>NC_000010.11:89991580-90294610 GCF_000001405.40 Homo sapiens
CATGGTGAGAGAGGTTGTGAGAGAGAGAGGAAAACTGAGGAAGCGGACTCTTTTATAACAATATGCTCTTGTGGGAAATAACTCATTCCCAATAGAGCAAGAACTCATTTACCCACGAGGGAGGACATTAATCTATTCAAAGGGATCCACCCCCATGATCCAAACATCACTCACTAGGCCTCACTTCCCAATACTGGCATATAGGGAGCCAAATGTCAACATGAGTTTTGGTGAAGACAAACCACATTCAAATCATAGGCAATTCATATCTTTAACGACTTATAAAAACTAACTTGAAATGGATTAAAAACCTAAATTTAGGTCCTAATGCCATAAAACTACTATAAAAAACATAGGGGAAAAGCTCCTTAACATTTGTCTCGGCAATAATTTTTTGGATATGAGACTAGAAGCACAACCAACAAAAATAAAATAACAAATGAGACTACATCAAAGTAAAAATCTTTTGCACAGTAGAGGAAACAATCAGCAAAATGAAAAGGCAACCTGTGGTATGGGAGAGAATATTTCCAAACCATATATCTGATAAGGGTTACTATTTAAATTTATAAGAAACACATACAACTCAATATCAAAAAAACCCAAATAATCAAATTAAATAATGGTCAAAGGGCCTGAATAGACATTTTTCTAAAGAAGATATTCAGATAGCCAACAGGTACATGGAAAAGTAATCAACACCACTAATTATCAGGAAAATGAGATGTAGAGGAAAGGCAATCCTTGTACACTGTTGGTGATAATGTAAATTGTTATAGCCATTATAAAAAACAGTACATATGTTTCTCAAAAAATTAAATTTAGAACTATCATATGATCCAACAGTCTCACTATTGGGTGTATATCTGAAGGAAAAAACCCAGTATCTGGAGGAGATAGCTGTATTCCAAGGTTTGTTGCACTATTATTCACAGTAGCCAAGATATGGACATAACCTAGGGGTCTGTTAATGGATGAATCAAAAAAGAAAAGATGGTATATTATACAATGGAATTTTTTGAGCCATAAAAACAAAGAAAATTCTACCATTTGGGACAATGTGGATGAAACTGGAGGGCATTATGTTTAGTAAAATAAGCCAAACAAAAAAAGACAAATAGTGTTGCTCTCAGTTATGTGTGGAAATCTTCTAAAAAAAGGAACTCACAGAAATAGATTGTTGCGAGATCTGAGGGTGAGTAAAATGAGAAAATATTGGTCAAAATGTACAAACTTTCAGTTATAAGATGAACAAGTTCTGAGGATCTAATTTACAGCATGTTTAGTATGGTTAATAATACCTCTTGTATAATTGAAGTTTGTTGAGAGTAGATCTTAATTTAAGCATTCTCACAAAAAATAATAAATAAAAAGGTAATTATGTGAAGTGAATGTGTTGATTAACTTAATTATGGTAATCATTTTATGATGTGTACACATATTAAATCATCACACTGTACATTAAATATATATAATTTTATTTGTTAATTTTACCTCAAAAAGCTGAAAGAAAAGAATGACACATAAGGTGGACTTTTGCATTAACTTCAGTGAATATTTAGTACATGTCTCTTTGGTAAAGTTTAGTATTGAAGGTGATGTGAGGAACATAGAGTTGAAAAAGACTTTTTTGTTTTTTTACTTTAAGGAACATACAATCTAACAGAGAATTTACAATCTAGTTTTCTAAGAGCTTTTATCAAAAATAAGTGTTGAATATATTTTATCTTTATTTATTTGTTTGTTTTTTAAATTTAGGTTTTATTCCAATAGGTTTTTAGGGAGCAGGTGGTGTTTGGTTATATGAATAAGTTCTTTAGTGGTAATTTCTGAGATTTTGGTGCATTCATCAACCGAGCAGTGTACACTGTACCCAATGTGTAGTCTTTTATCCCTCACCATTCTCCCACCCTTTCCCCTGAGTCCCCAAAATCCAATATGTCATTCTTATGCCTTTGAGTCCTCATAGCTTAGCTCCTACTTATGAGTGGGAACGTAGGATGTTTGGTTTTCCATTCCTGAGTTACTTCACTTAGAATAATGGTCTCCAATTCCATCCAGGTAGCTGCAAATGCCATTATTTCATTCTTTTTTATGGCTGAGTAGTATTCCACAGTATCTATATACCACTGAATATTTTTTATTTTTGCTATCTATTGAGAATTTCTTTCTTGACTCTATTAGTGTGGTGAATTTGATGGACTGATTTTTAGACTGTTACCAACCTTGTTTTCCTGAAGTAAACCCTCTTGGTCATGATGTATTACCGTTTTTTTTTTTTTTAATGTCACTGGATATATCGATTTACTAGTATTTTATTTAGGATTTTTACAGGTCTTTGCATGAGGAAGATTTTCCTTTCTTTTAATGTCATTATCAGGTTTTTCTTTTTAAACTGAAGTAATGCTCATAAAACGAGTTGTGAAATGCTCCCTATTTTTCTATTATCTGAAAGAGTTTGTGTAAGGTGGTTATATCTCTTCCTAAATGTTTGGAATAATTCACCAGTGCCATCTGGGTTGGGATTTTTCTTTAGGAAGGTTTTAAACTATAGATTCAATTTCTTTTATAAAGAATTATGCAGGTTTCCTGTTTCTTCTTGAGTCAGTTTTGATTAAGTTGTATTTTTTAAGAAATTTAGGCTGGGTGTGGTGGCTCACGCCTGTAATCCCAGCACTTTGGGAGGCCAAGGCTGGCGGATCATGAGGTCAGTAGTTCAATACCAGCCTGACCAACATGGTGAAACCCCATCTCTACTAAAAATACAAAAATTAGCCGGGCATGGTGGCATGCACCTGTAATCCCAGCTACTCAAGAGGCTGAGGCAGAAGAATCACTTGAACCTGGGAGGCGGAGGTTGCAGTGAGCCAAGATTGCGCCACCGCGCTTGAGCCTGGGCGACAGAGCAAGACTCCATCTAAAAAAAAAGAAATTTAGATATTTTAATCTAAATTTTCAAAATAAAATGTTCTTCTTTTTTGTAGATATACAATCCTAAGTGATATCCCCTTTTTGATTTGTGTAATTGACCCTATCTTTATTTCTTTTTACTTTCTTGATCTATCTTACCAGTGGTTTGTTGATGTTCTTAGTCTTGACAAAAAACCAACAGTTGCCTCTGTTTATCCACTCTTTTGCATCTGTTTACTTACTTTATTTTATTGTCTTTATTGTTTCCTTCTTTATGATTCTTTTGGGGTTTAATTTTCTCTTCTTTTACTAACTTTTGTAATATACATGCAGATAATGATTTTAAGAATTTCTTCTTTTCTAAATATGCATCTGATGTAAGTTTTTCTCTGAGAGTGTCTTTCAGTACTACCTTCAAGTTGTCATATGTCATATTTTTATTATTGTTTGATTAAAAGTATTTTACAAATTTTTATTATGATTTTTCTCCTTAATACTACATAAGTAATTTATAAGTCATTTTCTTAATTCCCAAATCTTTGGAAATTTTAGAGTTACATTTTCTTATTTATTTTCTGCTTAATATCATTGTCATCAAAAGACATGATTTGTGTAATTTCAATAATTTGGAATTTGTAGAGAGTTGTTTTCTGGATAAGCATGTGATCAATTTCATTGTGTCCATATGCAGTTGAAAAGAATGCGTTGTTGGGTATAGAAATATATATCAATTAGATTAATTTATCATATTGTTCAATTTTTTTTTTCAGACGGAGCCTCACTTTGTTGCCAGGCAGGAGTGCAGTGGCACAATCTTGGCTTACTGCAGCCTCCATCTCCCAAGTTCAAGCGATTCTCCTGCCTCAGCCTCCCGAGTAGCTGGGACTACAGGCGTGTGCCACCCCGCATAGCTAATTTTTTGTATTTTTAGTAGAGACGGGTTTTCACCGTGTTAGCCAGGATAGTCTCGATCTCCTGACCTCATGATCTGCCCACCTCAGCCTCCCAAAATGCTGGGATTATAGGTGTGAGCCACCGCGCTCGGCCCATATTGTTCAATTTTTTATATGCTTTAAAAAAATCTGATTTTTTTCTCTTTTTTTTGGTCACTCAAGCTGGAGTGCAGTGGCGTGATCAAATTCACTGCAGTCTTTAACTCCTGGGCTCAAATGATTCTCCTGCTTCAGCCTCCTGAGTAGCTGGGACTAAGGCACATGCCACCATGCCTGGCTACTTTTTAAGTTTTTTGTAGGAGTGGGTCTCACTTTGTTGTCTAGGCTGGTCTTAAATTCTTGGCTTCAAGAAATCCTCCCACCTTGGCCTCTAAACGTGTTGGGATTATAGATGTGAACTACTGCACCTAGACAGAATTTTTTTCAATTACTGAGAGAAGTATATTAAGATCTTCCATTATGATTGCAGATTTTTCCATCTATTCTTTTGATGTTTACTGCCTTTATGTATTTTGAGGCTCTATTATTGAGTGCATACATATTTAAATTGTTATTTCTTCTTGTTGGATTCACCCCTTTGTCAGTACTAAACTTCTCACTTTATCTCAAGTAATGCTTCTTACTTTAAAGAATAGTTTCTGTGTTTTCTTGTGGTTAGAGTTTTCATAATATATCTTTCCTTTTTTTTTTAACCTTCAACCATTTGATGTCATTTTATTTAAAGGGTTTTCCTGTAAGCAGAATACAGTTGGATTTTGTTACTTTTATCCAGCCTGTGAGCCTTTGTCTTTAAATGGAAAATTAAGTCCATTTACATTTAATATAACTCCTGAAGCATTTGAATTTAAACATATTTTATTATTTGCTCGTCATTTCTCCCACCTTGTTTCTATTATATATGTATCTATATATATGTAGATATAGACACAGATATCTAGATATATATGCCACCTGGTTTCTATTATATATATAGATACATATATCCATATATCTATCTATCTACATCTATCAATCTAGCTATATATATCAATATATATCTATATATCGATATATAATAGAAACCAGGTGGGAGAAATAAAGAGCAAATAATAAAAAATAGATATCAGGTGGGAGCTATATAGATATATATCTGTATCTATATATCTATGTATCCATATCTATATATCTCCCATGTGGTTTCTATTATAGATATATATAGAATCTATATTATAGATATATATATTATAGATATATATCTATAGATAAATAGATAGATATAGATATAGATATATAATAGAAACCAGGTGGGAGATACATAGAGATACATATATATCTATATAGAGAGATATATGTATAGATATATAGAGAGAGCTATATAGAGAGAGATATATATTTCTATATACAGATATATAGAGAGATATATATTTCCATATAGAGATCTATAGAGAGAGATATATATAGAGATATATATTTCTATATAGAGATATATAGAGATATATATTTCTATATAGAGATATATAGAGATATATATAGAGAGCTATATATATCTCTATATAGAGAGATTTGTAGAGCTATATATACAGAGAGATATATATAGGGAGATATAGAGAGATACATATATCTCTATTTATCTCCATATCTCTCTATAGAGAGATATATCTGTATATATCTCCCACCTGGTTTCTATTATATATCTATATCTATATTTATCTATCTATATATCTATATCTATCTATATATATAGATATCTATATATCTATACCTATATATCTGTATATCTATAGATATATATCCATATCTATGTACCTACAGATATATATCCATATCTATCTATGTACCTACAGATATATATCCATATCTATGTACCTACAGATATATATCCATATCTATGTACCTACAGATACATATCCATATCTATCCGTGTACCTACAGATATATATCCATATCTATCCGTGTACCTACAGATATATATCCATATCTATCCGTGTACCTACAGATATATATCCATATCTATCCGTGTACCTACAGATATATATCCATATCTATCCGTGTACCTACAGATATATATCCATATCTATCCGTGTACCTACAGATATATATCCATATCTATCCGTGTACCTACAGATATATATCCATATCTATCCGTGTATCTACAGTTATATATCCATATCCGTGTATCTATAGATATATATCTATATCTATCTATGTATCTATAGATATATATCTGTATCTGTCTATCTATAATATAGATTCTATATATATCTATAATAGAAACCAGGTGGGAGATATATAGATATATAGATATAGATATAGATATATATAGCTCCCACCTGGTATCTATTTTTTATTATTTGCTCTTTATTTCTCCCACCTGGTTTCTATTATATATAGATATCTAGATATATATTGATATATATAGCTAGATTGATAGAGATCTATTTATCTATCTATCTATCTATCTACCTATCTATCTATCTATCTGTCTATCTCTATCTCTATCTATCAATATATCTCCCACCTGGTTTCTATTAACATCTATATATCTATCTATCTATATAATATGTATATCTATAATATAGATTCTATATATATCTATAATAGAAACCAGGTGAGATATATAGAGATATATATAATATCTGTATATATCTATATCTATATATATCCCACCTGGTTTCGGGTATAGATATATATCTAGCTATATCTTATATATATCTATAGTATATCTTACATATATCTATATCTAGATATATATCTAGATCTATGTATCTATATATAGATATAGATATCTAGATATCTATGTTTCTATATATAGATATAGATATCTAGATATCTATGTTTCTATATATAGATATAGATATCTAGATATCTATGTTTCTATATCTAGATATATATTTAGATATAGAGATATAGATATAGATGGATATAGATATCTATAGATATCTTGATATCTATATCTAGATATAGATATCTATAGATATCTTGATATCTATATCTAGATATAGATATCTATAGATATCTTGATATCTATATCTAGATATAGATATCTTGATATAGATTTATCAATATAGATATCTATATATAGATATCTATAGATATATCCATATAGAGATCGATATATATCAATGTTGATATATCTCTATCTAGATATCTATATATATATCTATATACCTATATCTATATATATATCTGCTTTTCACCAGTTTTACAATGGTGTGTGAAGTTTTGCTTTCTTTTTTTATTATCCTGCTTGAGTTCATAGTGGGTTCTGAATTTTTGACTTGATGTCTTTAATCAGATTTGGAAAAAAAAATCAGCCATCACCTCTTCATTAGTTGCTTTCATTCTGTTTTTTAATTTCTTTTTGAACTGTAGTTACACACTGATTAGGACTTTTTATTATGGTCTATCTGCCTCTTACCTGTTGGTATTTTCTATGCTTTTGTTTCACTTTTCGTTAGTCTGACTATTTTCTTCTGATGTATCTTTCGGTTCACTAATTTTTTTTCCTTTAGCTGCTGAGTTTAATATCCTGTTAAAAACATCTGTTGACTTCTTAATTTCCATTATTATGTTTCCTGTTTTACAAATTTCAATTTGAAATAAAATTTTTATGGTTTTTGCCATCTTTTATTTCTTTGTACATATTAAGCATAATAATTTGAAATCCCAAGGCAGAGAATTCCATTATCTGGATGACTTGTGGGTCTATTTCTAATTTTTGTTGTTGCCTTCAGTTGAATGCTTTTTTGCTTGTTTATTTTTTTAATTCTTGCTGGAATTTGGTGCATAAAATTTGTAGAAATAATATGGGACTCTGAAAGATGTTGTCTCCCTGCAGAGAGAATTTAATTTTTCTTTTGACAAGTGGTTGGGATAGGAAAGATAAACTTAATTCAGTTAGGGATTGAACTATTTAAAATTGGGCTTCAGACTTTTTGAGAGTTGATCTATTTCTGCTTCTGCCTTACTCTTAGAATAAGAGTTGGAGGTTGCAAATGAAAGTGCGGAATGTTTAATAGAACCTCACCTTCCTGACAGACCCTTAGCTCCAACCCCCACCTATGAGATGTTTCTGAAAGTCTGTTAAATTTCTCAATTGCTCAAGCTGCCACTTTGTGCACAGCGTTATAGTCTCTTAGCTACTCTTTTTAAATCAGCAAATGCCTTGGTAGAAAAAGTGTTTGTGGATTTCAGGCTTACCTCTCTGAAATTCCTTCTGTCTGGAAGTTTTTTTTTTTTTTTTTTTTTTTGCCAGAGCCTCGCACTGTCGCCCGAGCTGGAGTGCAATGGCATGATCTCGGCTCACTGCAACCTCTGCCTCCTGGTTTCAAGCGATTCGCCTGCCTCAGCCTCCCAAGTAGCTGGGATTATAGGTGCCCGCCACCATGCTTGGCTAATTTTTTGTATTTTTAGTAGAGACAGGGTTTCACTATGTTGGCCAGGCCGGTCTCGAACTCCTGACCTCGTGAACCACCTGCCTCAGCCTCCCAAAGTGCTGGATTACAGGCATGAGCCACTGCGCCCGGCCATGTCTGGAATCTTAATTCCCCAAACGCTCATGGCCTTGGTAGCTCTCAGATGCTTTTAATAGGTTAAAAACCAATTTTGTTCAGGTTTTCTAAATGTTCTAAGTGGGGTGGGAGGATTTTATCTGAAACAAGCTAGTCTGTCATTTTTGTGTAAAATCTTTCCTTAGTGTTTTCCCCACCCTACCTTACCTGATGTTATAGCTTCCTTTCTTCTTCCCTGTTCCTCTCACACCCTGGTCTCTGGGCCTCAACCTCTGTGAGCTTGTTTCTTCCCGCCTAGGACCTTTGTACTTATTGTTCCTTTGCCTGGAATTCTTTCTCTCTTCATCTCTCTTTCCTTGCCTGTTAAATACCTTTTTAGCTTGAAAATCTAAGATCAAAATTTAGTCCCCCAAATGAGATATTCTAAGACTGTGTCTCTCTTTTGTAAACTCTCATTACAATTTACTTAATCTTCTTAGCACTTATCACAGTTGTGTTAAATTATAATTAGTAGTTTAATGCCTCCCAGTTTATTAGTTTTTTTTTATGGCTGCTGTAACAAACTACTACAAACTTAGTGGTTTAAAACAACACACATTTCTTTTTTTAAGTTCTGAAGGCCAGAAGTCTGAAATCCATTTTTGGGGGCTAAAGTCAAGGTGCTGGCAGGGCTGGTTCCTTCTGGAGACTTTAGGGTAGCATTAATTGCCTTGTTTTTTTTTTGTTTTTGTTGTTTTTTGGTTTTTGTTTTTTTTTTCTTCTAGCTGTTGGAGGCTACTTGCATTCTGTGGCTCTTGACCCTTTCCTTGAGCAATTTCATTCATAACATTCATAAATTCTGGGGATTTGGATGTAAGTATTTTTGCCTTTATTCAGCCTACCATGGAAATATAAACTTCACAAGGGTTGGAATTATTTCTTTCTTGTTCACAATTGAATCCCTAGTGTACAGTCCATAGTGGTGCTTAAGTATTTGTGGAATGAGCATTTCATCTGTAGGCCAGCAAGACACTTATTGCATGTTGTCACAGAGGTTTACTCAGTAAGTGTCGTTTTAGAAGGAAGAAAAGTGACTGAACAAAACATGATAGGAACTAACTGAGCACCTAAAATGCACTAGGCATTGAACCAGGAGTTTTACATTATTCTTTTCTTTAGTTTTCACAAAAACCTTCAGAAGTGCATATTCTCATAATCATTTTGTAGATGAAGAAACTGATGTTCAGAGAGAATGGCAGACACTTTCACAAGTTCATAAAACTGGTTCATGGAAAAGTTAGAATTTAAATGCAGGCTCATCTGAGCCCAGAGTTTATTGTCCTTTCATTATTTCATGCCAATAAAGGAAATGGCTGAAACATAAGAGCTTCTGTTAGAGAGAAGGCTCTCCTTATATTAGCTAAAAGATACATTATTCTTTGAGTCTGTGACTATTTCATATTTTTTGAGACCATGTGTTGGTTTATATTTTTTCTTTTTTTCCCGCCCCGAGATGGAGTCTTGCTCTGCCTCCCAGGCTGGAGTGCAGTGGTGCAATCTTGGCTAACTGCAACCTCCGCCTCCCAGGTTCAAGCAATTCTCCTGCCTCAGCCTCCCGAGTAGCTGGGACTACGCGCCACCATGACTGGCTAATTTTTGTATTTTTAGTAGAGACGGGGATTCACCATATTGGCCAGGCTGATCTCGAACCCCTGACCTCAGGTGATCCACCCGCCTCGGCCTCCCATACTGCTGGGATTACAGTCATGAGCCACCACGCCTGGCCAATTTATATTTTTTCAAAGTCAAAAGAACAGACTTCATTCCTGGTCCTTTCTGCTTTTAAGTTTTGTGGTGTTTATGAGTGTAATCCTGATTTGAGAACGCTTGTTTCAAAGGAACTATAAATGTCTAAATTTTTCTATCAAATGATGTTCCTTTAGCAGAAATGTTCCCAGGTGGTTTGCATTTGGGAAACTAAAAGACTTTTTCGTGCAGATCAGCAAGGCAGTCATGAATGGATCATTGAGGAACAGATGGTAGGAGCCTAGTTCAATACCCTTGTCATGTGCGAGTACTGCCTTTTGTAAGAACAGTGACAATATCCCATCTGCTTGCCTGACAGCCACAACTCAAATGAGACCCCTCTCGGAACCCTGCCTGTTTGGTCAAGCACCTTTCTAACAAATAAGAGCACCCTCTGACTCCTCAGGGAAAAAAAAAAAGAGCGAGAGAGAGAGAGAGAGAGAGTTGCCAAAACATCCCCCCAGAGTTTTTAAATTTAAAATATTTTCATTTTAAAATAGCATGTTTTCTCTGATTATAAGAGTAGAACATGTTCATTATTAAGAGAATTAGAATATAGTTGTTTAATATCCTGGTAAACAGTTTTCTTAATTTTTTCCTACATATACAGAAACATACATCCATATAGAATTTTCATAAAAATGAGATACTACTCTTCATAGTGAGTTTGAAACTTGCTTTTTATTTAACAATATATAGTCATATCTATCTAAGTAGGTTTATATAGATTTGTTGTAAATTTTTGATAGTATGGATGTACTATAACTTATTTATCCTTTCCCTATTGTGAGCACTTTGCTTCCATTGTTTTCATTAAATAAACATAATAATCAATCTCCTTTTACATAGATCTTTCTACAGATGGTCTTTCAAATCAAGTCAGCAAATATTTCTTTATTCCAGATGATGGAGGTATGTGCATGATTAAGAGAGACCATGTCGCTGTCCCAATAGGCTTAGAGGAGAGGGATGAAATTAGCTGTTAAATAAGTAATTAAAAGCATGATGAAGTAATTAAAAGGATGATGAAAGAAAAATTAAAAGTGACATGGGAATGTATAGTGAATAGATTTTGCTTCATGCTGGGGAGGGGCCGAGTGGGGGGCGGTCAGCCTGTCATAGGACAAGTTGTTTAAACAGACATTTGAAGGATTAGCGAAGGTTTGTAGATGAAGTTAATCTAGGGGAATTGGATTCTTCAGGTAGAATGAACAGCTTGTCAAAGGCCAGAATCAGAGAAGGCATGACATGTTATAACTGCAATGAAGGCTAGCATGTAGTGAGTAGGGAGAGGCACAGAATGATGCTTACAAGTTAGGGACAGACTAGATTTTGTGAAGGGACTATTAGGGGTATAGTAAAGGATTTTTTTTTGAAATTATCTTATTTCCTTTGCTCCTTAAAATTCTGTTGAACTCTGCCCTCTAATAATTTTTCATAGGTTTTAGATAACCCTAAATACAATCTTTAGACTTTGTGCCCAAGTACAAAAGGAATCATAGATGCAGATTATAAATGAATGTAAAATAAGTTACAGTTTTTATAATTTTATACTGTCTTGTTGGACAAAGGGGGTTGATTACTGATGTAATCAATTGTTGATGCTTACTAATATGATGTATACGATTTCTGAACAAGATGGCAAAAGATGTAAGAACCTAAAAAATATTATGTATAGATTTTATACGAATGTATACACATAAAAGTACAAGTCATGAATAGAAAACACATGTTGTCATAATAATAGTTACCATTAAAGAGTAACTGCTAGGTGCCTGGAACTTTATTTAACAAATTTTTCTTTCTTTTTTTTTTAATTTATAGAATCTTATTTTATTTTTGACATATTTAATCATCCTTTGGCAACATTTCTTACCAAGTATAAAAGTGAAAAGTTCTGTTTATTTGCATTATTGAAATCCAGTGGCTTTCAAATATGGAATAGTTCAATAACTTCCAGAATTCTAGAATTGGAGGTGATATAAAGAAGTTTGAAAAAGGAAATTCGGCCAGCTGCAGTGGCTCATGCCTGTAATCGGAGCACTTTGGGAGGCCAAGGTGGGCAGATCTCTTGAGTGTAGGAGTTCGAGACCTGCCTGGGCAAAATGGCAAAATCCCGTCTCTACAAAAAAAAACAAAAATCATCCAGGGGCTAGACGTAGTGTCTCATGCCTGAAATCCCAGCACTTTGGGAGGCCAAGGCAGGCAGATCACTTGAGATCAGGAGTTAGAGACCAGCGTGGCCCTGTTCACGGTTAGTAGAGACCATGGCGAAACTCCGTCTCTACTAAACGTACAAAAAAAATAGCCAGGCGTGGTGGTGCACACCTGTAATCCCAGCTACTTGGGAGGCTGAGACGTGAGAATCGCTTGAACCTGGGAGGTGGAGGTTGCAGTGAGCTGAGATTGCACCACTGCACTCCAGCCTGGGAGACAGAGCAAGACCCTGTTTCAAAAGAAAAAATTATCCAGGTGTGGTTGTAGGTACCTGTAGTCCCAGCTACTCAGGAGGCTGTGGTGGGAGGATAGCTTGAGCCCAGGAAGTTGAGGCTACTGTGAGCTGTGATTGTGCCACTGCACTCCAGCCTGAACAACAGAGTGAGACTTGTCTCAAGAAAGAAAGAGAGACAGAGAGAGAGAGAATGAAGATTAAACACAGAGCAACTCTGGTCCTGATAGCTTTCCATTTTCCATGATGTCCATTGGAATTCTGGCTTCAGTCTTTGACTTCTGTGAGATTTATATACTTTTTTAAAAAAAAAATATATATATATATATATTTATTATACTTTAAGTTCTAAGGTACATGTGCACAACGTACAGGTTTGTTACATATGTATACATGTGCCATGTTGGTGTGCTGCACCCATTAACTCATCATTTACATTAGGTATATTTCCTAATGCTATCCCTCCCCCCTCCCCCCACCCCACAACAGGCCCCGGTGTGTGATGTTCCCCTTCCTGTGTCCAAGTGTTCTCATTGTTCAATTCCCACCTATGAGTGAGAACATGTGGTGTTTGGTTGTTTGTCCTTGTGATAGTTTGCTCAGAATTATGGTTTCCAGCTTCATCCTTGTCCCTACAAAGGACATGAACTCATCATTTTTTATGGCTGCATAGTATTTGATATTAAAGGATTTTAAGCAGAGGAATAACATGGTCACTCTGAATTTAAAATTTTACTTATGAAATTG
The DNA here is from genome assembly GCF_000001405.40 of Homo sapiens. Classification (NCBI taxonomy): domain Eukaryota; kingdom Metazoa; phylum Chordata; class Mammalia; order Primates; family Hominidae; genus Homo; species Homo sapiens. Next base: position 90,004,915 of record NC_000010.11, read on the forward strand.
ATAGTAATCGATGATTAGTTGTTGAGCATGAAAGAGAAGGAAGAATCAAGTGAGAATCTCAAATTTCTGGTGCAAGCAATGAAGTGCCATTCACTCTGTTTCTTGGTAGAGAAGTTGCTTTGAGGGGGGAAGTTGTTATCAGTTTAGGACATGTTGATTTTGAGTTACTTCTAGGTCTCAAAATGGAGATGTCTATAGATAGTAAAACATATAGCTTGGCAGCTCATGTGAGATGACTGACCTAGAGTTACAGCTTTTTGAGTCATAAACATATAGATGGTAACTAAAACCATGGGAGAAAATGGGATCACTTAAAAACCGTAGGATGAGGACCAGGTCAGACAGCCGAGAAATTCCTATAATGGAAGATGGTAAAGGGGAGATGAGTTGGTACTGAGGAAAAGTACTTTAAAAAACAGGAGCAAAACTAGAGAATGTGGGTCACAGAAAGCAAGAGAAAAAATATTGCTCTGGATGGAGAAAGTGGTGAATTTTGTTAAAATGCCAATGCAAGTTAAATGATGTTGGAAGTGAGAAGTGTGAATTTAGTGTCATGGAGACCATTGGTGACCTTAGAGAGAATAGTTTTGGAGGAGTTCCACGGATGGCAGGGGGCAATAGAATAAGGAGGTTAAAAATGTGGGGAAGGTGTATGATACACTCTTTAGGTTGTAATTCAAGTAGTGGAATTGACAGGTCAAAGTTATGTAATAAAAATTTTTAAATATTTTGCCTACTTGCCTTTCAGAAAGTTTTTTTTAAAATAAATTTATAGTCTTCCCTACAGTTTTGGAAGTACTATATTTTCATGCTCCCTTGCCAGCCTTTTAAAATATTATCACAAATTAAATAAGAAAATAAGATAGACCAGGCACGGTGGCTCATGCCTGTAATCCCAGCACTTTGGGAGGCCGAGGTGGGTGGATCACCTGAGGTCAGGAGTTCCAGACCAGCCTGGACAACATGGTGAAACCCCGTCTCTACTAAAAATACAAAAAATAAATAAATAAATAAATAAGTTAGCCTGGCATGGTGATGCATGCCTGTAATCCCAGCTACTCAGGAGGCTGAGGCAGGAGAATCGCTTGAACCTGGGAGGCGGAGGTTGCAGTGAGCCGATATCGCACCATTGCACTCCAGCTTGGGCAACAAGAGCGAAACTCCATCTCAAAATAAAATAAAATAAAATAAAATAAATAAGATAAATCTAATTGATATTTAATTTGTATTTGTTTGTTAGTGAGGCTGAACATCTTTTCATGTTTTTTGACTACATTTAGTCCTTTTATGAATAATTCTTCATATACCTTGTCCATTTTTCTGTTGTGGCTTAGATTTTTAATAAATTGATTCATAAGATCTTTATGTCTTGATGTTTTTAATTTGATGTTTTCATATATGATAATATTTTTTCCTGTTAATCTTTTTTCTCTGTTCTTTTTCATATATAAGTTTTTTAAAGTTTCATGTATAAAATCTAATTATATTTTTCATTATGCTTTCTGTCTTTGATGTTTTGTTTAGAATGGCCTTTCCACTTCTAGTCTATATACATATTCATTAAATTTTCATCTTTTATGTTTTTTTATTTTTTATTCTAATTTTTAATTCACATGGAACTCACTTTGTTGTAACATCTTAGATGGGAATTCAGTTTTATTTGTTTCTAGTAACTAGCTGATTATCTCAACATGTTCCATACTAATTTAGAGTTGGAGTCTGAAGAATTAATAGAATTTTGTAGGTGAAAGGATTGGAATGAGAAGATTATTTCAGGTAGAGAAAATAGTATGTGCAAATGCCCTGAGGTGGGAGAGTGCATGGTGATGTCAAGAGTTTCTAAAAAGAGAGTAGTGTTATATGAAATTCGAAAAGTGGGTGTGGAGCTGGTATTTTAGGCCCTATTAAAAATTTAATTTTTGTTCCAGGACAGCAGAAAGTCATTGAAAATGAAGAGAGTTAATAAAACAAAAGAAAAGAGGACAGATGGTGGGATGCTTGGTTAATGATTGAGTGGTAGAATAGTTTTTATGATAACAAAGTCTCATGGTAATGAAACTAATTGGCTAAGGTTTGAGAAAAGTTGTTGAGGATGAAAAGATTAAAGAATAAGGGCACTGGATACGTTGTACAAGTGCGTATCATAGGCAATCAGGATTCTAAAAGGACTTGATTTGGGGAAGAAGGCACTGAGCCAGGTGTGTTTTGTAGTATATTACATTGTTATGTTAATTATACTAAAATATACTATATTAAGCAGAGGAAAATAGCCAAATGTTATAGTTTTAAAACTTTACTCACCAATGAGAAAGAAACAACTATTTTGCTCATGTCATGGAATTCTCATTATGCTCAGGGACTTGTCAACTCTGGAAGAAAGAATATGTTGCCGTTCACCTGAAGGAGACAGTGTAGTATTGACAACAGTAGACTGTGGAATAAGACAAGTCTGGATTTGAATGCTGATGACATGGGGTAATTAACCTCACCCCTTTAAGCCTCAAGTTTTGAATCATTCACATAGGATTTCTAATGCCAATTTTATGAAAGTGCAGTCAGGATGAAATCAGATAAAATGTGTGACACATCAACCATAGTGCCTGGCATTTAACATGTGCTAAATAAATTGAAATTCTTCTCCTGTGAGAAATCCTATCTAGGGAAATACCAGTTGTAAGTAGGAACCTGTGAGCTGTCCCATTGGGTTTTGGTCGAAAAAACAGTTTTTCAAATTATAATTTTTTTGCAACGGAACAAGCAAATGAATAGTTTGTCAAAGATGGCAAGATGCTTTACTTCTTAAATTCCTTTATAATATGGAAACTTAATTCCATTCTGTGGTGATTATAGTTCAGTCTCTGAAGATAATTGCACCTAATTGTGATCTTGTTACGAATAACTTTGTAGAGAGAAATGCAGCTAAACAATGAGGTTGATTACCTGAGGTTTACAGCATTCAGAGAAATGACAAAAATAGGGCAGAGTCCTTGGCTGAATATTGATTAGTGAATAAAAACTAGGGTATTCTTTGAGATTTAAGAAGTGTACTTTTCTTTCAGCTCCTGTGAGAACTAGGCAAATTAGTGGCAATCTTGCCCACTTGGGGGTAGACAATATTGTTTTTACTAGTTAGTAATGTTAAGTACAATTTATTGTGTGTCTACTATGTCCCAGAAGCTTTCCAAGCACTGAACAAATTTATAATTGCTTTTTTCCCCCCATTCTCCAGATGAAAAAGCTGAGGCTGGGAGAAATAAAGTGATTCATCCACGGTTAATGGCAGAGTCGGAATTTGAACCCATGTTGGTCTTTAAAGCCTGAGTCTACCTCCTGTGTTATTCTGCCTCCAGGCAAAGCTCTGGGAGGCGTAGGTGTTACATTTCTGGACTATTCTAAAAGGAACATAGATAACAAAATGTCTTAGGAAGCTGATTTACTTAGGGTTCTGAAAAGAACTGAACCAAGAGGTTTATTATAAGGAATTAGCTTACACAATTACAAAGGCTGGCACGTCCCAAATCTGCTTTGTGGGCTGGCAAACTGGATACCCAGAAAAGCTATGCAGCAGATGAAGCCTGAGGTAGTTTGCTGGAGAATTCCCTCTTGCTCAGGGATATTGGGTTTTTTGTTCTATTCAGGCCTTCAACTGATTGGATGAGACCCACTCACATTATGGAAGGCAATCTGCTGTTCAAAGTCCATGGACTAATATGTTAATCTCATCCCAAAACACCCACCAAGTTGACACATAGAATTAAACATCACAGAAACTTTGAAGAGTCTGCATTTAAAAGTCAGTTCTCCAGAAGGTGGAATTTAACAGGCAATTACATAGTTTTCTACCTTAATAATTAGCAGAGCCCACTTAATGGAACTGAAGGAAGAGTACAGTATGTTAGATGATGCTATAACTGTTAAGGATAAACTGTAATTCCTAGATTCATAGCAGATAAAATTCTAACTATAAAAATCCAACCTCTGAGCTTTGGTTTGAAAAACTACCACTCTAGGTATAGCAACTGTCACTGCAGGCTTATCTTTGTAATAATGATAATAATGATACATAGTGGTAGTAACAATAGTTAACAGTTATTGGCTGCTTCTTGTAAGCCAGACATAGCTTCTGTTGTTTTCATGTGTTACTCTTGTTTAATTGTCTCAGCACTAGGAAGAAGGGACTATTACTACTCTTATATGCCTTCTATTCTATGTATGGAAACAGAGTCTCAGAGAGGTTAGAAAGTTAGCCACAGTAAGGCAGACAGTAAACAGCGGATCCAGAATTCAAAGAAATACAGAATGTTTTCAGCACATGCTACACATAACGGAGATTTGGGGCACCAAAGTCCATTTGCCCTCAAATCTCTCACCATTACTTGTCACAGTGTCTGAAGTTGTCACCATTAGAAGGATCAAATAATTGGAAAACCAAATCATCAACACTAATTGTGTGTCAGCACTCATGAAGTTTCTTGGGGGTATAGAAAGAATGATGAACTGGACTCCTTACCTTGAAAGAACTAGCAGTCTTGTTGGAGAACCTTGAATAGACCCAAAAGGAAGAAATACTTGGGGCTGAATTGCCTCCACACATTTGATATATTGTTTTCTTGTATTTAGGGGGTGGGAATTCTTACTTTTTGTTTGTTTTGTTCTTTAGCTTAACTTAGTTTTGTTTTTTGTTTTTAACTGTGGTAAGGATGCTTAATATGAGATCTTAACAGATTTTTAATTGTATAATATACTATTGTTAACTTAGATACAATATTGTACAGCAAATGTCTAGAATTTATTCATCTTGCATAACTGATACATTATACCCATCACTGCCTCCCTAGTATCCTTTTCTTCCAGGACTTGACAATCACCATTCAACTCTCTGTTTCTATGGATTTGACTATTTTAGAGACCTCATATAACTAGAATTATACAATATTTGTCCTGTGACTAGCTTATTTCACTTAGCATAAGTCCTCAAGGTTCATCATGTTAAATATTACAGAATTTCCTTCTTTTAAAGGCTGAATAATATTCCATTGTATGTATTTATCACATTTTATTTATTCATTCATCCACTGGTGGACATTTAAGTTGTTTCTACATCTTGGCTGTAGTAAATAATGCTGCAATGTACATGGGTGTGCAGATGTCTTGTCAAGATCCTGATGTCAATTCTTAGTAAATTCCCAGAAATGGGATTGCTGGAGCATATGGTACTTCTGTTTTTAAGTTAAGTTTTTGAGGAATCTCCACACTGTTTTCCATAGCAGATGCACTGTTTTACATTTCCACTTATGTTGTGCAAGAGTTCCAATTCCTCCACATCCTTGCCAATATTCTTTGTCTTTTGTATTTTTGATAATAGCTATTCTAACAGGTATGAAGTGATATCTCATTGTGGTTTAGATTTATATTTTTTGGATTGGTGAAATATCTTTTTAGATACCTGTTGTCCATTTGTATGTCTTCTTTGGAGAAATGTCTATTTAAGTATTTACCCTATTTTAAAATCGGTTTATTAGTTTTTTTTTTTTTTTTTGCTAATGAATTGCAAACATATAAGTTTCTCATATATTTTGGAAATTAACTCTTTATCATATACATCATTTACAAATATTTTCTCCTATTCCATAGGTTACATTTTCACTCTGTTGCTAGTTGTCTTTCGGTATAGAAGTTTTTTCATTGGACAAAAGTCTTACTTGTCAATTTTTGCTTTTGTTGCCTGTGTTTTGGTGTCATATACATGAACTCATTTCTCAGACCAATGTCATGAAGCTTTCACTGTATGTTTTCTTCTAAGAATTTTACAGTTTCAGGTCTTAAGTCATTAATCTATTATGAGTCAACTTTTGTGTATAAGATAAAGGCCCAATTTCATTCTTTTGCATGTGGATGTCCAGTTTTTCCAGCATCATATGTTAAAGAGGCTATCTTTTGTCTATTGTGCTTTCTTGATGAAGATCAGTTGACTATATATGTGTGTATTTACCTCTGAGCTCTCTATTTTGTTCCATTGGTCCTTATGTCTGTCTTTATGCCAGTATCATACTGTTTTAATTATTGTAGCTTTGTAGTATATTTTGAAATCAGGACGTATGATGCTTTTAGTTTTGTTCTTCATTCTTAAGATTTTCTTTGAACGGAGGAGCCAAGATGGCCGAATAGGAACAGCTCCGGTCTACAGCTCCCAGCATGAGCGATGCAGAAGACAGGTGATTTCTGCATTTCCATCTGAGGTACCGGGTTCATCTCACTAGGGAGTGCCAGACAGTGGGCGCAGGTCAGTGGGTGCACGCACCGTGTGCGAGCCGAAGCAGGGCGAGGCATTGCCTCACTCGGGAAGCACAAGGGGTCAGGGAGTTCCCTTTCCTAGTCAAAGAAAGGGATGAGAGACGGCACCTGGAAAATCGGGTCACTCCCACCCAAATACTGCGCTTTTCTGATGGGCTTAAAAAACGGTGCACCACGAGATTATATCCTGCACCTGGCTCAGAGGGTCCTACGCCCACGGAGTCTCGCTGATTGCTAGCACAGCAGTCTGAGATCAAACTGCAAGGCGGCAGCGAGGCTCGGGGAGGGGCGCCCGCCATTGACCAGGCTTGCTTAGGTAAACAAAGCAGCAGGGAAGCTCGAACTGGGTGGAGCCCACCACAGCTCAAGGAGGCCTGCCTGCCTCTGTAGGCTCCACCTCTGGGGGCAGGGCACAGACAAACAAAAAGACAGCAGTAACCTCTGCAGACTTAAATGTCCCTGTCTGACAGCTTTGAAGAGAGCAGTGGTTCTCCCAGCAGGCAGCTGGAGATCTGAGAACGGGCAGACTGCCTCCTCAAGTGGGTCCCTGACCCCTGACCCCCGAGCAGCCTAACTGGGAGGCACCCCCAGCAGGGGCACACTGACACGTCACAAGGCAGGATATTCCAACAGACCTGCAGCTGAGGGTCCTGTCTGTTAGAAGGAAAACTAACAAACAGAAAGGACATCCACACCAAAAACCCATCTGTACATCACCATCATCAAAGACCAAAAGTAGATAAAACCACAAAGATGGGGAAAAAACAGAACAGAAAAACTGGAAACTCTAAAACGCAGAGCACCTCTCCTCCTCTGAAGGAATGCAGTTCCTCACCAGCAACGGAACAAAGCTGGATGGAGAATGACTTTGACGAGCTGAGAGAAGAAGGCTTCAGACGATCAAATTACTCTGAGCTACAGGAGGACATTCAAACCAAAGGCAAAGAAGTTGAAAACTTTGAAAAAAATTTAGAAGAATGTATAACTAGAATAACAGTTTGTTATAATCTCTGTTATAACTGTCTCTCAGACCACAGTGCAATCAAACTAGAACTCAGGATTAAGAATCTCACTCAAAACCACTCAACTACATGGAAATTGAACAACCTGCTCCTGAATGACTACTGGATACATAACAAAATGAAGGCAGAAATAAAGATGTTCTTTGAAACCAACGAGAACAAAGACACAACATACCAGAATCCCTGGGACGCATTCAAAGCAGTGTGTAGAGGGAAATTTATAGCACTAAATGCCCACAAGAGAAAGCAGGAAAGATCCAAAATTGACACCCTAACATCACAATTAAAAGAGCTAGAAAAGCAAGAGCAAACACATTCAAAAGCTAGCAGAAGGCAAGAAATAACTAAAATCAGAGCAGAACTGAAGGAAATAGAGACACAAAAAACCCTTCAAAAAATTAATGAATCCAGGAGCTGGTTTTTTGAAAGGATCAACAAAGTAGATAGGCTGCTAGCAAGACTAATAAAGAAAAAAAGAGAGAAGAATCAAATAGACACAATAAAAAATGATAAAGGGGATATCACCACTGATCCCACAGAAATACAAACTACCATCAGAGAATACTACAAACACCTCTATGCAAATAAACTAGAAAATCTAGAAGAAATGGATAAATTCCTGGACACATACACTCTCCCAAGACTAAACCAGGAAGAAGTTGAATCTCTGAATAGACCAATAACAGGATCTGAAATTGTGGCAATAATCAATAGTTTACCAACAAAAAGAGTCCAGGACCAGATGGATTCACAGCCGAATTCTACCAGAGGTACAAGGAGGAACTGGTACCATTCCTTCTGAAACTATTCCAATCAATAGAAAAAGAGGGAATCCTCCCTAACTCGTTTTATGAGGCCAGCATCATTCTGATACCAAAGCCGGGCAGAGACACAACCAAAAAAGAGAATTTTAGACCAATATCCTTGATGAACATTGATGCAAAAATCCTCAATAAAATACTGGCAAACCGAATCCAGCAGCACATCAAAAAGCTTATCCACCATGATCAAGTGGGCTTCATCCCTGGGATGCAAGGCTGTTTCAATATACGCAAATCAATAAATGTAATCCAGCATATAAACAGAGCCAAAGACAAAAACCACATGATTATCTCAATAGATGCAGAAAAGGCCTTTGACAAAATTCAACAAGCCTTCATGCTAAAAACTCTCAATAAATTAGGTATTGATGGGACGTATTTCAAAATAATAAGAGCTATCTATGACAAACCCACAGCCAAAATCATACTGAATGGGCAAAAACTGGAAGCATTCCCTTTGAAAACTGGCACAAGACAGGGATGCCCTCTCTCACCACTCCTATTCAACATAGTGTTGGAAGTTCTGGCCAGCGCAATTAGGCAGGAGAAGGAAATAAACAGTATTCAATTAGGAAAAGAGGAAGTCAAATTGTCCCTGTTTGCAGATGACATGATTGTATATCTAGAAAACCCCATTGTTTCAGCCCAAAATCTCCTTAAGCTGATAAGCAACTTCAGCAAAGTCTCAGGATAAAAAATCAATGTACAAAAATCACAAGCATTCTTATACACCAACAACAGACAAACAGAGAGCCAAATCATGAGTGAACTCCCATTCACAATTGCTTCAAAGAGAATAAAATACCTAGGAATCCAACTTACAAGGGATGTGAAGGACCTCTTCAAGGAGAACTACAAACCACTGCTCAAGGAAATAAAAGAGGATACAAACAAATGGAAGAACATTCCATGCTCATGGGTAGGAAGAATCACTATCGTGAAAATGGCCATACTGCCCAAGGTAATTTACAGATTCAATGCCATCCCCATAAAGCTACCAATGACTTTCTTCACAAAATTGGAAAAAACTACTTTAAAGTTCATATGGAACCAAAAAAGAGCCCGCATCGCCAAGGCAATCCTAAGCCAAAAGAACAAAGCTGGAGGCATCACACTACCTGGCTTCAAACTATACTACAAGGCTACAGTAACCAAAACAGCATGGTACTGGTACCAAAACAGAGATATAGATCAATGGAACAGAACAGAGCCCTCAGAAATAACGCCGCATATCTACAACTATCTGATCTTTGACAAACCTGAGAAAAACAAGAAATGGGGAAAGGATTCCCTATTTAATAAATGGTGCTGGGAAAACTGGCTAGCCATATGTAGAAAGCTGAAACTGGATCCCTTCCTTACACCTTATACAAAAATCAATTCAAGATGGATTAAAGACTTAAACGTTAGACCTAAAACCATAAAAACACTAGAAGAAAACCTAGGCATTACCATTCAGGACATAGGCATGGGCAAGGATTTCATGTCCAAAACACCAAAAGCAATGGCAACAAAAGCCAAAATTGACAAATGGGACCTAATTAAACTAAAGAGCTTCTGCACAGCAAAAGAAACTACCATCAGAGTGAACAGGCAACCTACAAAATGGGAGAAAATTTTCGCAACCTACTCATCTGACAATGGGCTAATATCCAGAATCTACAATGAACTCAAACAAATTTACAAGAAAAAAACAAACAACCCCATCAAAAAGTGGGTGAAGGATATGAACAGACACTTCTCAAAAGAAGACATTTATGCAGCCAACAGACACATGAAAAAATGCTCATCATCACTGGCCATCAGAGAAATGCAAATCAAAACCATAATGAGATACCATCTCACACCAGTTAGAATGGCAATCATTAAAAAGTCAGGAAACAACAGGTGCTGGAGAGGATGTGGAGAAATAGGAACACTTTTACACTGTTGGTGGGACTGTAAACTAGTTCAACCATTGTGGAAGTCAGTGTGGCGATTCCTCAGGGATCTAGAACTAGAAATACCATTTGACCCAGGCTTCCCATTACTGGGTATATACCCAAAGGACTATAAATCATGCTGCTATAAAGACACATGCACACATATGTTTATTGTGGCATTATTCACAATAGCAAAGACTTGGAACCAACCCAAATGTCCAACAATGATAGACTGGATGAAGAAAATGTGGCACATATACACCATGGAATACTATGCAGCCATAAAAAATGATGAGTTCATGTCCTTTGTAGGGACATGGATGAAATTGGAAATCATCATTCTCAGTAAACTATCGCAAGAACAGAAAACCAAACACTGCATATTCTCACTCATAGGTGGGAATTGAACACTGAGATCACATGGACACAGGAAGGGGAACATCACACTCTGGGGACTGTTGTGGGGTAGCGGGGAGGGATAGCACTGGGAGATATACCTAATGCTAGATGACAAGTTAGTGGGTGCAGCGCACCAGCATGGCATATGTATACATATGTAACTAACCTGCACAATGTGCACATGTACCCTAAAACTTAAAGTATAATAATAAAAGAGAAAAAACCTTAAAAAAAAAAAGAAATAATAATGGTAAAAAAAAAAAGATTTTCTTTGCTGTTCCAAGTCCTTTGTAGTTATATATAAATTTCAGGTTTTTTTTTCTATTTCTGTAAAAAAAAAAAAAACAATAAGGATGCACTGAATCTGTAATTTGCTTTGGGCAGTAGGGACATTTTCACAATATTAATTCTTCCAGTCCACGAACATGGGTTGTCTTCCTATTTGTGTCTTCTTTATTTTCAGATTTTTTTGTTAGTGTATACTAATGCAATGTTGATTTTCTATCTTGCAACTTTATGGACTTGTTTGTTAGTTCTAACAGGATTTTTATTTTTTTTTTGAAGTCTAGGGTTTTCTATATATACAATCAGGTCATTTGTAAACAGGAACAATTTTACTTCTTCCTGTCTAATTTGATGCCTTTTACTTCCTTTTCTTGCCTAGTTGCTCTGGCTAGGACTTCCAGTATTACACTGAATGTAGTGAGAATGGGTATCTTTGTCTTATTCTTGCTCTTGGAGGAAAGGCTTTCAGGTTTTCACCATTAAGTGTGAGCTTTTCACATATGACCTTTATTATATTCAGTTCCTAGTTCGTTGAGAGTTTTTGTCATGAAAGTGTGTAGAAGTTTGTCAGTGCTTCTGCTGCATCTATTGAGATGATCATGTGGTTTTCACCCTTTATTTTGTTAATGTAGTACATCACATTGATTGATTTTAGTATGTTAAAACATTCTTGTAACCGAGGGATAAATCCCATGTGGTCACAGTGAGTAATTCATTTAATGTGCTATTGGATTTGATTTGCTAGTATTTTGCTGAGGACTTTCAAGTCTATATTCATCAGGGATATTGGCCTGCAGCTTTCTTTTCTTGTGGTGTCTTTGTCTGGCTATGGCATCATGATAATTCTGGCCTCATAAAGTGGGTTTAAAAGTGTTCCTTCCTCTTCAATTTTTTTGAAGAGGTTGAGAAGACTTTATGTTAATTCTTTACATGTTTAGTAGAATTCACTAGTGAAGACGTGTGGTCCTGGCCTTTCCTTTGTTGAGAAGTTAATTGATTACTGGTTCAATCTCCTTACTAGGTATAGCTATATTCAGACTTTTGACTTCTTTATAAGTTAATATTGGTAGGTTGCATGTTTTTAAAGATTTATCCATTTATTCTGTGTTATACAATTTGTTGGACTATAATTGTTCCTAGTAGTCTCTTACAATTGCTTTTATTTCTGTGGCATCACTTGTAATGTTTCCTCTTTCGTTTATGATATTATTCGAGTCTTTCTTTTTTCTTAGTCTAGCTAAAATTTTATCAGTTTTTTCTTCTGAAAAAAAACAACTCTTAGTTTTGTTGATTTTTATCTATTCTCTATTTGTTTATTTTTGCTTTGATCTTCATTGTTTTCTTTCTTCTGCTAACTTTGGGCTTAGTGTGTTCTCTTTCTAGTTTCTTGATATGTAAAGTTAGGTTGTTTATTTGAGATCTTTTAAATTTAGCATTTATCACTAAATTTTACTCTTATTACTGTTTTTACTGCATTACATAAGTTTTGGTATGTTGTGGTTTTGTTTTCATTTGTCTCAAGATATTTTTTATTTTCTTCTGTAATCCATTGATTTTTCAAAAGTGTGTTGCTTAATTTCCACGTATTTGTAAATGTTCCAGTTTTCCTTCTGATATTGATTTCTAGTTTCATTCCATGGTGATTAAAAATATACTTGGTATGATTTCAGTCTTCTTAAATTTGATAAGGCTTGTTTTATAACTGAATATGTCTTCTACTCTGAAGAGTGTTTCATCTGTGCTTGAGAAGAATGTATATTTTGTTGTCGTTGAGTAGAATGTTTCTATGCATGTTTATTAGGTTCATTTGATCTATTGTATTTTTGTTCAATTCTGCTGTTTCTTAGTTGTCTTATCTGTTATTGAAAGTGGGATATAAAGGTATATTATGATTAATTTCTATATAATCCTTTTATTTCAGGTAATTCTTAATTGGGAAGAGTTTACTATTAGTAATTGTTTTCTGTTGGTCATATAGTTCTTTTGCCCCTATTTCTCTCTTCCTTTGTGTTTCATTGACATTTTTTGTTTTTGTATTGGTATGCTTTGATTTCTTTCTCTCTTTTGTATATAACTTTCGTAAGTATTTTCTTTGTGGTTCCCATAGGGCTTATATAAAGTATCTTATAGCAGTCTATTTTGAGCTGATAACAACTTAACTTCAATTGTTTAACTTCAATTGTTACTACACTTTTACTCTCTATTCCTATGATATGTTATTAATGTCACAATTTATATCTTCTTATGCTGTGTATCCATGAACATATTTTTTAAATTATAGTTATTTTTTAATACTTTTGTCTTAAACTCTTATAGTATAATGAAAAGTGATTTACCCACCACCATTACAATAAAACAATATTCTATATTTGTTTATATAGTTATCTTTACCAATGCATTTTATATTTCCTTATGCTATCATATTTCTTTTTGGCATCTTTTCATTTCAACTGGAAGAACCCCAGTTAGCATTACTTGTAAGGCAGGTAGTGGCAGTAAACTCCCTCAGCTCATGTTTGTCTGGGAAAGTATTTCTCTTTCATCTTTGAAGGACAGATTTGCTGGATATAGTATTCCTGAATCCTTTGAATTGATCATACCAGTCCCTTCTGGACTGCACGGCTTTTGCAGAAAAACATGCTCATAGTCTTATAGGGATATGCCCTTGCATGTGATGAGTCACTTTTCTCTTGATGTTTTCAAAATTCTGTCTTTGACTTTTGACAATTCGATAAATATATGTCTTTGTGTGGAGTTCTTTGGGTTTATCCAATTTGGGATCCTTTGGGCTTCTGGATCTGGATGTTCCTTTCCTTCCCCAGATATGGGAATTTTTCAGCCATTATTTCTTTGAATAACTTTCTGGTTTTTCTCTTTCTCTTTTCTTTTTGGGACTTTTATAATCTGTATATTGGTTTACTTGATGGTGTCCCATAAGTTTCTCAAGGGTTACATTGGACTACATAGATCTTGCACAACTTCTGGTGTATGGAAGCGCTCTGTGTGTGCTTATCTACAAATTGGTTGATTGGTAGTGATGAGTGCTGACTCTAGGAAGAAGTGAGTGCCAGCTCCAGTGTGCATACATGCATGTGGCTTAAGTTATACTAGATTTTATATAAAAGTCAGAAATAAAATCGCACACCTTGTGAATAAACCTAAAAAGTTTTTATTTTGACAGTCTGAATACATGGATTAGGCACTGTCAGTTTTCTGTGATGAGAGGGCATCCACTGAAGTAAATATTTAGTTAGAACCCTCTTCCCAGCCTCCTGTGAGTCGGAGGTAATTAGGTCTTGAGGCAAAAACCATATTTTACAATATTTCAAAAGTTTACTTTTGCTTTCATATATAGCTCTTTAAAAATATTATCCTGAAACTGAAATTTGAAAGCTGACCCTGCTAACTTTGGATTCCCAAATCTCTTTGAAGCCGCAGAACACTCTGAACACAAAGCATTTATTTTTGTTCCTGTGACAGAAAAATAAACATACATCCCTCCTGAAGGGAGACCCCAGCCTCAGAGCTTCAGAGTGGGGTCTCCCAAATAGAGAAGGCTGACGTGTCCAGGGTCTTACCTCCTTCAGGATTGCTCCAGGACTTCTTTTATCCTTGGTTAGCTTTTTCAAAAAACCACTGGAATCCCCTTAACACACATGTACATCTCCTTACAAATAGCACACATGAAAAATTCTCTGAATTGGACTTACGAATAGAGAACTGTGATCTAGCAGGATATTAACCAGAAACACATTATTGTTCTTACTGCCAACAGATGAACTATAGACAAAGGAAATCATATAACTACAACACTGTGTTGTTTTTCCTCCTTATATGTTCAGCAACTGAGCAAAGATCCAGTCACATATTGATGTGCTAAATGGTGTTGAATGAATGAATGAATGCTATGAGTTCTACTCTCTTGCTCTCAGACTTGCAGGCGGAAAGGGAAGAGGGATCTATTGCTAGGGATTGCCCCCTCTATAGAACACACGTGCAGCAAATTCTCATGAAAAACAACACATTTCCAATACAGTTTGTTATAAAAGAAAGGAGAAAGGAAAACATGGCCAGAGAGGTGAGGTGAGGTTGGAGACTTTTACATAGTTTAAAATTAAGACAGTTCTGAAGGTAAACTGGGTACTTCCTAGGAGCTAAGTATCACTTTATTTCCCAGAGTGGACCTTGAAGATTGTCTGATTGCAACCAGAACCACCCAAGAGGCAGTGAAGGCCCTAGAACTGGAGCAAGCATGAAGAGAAAACCGAATTGATCAAAGCTGTGTCTGCACCTATGCTGTATAATAGACTTCTGTGGGTTAACTTCAATGATTTGCAGTTCATTTTTTAAATCTATCTCTAGCTCATCTTCATGATTAAATTTACCCAAGCATCCTTTAAGCCAATGTACTTACAAAACAGAAAAGAATATCATTTACTGGAAACAGAAAAGTAAAGATAGGAATGACAACAATGTCTTAAATAGCTTCATTCTATTACCTCTCAGCCTAGTGTACAAGGCTCTCACAGGTCTGAGCATACTTATTCTTGCAAAGGACGTAGGCTACAGTGGTTATAATGTCAATTATTCCTCTAGAAGAGTGGGTGCTCATCTTTCCAATCATTGGTCCTAGATCATAACTCTGATAGGATGTATGCAACAGTGACTACAGAACCAACAATATTCCCTACCCTACCTTCGGTAGCTCCAGCCTCAAATTGTCCCACTCGTCTAAGGTTGCCGCATCAGAAAAAGATGTGTAGGTGTGTTTTGTGTGTGTGTATGTGTCTGTGTGTCTGTGTGCGTGTATGCATGGGTTTTATTTTCCACTAGCTTATTTCCTCTTAAGACCCAGACAGACAAGGGTGTCTGATCACTTTTCATTCATATGGATTGCTTGACAGTGGGGATATATTTTGAGAAATGCATTGTTAGGTAATTTCATCATTGTGCAAACATCACAGAAACATCATAGAGTGTGCTATCAAACATCGTAGAGTGTGCTTACACAAAACAAATGGTATATCCTACTGCATACCTGGGCTATATTTTATTGCCTATTGTTCTTAGGCAATAAACCTGTGCAGCATGTTACTGTACTGAGTACTATAGGCAATTGCAATACAATTGCAATAAGTATTTCTGTATCTAAATATATGTAAGCATAGAAAAGGTACAGTAAAAATACAGTATAAAGATAAAAGCTCATATACCTGTGTATTACACTTTCCACGAATGGAATTTGCAGGACTGGAAGTAGCTCTGGGTGAGTCAGTGAGTGGTGAGTGAAAGAGAAGGCCTAGGACATTACTGTATGCTACTACAGACTTATAAACACTTTACAGTTAGGCTACAACAAATTTATAAAAATATTTTTCTTTCTTCAGTAATAAATTAAACTTACCTTACTGTAACATTTTTACTTTATACACTTTTTACTTTTTTAACTCTGACTCTTTTGTAATTCTACAGGTTTGCAAAAATATTTTCTTTCTTTTTATTTTTATTCTATAATCTTTTTTCTATTCTTTTTTTTTTTACTTTTTAAACTCTTTTTTGTTAGAAACTAAAACCCAAACACATACATTAGCCTAAGTCTGCATGGGATCAAGATCATCAACATCACTGCCTTTCACCTGTGTCTTGTTCCACTGGAAAATCATCAGGCATTATAACATGCATGGAGCTGTCATTTCCTATGATAACAGTGCCTTCTTCTGGGATACCTCCTGAATGACCCACCTGAGGCTGTTTTACAGTTAACTTTCATTTTTTTTAAGTAGAAAAAATATACTCTAAAGCAACAATATACGTATAGTGTGGTAAATACATAACCAGTAACACGGTTGCTTATTATCATTATCAGATATTATACATTATACATAATTGTATGTGCTATATTTTTATACTACTGGCAGCACAGTAGTATACACCAGCATCACAGGAGTGATGTGTTTCACTATGATCTTATGATGGCTATGACATCACTGAGTGAAAAGAATTTTTTGCCACTACAATGCAGTGGTGAAGTCATTCCTTTCAATAACTGAGGTAGGTCAATTGGATATCCCTATAGGAAAAAAAACACGGACATCCTATACCTCATACCATATGTTAAAATTGTTTCCATATTATTGTTCACTTAAATATGAAGGGAAAACCATAGCATTTCTAGAAGAAAACATGGGAAAAAATTCTATGGCATGGGAAAAGATAATTCATTCTATTCATTAAATAGAATACAAAGCATCAACCATAAAACACATTTTTACTAAAATCATGATTTTTTCTAAAATAATTTTTTTTAAATATGAAAAGATAAACTACTCTCTGGAGAAAAGATATTTTCATTACAGAAATAGACAAGTAATTTAGATCCATAATTTATAAAGAACTCCTACAAGTCAGTAAGAAAAAGTAAGACAGCCCAATATAAAATAAGCCAGGGATTTGTGCAAGTGCTTCATAGAAATAGGGGAATAAATAGACAATATGCATATGAAAATATGGTAATTATTATCAATCATTAGGGAATGCAAATGAAAATCACAATGATATACCACTATGCACCCACCAGAATGGCTAAAATGAGAACTGACATATCAAGTATTAGTATGAATGTAGAGGAACTGGAATTCTTGCGCATTGCTGAAGGGGGAGTAAATTTATACAGCTACTTTGAAAAATTGCTTGGCAGTTTCCTCCAAAACTATATATATGCCTACACTATAATTCAGTATTTTTACTCCCTGGTGTATACACAAAAGAAATGACTTACTGTGTCCACTAATAAAAGTTACAAGAATGATCATGGAATCTTTATTAATAATATACAAACTTCAAACAATTTAAATATTCAATAGTGGATAGGCAATTTCTGGTATATTAAAACCATGAAATTCCACACCACAATAAGAAGTAATGAACTATTGATATATGCAACAACACAAACGAATCTCAAAACACTTGGTTGAACAAAAGAAGCCAGAATCAAAAGAATAAATATAATACAATTTTATTTATATAAAATTTAAGAAAAGTCAAAACTATTCTACGGCAACAGAAGCTTAATAATGATTGACTTTGGGGCACACTGCCTGAAAGAGGGCACCATAAATCTTGTTAGGGTGCTATCTTGATCTGAGTGTTAATAGACGCTTCTATTTATACTAAGGGCAAAAACGGGCAAAGCTGATCTATGGTGATTTGAGTCAGAAAAGTGCTTACTCTTGGGGGATACTGACTGGGAATGGACATGAGAGAGCCTTCAAGGGTTCCGGAAAGGGGGATGACATGAGTATATATGTATAAAAAATCAGAGGTATGCAGTTGGGTTTTGTGCACTTTATTGTATGTAAGTTTTACCTCAATAGAAGTAACACAGAATCAAAATTTTGACATTAAAAAAAGAGAATATTTTAGGTCCATTATAATCTTATGGAACCACTATTTTATATGAGCTCCATTGTTGACTGAAGTGTTATTATGTGACTGTCTATCACAGTCCAAATAGACTGAAAAAAACTAAATAGAAGTATGTCTTAGAATTCTCCTTCCTTCATTTTTTCTTTCCTTTGTATCTCATTTGTAGAGAAAAATTTGCATGTACAGTCTCAAATACACCATCTTTAAATCCTAACTCCCCAGGTTTGATAATAAAAAAAACTCGAATACATACACAATATAAGAAAAAATAAAATGTTTGGCCAGTTTGTTAAAGCCAGATGGTAGGAAATAGAGAATGAAATCAGGTTTAGGAGTTGAGTATGGTTGGAATATAATAGCTTTTGCAAGTATTCATGAGTAGAATCACTTACATTAGGGATATATATAACTATGAAGTGTGGGCCAAGTCCAGAGTATAAGTTTTTTATGCAACTCTAAGAAGAACAGGCGATAAATGGATTTCAACTAAGCCAAATGAAAAGAATAACCAAAAGGCAGATTTGGGGCAGAAGGAGGTCAGGAAAATTTTCCTGGAATCAATGAAGGTGAGTAGGGACACATAAGATAGAAAAAGAGGGTAAAGCAGTTTCCTGCTTCCTGTTTTGTTTATGTATGTCCTGCTGGGTGCAGGCAGATAAGTGTTGGCAGGTGTGTGATAAAATCGCAGAGGAAGGCTTACTGGTAAATAAGCCTTCTTTTTGGCTCCTGAAAGCTGACAATTTATTTGTCCCAGTTTTTTTCCATTGTAATCATAAAATTGGCTGAAATTCCATCTATTTAAAAACTCCAAAGTTTTGGTAGGAAATTAAATATTTGGATTAGGTATTCTAAGGTTGACATTTAAAATATTTTTCCTAAAATTAGAGGCTTCAATAACATTGAGGTGGACAAATTTGATTTATCTTTTCAATGGTATTTATACTGGGCTTATTTTGCTAAGTGCTTGGCTGCTGTATTACATCATTACCATTGCCAGATTACCATTTATTTATTTATGGTTCAGAAATTGAGAACAGCTCTCTCTTATCACATACTAAGTGAGTAAAAATGGCAAATGCTGTAATGAGGTGATTTCACATGATTCAAAAAGATCCAGTAAAGGAGTCATGTTTCATTGTATTGACAGAAGAAGGTATTCTTGAAATCAGGTCAAGAATCTGCTGGCCATGCTTTTTTTGAGATGGAGTCTCATTCTGTTGCCAGGCTGGGCCAGTCTGGAGTGCAGTGGCGTGATCTTGGCTCACTGCAACCTCTGCCTCCTGGGTTCAAGCGATTCTCCTGCCTCAGACTCCCGAGTAGCTGGGATTACAGGCGCGCACCACCACGCCCAGCTAATTTTTGTATTTTTAGTAGAGACAGGGTTTCACCATGGGGGCCAGGATGGTCTTGATCTCTTGACCTTGTGATCTGCCTGCCTCAGCCTCCCAAAGGGCTGGGATTACAGGCGCGAGCCACTGCACCCGGCCGGCCATGCTTCTTAATCACTTAAGGCAAGCCTTGCCCTCATGGGACTGGCACCAGCAACTTCTCAGCAAGTAATTTTTGTATTTGTATTATTTTAGTGGTTCTACTTAATTTATAAAAATATTAAACTTCAACTATACAAAATTGGATTACTTGCAATTCTGAGTTTGCAGAAAGCTATCATATATCCATGTATGTTTCTCTTTCTATGCATTTTCTTTTCTTTTACTAATCATCCCTGGTCTCAAATTTTACCCATGCTTGTGCCATTTAACTTACATACATATTGTCATGTTAAACATTTATTCTGCTTATTACTTTCTTTTTACATTCAGTATTATTACCCCATCACTTGTATATACCATATTTTGATTTCTATTTACTATTGGGAAACCCCAGGTAGTTTTGAACTCTTCCTTTTACAAAGAGTGCTGTGGTAAATATTTTCATTCATGTGTCCTTGTGTATACGTATTTTTTCTATAAAATATTATCAGCCACAGGATGTGTACATACTGTCTTTTGCCAAATATTTTCAGACTGGTCCTCAAAATAAGCAGACAGTCTTCCTCCAACATTTAAAAAAGATCCAGTAAAGGAGTTGTGTTCCATTATATTGACAGAAGAAAGTATTCTTGAAACAGGAATCTTGTAAGTTATCTCAAACTGCCAACCCTGTCCACAAAATACAGAAATGTAGTAGTCTTCATTTAAAGAAAGCTTCTAGAAAAAGAAAACATAATGTTAGAATCAACATATTTTAGCAGATAAAAATTACCTCTCTAAATGAAAACATGCAGCAGAAGAAGACTGAAAAAAAAATTGACAAGCATTACAGGAAATTAAAAAATACATAGACTTAAAACTAAAATTGGCCAAAAAAGGAAAAAAGAGACAAATTAAGTAAGAGTGGATTGAAAAATTCAGGGAAGAAATAGAGGAAAAAGAAAAAATATCTTAGAAACAAAGGTTAAATTATAAGGTGCCTTCCTCTTAAATAAACTCAAATGGAAAATTAAGACAAACAATTGAAGAAAAGCAGAGTGAATGAACACAAGATAAATGCAGAGTGAATGAACAGCAAAGTGAATGAACTCAAATGGAAAATTAATACAAACAATTGAAGAAAAGCAGAGTAAATGAACACAAGATAAAAGCAGAGTGAATGAACAGCAAAGTGAATGAACACAAGATAAATGGATGAGTTATAAGGGTCAGAGAGAGTGAGTGCAATGGAAATTAGGCAAAGAAGGTCTAATGCACATGTTGCATAATTTGCTTGCCTAAAAAGAAAAACAAGATAACTAAAATTTGAAACAATGATTCAAGAAAAATTCCTGAAAAACAGAATAAATCCACATATGAAACGGTTCACTCTCTGAAAATTCATTCAGAACAATGAACTCTGATACATATCTTGGTAAATCTATCAGACTTTAAACAGAAAGAAAAAGTCCTTAGGTTCTCAGGGCAAAAAAAATCAAGTTAACTTACAAGAATAAGAGTTACACTGGAATTTGATTTCTCAAAAATAACATACAGTTTGATATGTATTTACAAAGTTAAACATAAATAGCTGGGTGTGGTGGCTCATGGTTGTAATCCCAGCACTTTGAGAGGCTGAGGCAGCAGGCAGATCTCTTGAGCCCGGGAGTTTGAGACTAGCTCAGGCAACACGGTGAAACTCTCTTAAAAAAAAAAAAAAAAAAAAAAAAAATATATATATATATATATATATATATATATATACACACACACACACACACACACACACATATACATATATATATACACACACACACACATATATACATATATATACGGAGGTGTGTGGGCACATGTCTGTGGTCCCAGCTATTCAGGAGTCTGAGGTGGGAGGATTACCTGAGCCCAGGGAGGTTGAGGCTGCAGTGAACTGTGAGTACACCACTGCACTCCAGCCTGGGCAAAAGAATGAGATCTCATTTCAATAATAATAATAAAAATAATAATAATAAATAAGCATAAACTTATTATATAACCCAGAAATTTTATTCCTAGGTATGTGTTCTTGAGAAATAAAAACATATGTTCATACAAAACCTTCACGTAAATATTTGAAGCAACTGTATTCATAATAGTTAGAAACTAGAAGCAACACAACTATCAATCAACTGGTAAATAAATAAAAAATCATGTTGTAGCTATAGTTAGTATGTTGAAACCATTGAGTGTTGCTAGAACATGGATAAATCACAAAAGTATTATGCTAAAAGACACAAAAGACTATAAAGTATATGAATCTATTTATATAAAATTTTAGGAAAGGCAGAATTACAGGAACAGAAAGTAGATTAGTGTTTTCCAGGGCCTCTGGATGCAAAGAGTGTGTTGATTATAAAAGGGGAGGAGAAAACTTTTTGGGGACGTGGAAATATATTTATTATGGTGGTTGGTGGTGGTTTATATATTTTTATTTTGGTGGTTGTTACATGACCTTATATATTTTCTGAAACTCATCAAACTGCACCCATTAAAAGGGTAAGTTTTACTGTACGTAAAATTTACCTCCATAAGCTTGACTTAAAAAATAAATGCATGAAGGAAAGCAATAGTGTAACAGCACTGGAAAAAATCTAAAGGAGAGAAATTATGAAACAAAGATGTTATGTCTAGCCAAACTATTCTTCAAATAGTAAGAATACATAAAAACCATTTTAATGATTGAAGAATTTAAGGACTATTATATCCACAAGCCCTGCTTAAGGAATCTACCAGAGGATAAGCATCTAACCAAGAGACTATTGGGGAAACTGTAGAAAAGAGGTTATTGTGAGTATTAATTGTAGATTTATCAAACGCAAAGATGAGGGAGGAAGAATACTATATAATTTTTATTTGTCTTCATAAGGTAGAAATAGTGCAACTAAAAAGTGGAAGGAGAAGGAAGAGACAAAGAAGAAAATGGTCTAATGTTAGTGAAATCAGCACATACCAGTATCTATGAGGTAAGTTTAAAGTTGTAATCAGATAAAAATATTTAGCCTAAAACAAATATGTCTGGTATTTTTTCAAAATGAAACATATGAAGGATAAATAGAAACTAATGAGTTTGATTACCTATAGGATATGGGTGAGAATGGGGTTGAATGGATGAAGAGTTAGCACTTCTCTCAGTATTTCTATTTTTTGCATAGTTTTAAATTTTGGTATTATATTAATGTTTTACTTACCTAAAATATAAAATAATATCAAAAAGGATAGGTAAAATATCCTAAAATGGAATATAATCAAGAAAAAAATGAGCCTATCTCTAATAAATAACATAATCAGACTGAAGTGTGGGTGAAGGATGGGAGAATAAACCAATTTACCTTTATACACAGTATTTTATTTATACTGTGAAAGCATAATTTCTACCTTGTGAAGACAAAATACACTTATAGTCCTTAAGTACTGATTTCACAGTATTTTATTTATACTGTCTTTAAAGGTGTAAGAATTAAAGAAAGAGGAAGGAAACATGAAAAGCAGCTTCACTGTTAAAGATAGGTTTATTTTGGAAAATAAACCTGAGTGGGGCTTCTGGCTGAGTTAGGTCAGAGGCACTCTCTTTTACAGACTAAGAGTTTTTAAGGATTCAGGGCAGGAGAGTTTATCAGAGGCTTGGATTACTTCTGTGTCTCTTTGTTGTGCTTATCTGGGAGGGAGAGTTTTGTGTCTGTTCCCATACATCTTCATGCAGCTGCAGGCATACCCACCGAGTCTGCTTTTAGCTCCTATCTATCTTAGCGCACCTGAAGGGAAAGGAATGTGCTTATTATGGCCCAGTGTTTTACTGGGGCCCACTGTATGAAGGTGAAGTTTGGCAGTTACCCAAGAGACTTCCCCCCTGCTCCCTCTGTGCCTGAGTTGTCTTATCTGTGTTTTACTGTCTGCCCTTTCTGGCTGCTTGTTGTTAAAAGAGAAATGATAGGGTAGTGAAAGTCTCTCTTCACTATGCACTTTCTAGACTCCTGACTACAGGTATGTGTAACTATAACAAAACGGTTGTTGTTTTATGCCTCTAATCTTGGAGTGTTTTGCTATGTGGCAATAGGGCCAGGACAGGGGAATAAAGACAAGCTCTTCTTCAGAGTAGAATGCCAACTAAGAAATATAGACAGAAAGGTAGAGTTAGAAAATCAGCATTTGGCAGTCTATAGACCCTACAAAGCAACCACACAATAGAAACTACAGAGCAATTAGCTAGTAACTTCATGATAGAACCAAAGCTCACATATTAATATTAACCCTAAATGCAAATGGTCTAAACATCCCCACTTAAAAGGCACAGACCATATAGTTGGATTAAAAAAAAAAAGACCTATCTGTTTGCTTTGTTCAAGAGAGCCATCTCACATGTAATGAGACCAATAGGCTTAAAGTAAAGAGCTGGAGAGAGATCTACTAAGCTAATGGAAAACAAAAAAGAGCAGGGATTGCTATTCTTATATCAAAAAAACCAGACTTTAAGCCAACAACAGTTAAAAAGGACAAAGAAGGAAACTATATAATGATAAAAGGTTCAATTCAACCGGAAGATTTAATTGCCCTAAATATATACATACCCAACATTGGAGCACCAGATTCTTAAAACAACTACTTATAGAATTATAAAAAGACTTAGACAAATGCACAATATTAATGGGGGACTTCAATACCCCACTGACACCATTAGACAGATCATCGAGGCAGAAAACCTACATGTATATTCTGGACATAAGTTTGACACATGACCAATTGAACCTAACAGATATCTATAGAATACTCCACACCCATCAACCGCAGAATATACATTCTTGCCATCTGTACATAGAATACTCTAAAATCAACCACATGCTCAGCCATACAGCATGTGTCAATAAATTCAAAAAAATCAAAATCATATCAAGCATACTCTTGGACCACAGTGAAATAAAAACACTAATCAATACCAAGAGGATCTCTTAAAACCCCAAAATTACATGGAAATTAAACAACTTACTCCTGAAGGCAATAAAGTTAAGGCAGGAATAAAAAAATTCTTTGAAATAAATGAAAACAGAGACAAAACATAAAAATCTCTGCGATGCAGTAAAAGCAGTGTTAAGAGGAAAGTTTATAGTACTAAACACCTACCTAGGAAACTTAGATCTCAAATAAATCATCTAACATCACACCTAGAGGAGCTAGAAAAACAGGAACAAATGAACCCCAAAGCTAGCAGAAGAAAAGAAATAACTAAAATCAGAGTAGAACTCAATGAAACTTAGATCCGAACATCCATACAAAGAATCAACAAAACCCAAAGTTGGTTCTTTAAAAGGTTAAACAAGATTGACAGACTGATAGCTAGTTTAACAAAGGAAAAAGAGGAGATCCAAATAAGCACAATCAGATATGACAAAGGTGACATTGCAACCAATCCCACAGAAATACAAAAGATTCCTAGAGACTATTATGAACACTTCTATGCACACAGGCTAGAAAATCTAGAGGAGATAGATAAATTCCTGGAAACAAAACATTCCAGGATAAAATCAGAAAGAAATTAAAACCCTGACCAGACCAACATGAAGTTCTGAAATTGAATAATTAATACAAAACCTACTAACCAAAGAAAGCCATGGACCAGATGGATTTACAACCACATTTTACCAGATGTATGAATAAAAACTGGTACCAATTCTACTGAAACTATTCCAAAAAACCAAGAAGGAGGGACTCCTCTCTAACTCATTTTATGAAGCAATCATCACCTTCATACCGAAACCTGGCAAAGACACAATGAAAAAAGAAAACTACAGGCCAATATCCCTAACACAGGGATAGATACAAAAATTCTCTACAAAATACTAGCAAACCAAATCCTGCAGCACATCAAAAAGTTAATTCACCAGCTGGGTGCGGTGGCTCATACCTGTAATCCCAGCATTTTGGGAGGCTGAGGCAGGTGGATCACAAGGTCAAGAGATCAAGACCATCCTGGTCAACATGGTGAAACCCCTTCTCTACTAAATATTCAAAAATTAGCTGGACGTGGTGGCACATGCGTGTAGTCTCAGCTACTTGGGAGGCTGAGGCAGGAGAATTGCTTGAACCCAGGAGGTGGAGGTCACAGTGAGCCGAGATGGTGCCACTGCACTCCAGCCTGGTGACAAAGCAAGACTCTGTCTCAAAAAAAAAAAAAAAAAAAAAAAGTTAGTTCACCACAATCAAGTAGGCTTCATTCCTGGGATACAAGATTGGCTCAACATACACAATAAATATGATTCACCACATAAACAGACTTAAAAGCCAAAACCATATGATCATCTCAATAGACACAGAAAAATATTTTGAAAAAATCCAACATCTCTTTATGATAAAAACCCTCAAGAGACTATGTATCAAAGGAGCATACCTCAAAATAATTACAGCTATCTACGACAAACCCACAGCCAATGTGATGCTAATGGGGCAAAAGTTGGAAGCATCCCCCTTGAGAACTGTAACAAGAAAATGATGCCCAGTCTCACCCCTCCTATTTAACTTAATACTAGAAGTGCCAGCCAGAGCAATCAGGCAAGAGAAATAAATAAAAGGCATCTAAAATAGGAAAAGAAGAAGTTGAACTATCTCTTTTCACTGATAATATAATTCTTTTTTTTTGGAGATAGAGTCTCGCTCTGTCGCCAGGCTGAGTGCAGTAGTGCAATCTCGGCTCACTGCAACTTCTGCCTTCTGGGTTCAAATGATTATTTTCATCAGCCTCCCAAGTACCTGGGACTACAGGTGCATGCCACCATGCCCAGCATGCATAACTTTTGTGTTTTTAGTAGAGATGGGGTTTCACCATGTTGGCCAGGATGGTCTCGATTTCCTGACCTCGTGATCTGTCCACCTTGGCCTCCCAAACTGCTGGAATTACAGGTGTGAGCCACCATGTCCGGCCTGATAATATAATTCTATACTTAGAAATCCGCTGGAACTGATAAACAACTTCAGTAAAGTTTCAGGATACCAAATCAATGTACAAGAATCAGTAGCATTTCTATACACTAATAATGCTCAATCTGAGAGCCAAATCAAGAACACAGTCTCATTTACAATAGACACACATACACACACACACACTCACACCAAGGAATATCTCTAACAAAGGAAGTGAAAGATTTCT
The DNA here is from genome assembly GCF_000001405.40 of Homo sapiens. Taxonomy (NCBI): domain Eukaryota; kingdom Metazoa; phylum Chordata; class Mammalia; order Primates; family Hominidae; genus Homo; species Homo sapiens. Next base: position 90,031,726 of record NC_000010.11, read on the forward strand.
ACAAGGAGAACTACAAAACACTGCTGAAATAAATCATAGATGACACACAACAACAACAACAAAAAACATTCCATGGCTCATATAGAAAGAATTAATTTCATTAAAATGGCCATCTTGCCTAAAGCAGTCTACATATTCAATGCCATTCCTATTAAATTACAAATGTTATTTTTCACAGAATTAGAAAAAGCTATTCTGAAATTCATATGGAACCAATAAAAAGCCTAAATAGCCAAAGCATTCTTAAGCAAAAATAATAAAGCCGGAGGCATCACATTACCCAACTTCAAACTAACCAGTAAGGCTACAATAACCAAAATAACATGACACTGTTATAAAAACAGACAACACATAGACCAATGGAAGAGAATAGAGAACACAGAAATAAAACCACAAATATACAGCCATATGATCTTTGATAAAGTTGACAAAAATAAGCAAGGGGGAAGGACTCCTTATTCAATAAACAGTGCTGGGATAGCTGGCTAGCCATATGCAGAAGAATGAAACGGGGACCCCACCTTTCACTTTATACAAAGTTAACTCAAGATGGATTAAAGATTTAAATGTAAGACCTCAAACTGTAAGAACCCTAGAATAAAACCTAGGTCTGGACTTTGGGCTTGGCAAAAAATTTATGACTAAGTCCTCAAAGGCAACTGCAACAAAAACAAAAGTTGACAAGTAACCCAATTAAACTAAAGAGCTTCTGCACAGCAAAAGAAATTATCAACAGAATAAAGAGACAACCTATAGAATGAGAGAAAATATTTGGGAAGCATGCATCCAACAAAGGTCCAATACCCAGAATCTATAAGGAAGTTAAACAATACAAGCCCAAAACAAATAACCCCATTAAAAATGGGTGAAAGATATGCACAGACACTTACCAAAAGAAGACATACAAGTAGCTGACAAACATATGAAAAATGCTCAGCATCACCAGTCATCAGAGAAATGTAAATCAAAACCACAATGAGATACCATCTTATACCAGATAGAATGGCTACTAGCAAAAAGCCAAAAAACAACAGATGCTGGCAAGGCTGTGGAAAAAAAGGGAACTCTTATACACTGCTGGTGGAATGTTAAGTTAGTTCAGCCACTGTGGAAAGCAGTTTGAAGATTTCTGAACTCTTATACACTGCTGGTGGAATGTAAGTTAGTTCAGCCACTGTGGAAAGCAGTTTGAAGATTTCTCAAAGAACTTAGAACTACCATTCGACCCAGCAATCCCATTACTGGGTATATATCCAGAATAAAACAAATTATTCTACAACATGCATTTGTATGTTCATTGCGGCACTATTCACAATATCAAAGACATGGGATCAATCTAGGTACTCATCAATGTTCAGTTGGATGAAGAAAATGTGGAACATATAAACCATGGAATACTACATAGCCATAAAAAATCATGTTCTTTGCAGCAACATGGATAACATTGGATGACATTAGGGTAACATTAATTATCCTATGCAAATAACTTCAGGAACAAAACACCAAATACTGCATATTCTCACTCATAAGTGGGAGCTAAACATTGGGTACTTATGGACATAAAGATGCACTAATAAATAGATACTGGGGACGTCTAGAGGCAGAGGGAGGAAAGGAGTCAAAGGTTGAAAAACTATTGGGCATTATGCTCAGTACCTGGGTGATGAGAGCATTGCTAAACCAAACACCAGCATCAGGTGATATACCCATGTAACAAACCTGCACGTGTACCCCTTAAATCTAAAATAAAAGTTGAAAGGGAAAAATATTTTGATACTGCCAAATTGCCTCCAAAAAGTTTTTATCTATGTTATAGCTGTAGCAGTAAAGATGTAGTTATGAAAGTATAAAAACACAAAGATTTTCTGTTTTTGAAAATCCTGCCACAGAATGTTATTATTCTTTTTCTTTGCAAATTTGCTTGATGAAAACATATGCTTCATTGTTTTAATTTGGACGTTTTCAATTAGGAGAGAGCTAGAATTTTTTGGTGAAGTTATTGGTCCTTTGTAAGTCTTACTTTCTTAATTGTTATTCAATCTCTTTGGCTATTTTTCTTCAATCCATTATATTCTAAAGAAATATAGGTAAGTATTGAATGCCAATAAACTTTTCATACATCAAAAATATATATTTAGAAAGCACCAGAAACATAAATGATTCAGGATTGCATTATCACAGGATGCTAAAACCAGTAAGGGAACGTTTGTTAATACCTCCCCCTACCTCCACACATACCCTAGTATCTCCCTACAAAATACTTAGTAACTACAGAGAAAAATAGTAACTTTAGGAGGAGAATACTGGCATATATCATCTTAACCATGCAATTAAAGTTAACATTACAGGTAATGGAACAACCCAATATCATGAACCCTTAACATGATGTACTGAAGAGGACATAACATAATTTTTGTAGCATTTTTGCCAAAAATATGTAAACTGAATATGATCATGAGGAAACATCAGACAGACCCTTACTTTGGCACCTTCTGCAAAACAGCTGATTGGTACTCCTAATATCATTATAAAAAACAAAAAAGACTGCGGGACTTCTGATTAAAAACACAAACCAGGCTGGGCGCAGTGGCTCACGCCTGTAATCCTAGCACTTTGGGAGGCCTAGACGGGCGGATCACGAGGTCAGGAGATCGAGACCATCCTGGCTAACATGGTGAAACCCCGTCTCTACTAAAAATACAAAAAAATTAGCCGGGCGTAGTGGTGGGCGCCTGTAGTCCCAGCTACTTGGGAGGCTGAGGCAGGAAAATGGCGTGAACCCAGGAGGCGGAGCTTGCAGTGAGCCGAGATCGCACCACTGCACTCTAGCCTGGGCAACTGAGTGAGACTAAGTCTAAAAAAAAAAAAAAAAAAAAAAAAAAAAACCAACTAAATGCAATACATGATTCTGAGTCAGAAAATAATTTAAACCATTTCTGAAGTTAAAAACAGCACAAGACTGAAGTAGTAGAAAATATTACATGGCTTATTCAACAACAGTGGTTTTGTATTCATTGAAAATACACCTTAAAAATTTAAAAATCAACATATAGTAAAACCGTAAGAAGAAATTAATATAGATACTAAGTAGGAGATTTTGAAATTGAGAGACCAAAACTAAAGGCTATAGAAGTTTTGAATAACATAATTAACAATTATTATTTAATAATAAACATACCGAACCCTGAACCCAACATATGGACACACACACGCGTATGTTTACTGCAGCACTATTCACAATAGCAAAGACTTGGAATCAACCCAAATGTCCATCAATGATAGACTGGATTAAGAAAATGTGTCACATATACACCACGGAATACTATGCAGCCATAAAAAAGGATGAGTTCATGTCCTTTGCAGGGACATGGATGAAGCTGGAAACCATCATTCTCAGCAAACTATCACAAGGACAGAAAAACAAACACCACATGTTCTCACTCATAGATGGGAATTGAACAATGAGATCACTTAGACACAGGGCAGGGAACATCACATAACACGGTCTGTCAGGGGGTGGGGGGCATGGGGAGGGATAGCATTAGTAGAAATACCTAATGTAAATGATGAGTTGATGGGTGCAGCACACCAACATGGCACATTTATACCTATGTATCAAACCTGCACATTGTGCACATGTACCCTAGAACTTAAGGTATAATTTAAAAACACAAAAAGAAAATTCACATCTTTTTAAGCAAACATAAAACAGGTGTTGAAAAATTGGTAACATTCTAGGCAATAAAGGAAGTCTCAACAAATTCCAAAGCATATTACACTAATAACAATTTTTAAACACAATGTAATAAATCAGAAATTAATTTTTAAAAATAGCCCAAGTAATAACTTCCCCCAGAGCCAAATATTGGAAACTGAGGAACACAATTCTAAATACTTAATGGGTTAAAGAAGAAAGCTTAATGGAAGTTATGAAATATTTAACACGGACTAGAAATGAGAACGCAGCTTAAATGAGAATGTAGCTGGAAAGGTATTTGTGGAGGATCTTTATAGATTTAAAACACATATATGAAAACAAGAAAAACTGAAAATTCAGAAACTAAGCATTCAACTGAAAGAAGACTGTGAATAACAATAAAATATCCTCGGAAAGAAAGAAGTGTAGAAAAGCATGAAATGAAACTCACAGAAATGTGGAGAGGGTTGGGATTAACTTCAGTTGTATCAAGGGGGCTCAAGCCATGTTTAGCCAAATTGATGGATGAGGATGTGTGTTGACATCTGTTTTATTTAATAATAATATCTATTGAGACATTTTCTGTGCTTGACTAGATAGTGAGCTTTGTGATTACACCTGCCGGGCAAGGGCACTACAGCTCATTCCCTTGGTCAGAGCCCTGAAAAACCGTGCTTTTCCCCACTCTGCTAGCTTGCTATTGCATAATTTTATCCATCATTTCTTACTGTTTCCTATGAGTGTGTTGACTCTGGACTTCGATATAAAAGTAGATTTTTACCTTCTCTGAATAATGTGTTCTGAAAATTTACCATTAGATTTTCTCCAAATGAATGTTTATACGTCCATGACCAACCGTATGTAAACTCAAACATATGAGGCTAAATTGATGCTCCTATAAATTTTGCCACCAGAGACCAAGAATATCCCTTGCCATTTAGAATTCTTGATTTACAAACCTATCTTGTGACAAATCTACTGTCTTTAAAATAATGAATATTTAGATTTTATATTATAATTTAAACTGAGTAGCATTTGCTTTTGCAGCTGAGAGCATTATTGTAATAAAAGTAATTTGTTTCCAAAAGTTTATTTCAGCATTGGATTTCTCTGTAATTTCAGTGACTGAGGGAATACATCAAACCAGATGTTATGTTCCAGTCAGTTATTACCTTTTATAGGTAACTGTTTCTAGTACATAAAGAATGAATAAATCAACCAAATCAATATATATTTATTTACCAGGGCTATGTTTTCACTACTGTTCAAAAATGTATTATCTAGCACTTTTGCCTAAGACTCTGAGAATATTGTTTCCCTCTGTGTTTTCTGATATCATCTGGAAAAATAAAAACCAGAAGCAAACATAATTCTGTCATTCTATTTTTGTTGGAAGCAAGGCAGTTATTATTTGGTTTGGGGAAAATAAAGGCAGCATTTCAGATTTGGAAAATATCCCAGACTTAAAAATAATGTTTGATAGTGTGAAGAGCAGTGCCAGTGTGGCATCTTCTCCTGTCTAGGCAGAATGAGCCAGATCATTTGCAGTTAGACTTTCTCTCCTCATGTAGTCAAATAAATCCTATACATTTGTGGAGGTAATTGTAAAGACATTGAAAACTAATGACAGAAAAAAACCACATTTTGACTGTATGCTGTTAGAAATGAACTCTTTAAAAGAATCAGTATGGTATGGTGAGTGGTTAAAAGTTCGCCTTCCAAATCAGGCACTTGAATTTGAATCCATCTCCGATTCTTAACAGCTCAATGACGTTACTTTGCAAATCTCTAAAATGGGAGTGATAATAGTATCCAAGTGATTTGCATGTTGTGAAAATTTAATGAGACAAATATAATTTATAAGACTTTGAGCTCTGCGCCTGACTCACGAGTGAACTCCTCTCTTCCCTAAAGAAAAGACTAGCACAGAAATTAAAAAAGAAAAAATAGAATTGTTTTACAATTTATGTAAAGAATCCAGGATTTGAAAATTATTGGCAAGTTTGAAAAAAAAAAAAAAAAGCAATCAAGTTGCTACCAGGGGCAGCATAGGGACTAGCGGTGTTTGGCTTTGAGAAAAAAAAAAAAAGTCACTGAAGGGAGTCATTGAAGGGAATCAGAGACATCTATGTATAGCCAAATGTTGAAAATGACTATGGTCTCCTATGGGCCATTGCCATGAAGGGTGTTCTGTGTATCTGAATTAAGCCCCAGCTCCTCCTTCCTTGCCTTGATATGCAAGGCTCCCATATGTAAGACCAGCTTAGACGTTGCACTATCACCACGGCTTCTGCATATAACCAAAGCTATTGGTACACTGGAGTCACAAGTAGACTGCCCTGAAAAGATCTCACACTTTCTGGTCTGTGTTCCTGCTGTGCCCTTGAGTTTTTTGCTTCCTTTCTTTCCATTCTCTTGAGAATTCCAACCATCCTCCATGTTCCATCTAAAAGCTACCTTCTCCTTTCCAGATTCTGACAATAAGATGTTTTTTAATTCCTGTAGCACTTTCTTGGTACTTCTTTCATAGCACCTAAGTTATTCATCTTGGATTATACCTATTGAAATTGTCTCATCGCTCCTTCTGAAATCGTAAGCAACTTGTAGGCAGAGATGGTCTTACTTATTTTTGTTTCCCCCAGCATGGTACCCCACACATAGTAGACACTAAATAAACAGTTGTTGATAGGACAATCGTACCACAGATGTATTTATGAATGGACCACTAATGTGATCCAGCATGGCCTTTTTTATGATTACATAACAATAAAAGCTACATCAAATGTTTATTAAGTATTTACATGTACCAGGCATGGGCTAGATTCTGCGAACAAGATTGGCTTCATTCTTTCTCTCCTGTGGTTTACAGTCTAATAGGGAAAACAGATTTTAGACAATTCATTAGAACTGATGTGTTAGGAATGAGGTAGGAAGAGAAAGGCTCTAATTAAATAGCTCATTTCTCAGAAAGAAACTATTGTTCCTACTGAAAAGTTAAATGGATTAGTTTCCAAATCCTGAAAGTCCTAGAACTGTGACTGATTTAGGTGTGAAGCCACAATATGCCATAGGGGCCAGGGAAGCTGCTCTGTGCATTAGGAGAAAGAGGTTGCCTGTAAATTCAGATTCACTAATGAAAGAGATGGGTTGAAAAGTAAGGATCGTTAGCTGGCTGAAGCAATGCACTAATGCAGTGTAAAATATACTGAGGTCTGCCAGTTATGATCCCCTTGGCTGGCATAAAGCTGGCATAAAGCTTGAGTTATTGTCTGTGACAAAAAGGGTAAAGTGATGTAGTAGCATTATATATGTTGTATACAAACATCGGCATATACACCCTGAATATATAGACAGATGTCTCCATTTTATCTCATTCGTTTAATTTAACTTGATGTAAGTTTGTAGGACTTAAAGCACAGTAAATCATTTGAATGGTTTCAGGACAATTCTCTCAGAGCAATGTTATCTGTTTGGCTTAAAGCCACTCTGATTACTCCCAATACTTGGTAGAAAAAAATACTTAGCCAAATGTTCCTTATTCTCTTGAGATTCATTTTTCTGAAAGTAGACGGCAGAAAAACAGACTTTGAATAATATAATGGTACTTCAAGATTTTAATATTTAATTTCAATAGTTCTTCTAAATGGGGCAAGAATTTGGCCTGTGAACAAGAATTTGGCCTTTTGAATTTTCTTTCTATTTTACCTGAATTTATATTGACCCGCAAAAACCTGGAACATCCTCTGGGCAAGGTAAGATCTTGCTTTTATTTTTTAGTAGACATTAAAGCAAACATGATTAAGCAGCTAAAGTGCCAACTCAACTCATGTAGTTTTCCTTTCTGGAAGCTACTAAAATATCTATACAAAACTGCGGAAGCTTCTTTATATGCACAATTTGAAACAATAAAATGATGGAAGCATTTTGTCTATGTTACCCAGCTACCTTGAGTACAGTATAAAGTAGTAGCTAAATACCCAAGTTCTGGAGTGAGAAAGATTTGCCTTCTAATTCTCCTCTACTGTTTATGAATTCTGTGAATTTGAGTAATTTGAGTTCAAGAAACTCAAAACCTCAGTTTCCTTGTTTGTAAAATGTAAGTGGTATTACTTACTTGATGGAGTTGTGAGGATTTAAAAGATCCAATGCATGAAAGTGCTTAGCATAGAGCCTCATACACAGTCAGTTCTCAACAAATGATAATGGCTATTATTATTAATCTCATCTTTATTAGCCTCTACTTCTCCCCCAGGAGGGTGCATTGAGTATACATTTAACAATGAAGAATAGTGAGAACACACACACTTTCTGTTCTCCAGAGTTCTAGAAGCAGTCAAATCACTAAAGAGTAATAGATATATCCATCAGGATATTTTTGGTGACAGAAACCCAATTTAATCTACCTAAAGCAAAAATGGGATTTATTGGAAGGGCTATGAGTAGCTTGTATAACTCAAGAAAGTACTATGGAAAACATTTACATCAGAAAATAAAACTGGAGTCTTGAAAATCACCAGGTACATCTCTGCCTATCTCTCATCTCTGTTTGTTAGCCTAATTTTTTCTATTATTGAGTAACCTTTTCCTTGCAGCGTAGATCATGGCCAGCGGAACTGTAGTCTAACAGCTTAGAAACCACCGAGGAAACAGAATATCTCTCTCTCAGCTTCTACTTGAAAAATTCTGGGGAAGGACTCTGGAATTGGCCAAGTTATCTCTTCTTGGACCAATCACTATAATTAGCGGTTGGGGTACTGTGATTGAGCTAACCAGGACCATGTGCCCATCTCTGTTACCTGAACCAGGTGTGCTATGTGCTTGCTCAGAGGTGGGATGGAGGAGGAGTTAAGGGTGGAATCTCTATAGCACAGATGTGACCAGTTGAGGAAAGGAAGGTACAGATAATTTTTCCAAAATCTTTATAGACAAAAAACTGGAATGCAGAGACAACCAGACACTATTCAATGTTAGCTGGGCATGGCCCTTCATGATGAGATGTTCTCAGCTGATTCACAAATGCTTAGCTTCAAGTAGTCATTGGTGGAATGTAATCAGACAAAAGGATTCAAAATACTTTAAGGGTCCAGCAGCACTCCAGGAGAGAGTTTTTTTCATTGGATTCTCTATGTTTGAAGAGGGAGATGAAGCACAATAGGGTGGGTAAGGATAAAGACATTGTGATTTTCACCCCTTGGAACTTGTATTTTCTTCTAATTCTAATCAAACACTCGAATTGGATTTGTTTGTGAGAACAAGCCTTGTAAGCATAGGAGATTTTTTTGTGAATATGGGAGATATTATTGGTCTTCATAGCAGTATCCATCATGTCTAAATGGAAGCTGAGAGAAAATTTCTCATATTTTTTCCAGGAGAGGACCATGACTAAAGAAAACAGGGATAATTTCACTTACAAATTTGCTTCTGAGTTCCTCTATTTTTTATCTTCTAGGTCCCCATAGGATTCTGCCAGCTTGTGAGTGGCCTGGTCTTGTTTCTCAACTGGTCATCAGGGTCCACCCTGAGGAACCCTGGGAGATGTGCCAGGGGATGTTTAGGAAAGTGTGAGGAGCCACAGCATAAACCAAGAACTTTTTCTAGGTTTAGAAACTAAAAATATGACTTATGATTAAGATAGACTTCCAAATGGAATAGAATGGAATTTAAATAGTATGCCAATGATTAAGATGAGTCAGATTTTAGAGTCATTTTGATTTTGTTGTCAGTGTCATGGCCCTGTCCTTGATTTTCTAGGGGCAGGTTTTCATTCTTGTCAATTACCAGGGGTACCTTAAGTGGAAAGTTTGAGAAGCACTGGGGAACTGGTTTTAACCAGAGTTTAGCTCTGAAGTCTATAGAAGAAAATCTTTATACTTAGAATTAGGCTCTTTACTGGCCTTACAAGCTTCAGAAAGCCTGTTCCTGGCCGGGCACGGTGGCTCATGCCTGTAATCCTAGCACTTTGGGAGGCCGAGGTGGGCAGATTACCTGAAGTTGGGAGTTCAAGACCAGCCTGGCCAACAAGGTGAAACCCCATCTCTACTACAAAATACAAAAAATTAGCTAGGTGCAGTGGCGTGCGCCTGTAATTCCAGATACTTGGGAGGAGTAGGCAGGAGGCAGGAGAATAGCTTGAACCAGAGGCGGAGGTTGCAGTGAGCCAAGATAGCACCACTGCACTCTAGCCTGGGCTACAGAGCGAGACTTTGTCTCAAAACAACAATAACAACAACAACAACAACCAAAAAATACTTAGGAGGAGCATGCAGATGGGCAGGTCATGGGGAGAGTGGGCTCTGAACTCCCAGCAGTATCTAGGGTTGAGTGTTTACACTTCCTGAAACACCTACCTCAGTGGGTATGTGTTACAGTGTGCTCTTTCAGCTTAGCCATCTGCAGGCGGCTTGTGTTAATCAGCTCACTTAGACTCTCTGCCTTATCACAAGGACAGAGGAGCTTTCTGTATCCTGGGGTTCTTGCCCTAATGTACTAGAAAAATTGGATCACACATGGGCGTGGAGAATGAGTACAAGGTTTTATTGAGTGGTGGAAATAGCTCTCGGCAGATGGATGGGAGCCAGAATGGGGATGGAGTGTGAAGGTGGTCTTCCCCTGGAGTTGGGCCACTCCGTGGCCAAACACTCCTCCGACCACCCCTGGCTGAATTCCACATCGTTTGTGTCATTCTGCCATTGATGGTCTGCCGGAGTCTGTCAATGCATTCTTCTGCTGGTGTGTTCCTCTTGACATGCAGCTGCTCGTGTGTGTGCCCGCCAGGGTCTCAGGGTTTTTACAGGCACAGGATTGGGGGCATGCTGGGCCAGAGTGGCCTTGGAAAATGCAACACATGGGCGCAAAAACAGGAGTGCCTGTCCTCACCTGGGTCCGTGGGCACAGGCCCCAGTGTGGAGCCCTTGCCAGGGACTCTGCCCTTCTCTACCCAGGACTTCCCTGCACCCGCTTCCATATCAACATCATCCAGGCCTGGAGTGTTTTGGTAGGAGAGATTTTACAATCATCCTTAATTACTTTGATGGAAACTGGCCTGTCTGTAAGTTCTGTCTTTAATGGGATTTGTTTCACTTATGGTATACACAGTATGCGTCAATAGTTATATCTTTTTTGTCACTTATTATTTTATACATTCTTCATTTCACCTCTTAAAAAATTAGGTCAGGTACTGTTTTATGTGTTTGGTTGATTTATTCCCCATAATTTATTTATTTATTTACTGATTATTTTTGTTTACTGACATTAAATTCCTTTATATGTATTAATCGCTTCTTTCTGCTGTCTTGTGTTATAGTTTGCTATTCTACATCTAGCTTTTTGAATTATATGTTTAGCTTTCTTATTTTTAAAATTGTATTTAATGCTAGGAATTTTCACCTGAAGAATTTTTTTAAAGCTGTATCTCACAGATTCTAATGTGTTTTGCTTTCATTATTGTTTTCTAGATTTCTAGAAAATTTTGTTTTGTATTCTTCATTGTCCCAAGGGTCGTTTAATATATACTAGTGTGTGTCTGTCTAGCTGTTTTTATGTATTTTCAATTATAAAAAGCTTTTTAGTTTTTAAACATTTCTGAATTATTTTATTTGATGTATGTTTCTGTATATAGCACTGAGTTGGATTTCTTTAACTTGTCTAACAACATTATTTCTGCATAGATGATTGAAATCCATTTATATGTATGAATATGATTTATTTGTTTCTGGTTTGTCATATTGCTTTATACTTTGTGTATTATATAAATGCATATTTTATATATACCCAGTAAGTTTTTCGCTAGATGAGCTACTTTATTTTCTCACTCTCTAGTATTTAGGAAGATATATGATACGGTTTGGGTCTGTCCCCACCCAAATCTCATCTTGAATTGTAGCTCCTATAATTCTCACATGTCATAAGAGGGACCTGGTGGAAGGTAATTAAATCATGGGGGCAGATCTTTCCCATGCTGTTCTCATGATGGTGAATAAGTCTTATGAGATCTGATGGTTTTATAAAGGCAAGTTCCCCTAAACATGCTCTCTTGCCTGCTGCCACATAAGGCGTGACTTTGCTCCTCATTCACCTTCTGCCATGATTGTGAGGACTCCCCAGCCATGCAGAACTGTGAGTCAATTCAACCTCTTTCCTTAATAAATTACCCAGTCTTGGGTATGTCTTTATTAGCAGCATGCGAACAGACTAATACAGTGTATATTTTTGTTCTAGTGATTATCACTAAATGAATACCTTTATAATATAACACCTTTAGCTATCTCTTTACTTAGATATTTAGATATTATCTGTTAGTTTGCTAATATAAGCTGTAGTAAAATTAGTTATTAATTATTTATTTTCCTCTCCCTCCCCTCTGTCTACTAATTGTTGCTCAGGGTTTTATACTTATGATCGGAAATAAACATCTGTCACTTGCTTTTTCAGTTTCAAGTTATATCATTTTATTCTCACATAATAACCAGAGGCAATCAAAGACCTTATTCTATTTTATACCTACTGTCTTTCTATTCTCCCATTTTCAGTTAGTTGTGTTAAAAGAAACACTTTCGACAAATTAAATTTAGCAAAATTTAACTGAGTAAAGAACAATTTGCAAATAAGGCACACACACCCGCCCTCCCTACTGGCCCTCAATTAGAATGGGTTTAGAGCAACTCTGGTGCTTGTCTATGGTTAGAAAGGGTTTATAGACAGAAAAAAGAGAGTGATGTAGACAAAATAGAAGTGAAATACAGAAACAGTTGGATTGGTGACAACTTGGTGTTTGCCTTATTTGAACCTGCTTTCAGCAGTTGGACCATGTTTGATTGGCTGAAACTTGGTGATTGGTAAAAGAGTAGGTTACAATCTATTTACCATCCGGTTAGGTTTCAGTTCATTATGTAGAGAGAAACCTTTAGGCTAAATTTAAAATATGTAAGGAGGCGGCTTTAAGCTAAACTGAATTTAATAGTTGAATTATTTCTACATTGTCAGAGCACGTAGCACTTATAGCTTTGTCTTCCATCTTTTAATTTTAGTTCTTCAGTTACCTACATTTAATATTGACCTCTAAATTTATGCTGAAGGTTTCATGACAATTTTGTAGTTTCCTGAAATGTGGTCTGTGATAGATTCCTGCATGTTCATAACTGGTTGCCTGTGGCCTTTATACTTGAAGAATAGTTTAGCTAAAGATAAAATCCTTCACTCAAATTTCTCCATGAGAATGTTGCCTCAGTTAAAATACTACTTAAAGAATGCTGATGATAATATGATTCTTGTTTGCATTTCTTTGACATACAGAATGGACTTTTTGTTATGTTCAAAGAATATTTTCCTTATATTTTATAGCCCAATTATTGTATTAAAATATTTGTCAGTATTGAACATTTTAAGTCAACTTTTCAAATTAGAGAATGCCCTCTCAAAATATTAAAATGCACATATATATGGCTTTTTTTTCAAGTCTTTTATGACAGCAACATTTCCTTGAAATATAGTTTTAAATATTGTTTCATTGCTTCAGTTTTCTTTCCTGGGGACTCCAATAAAATGTGTATCAGCTCTCCCTTGCCTTGGTCCTTTATCACCTTCTCCAGAAGACTTTTGTTTCTTTTAGTTTCTTTTTTCCCATAGAAAATAACAATTTTATTTATTTATTTAATAGTTTCCAATTTTATTTTAGATTCTGGAGAACATGTGCAGGTTTGTTATATGAGTATGATGCTGAGGTTGGGGATACAAATGATCCCATCACCCTGATAGTGAGCATAGTTTCCAACAGTTAGGTTTTCAACCCTTGCCACCTTCACTACTTTCGACCTCTATTAGTCCTCAGTGTCTACTGTTGCCATCTTTATGTCCATGAGAACCAAATATTTAGCTCCTATTTATAAGAGAGAACATATGGTATTCAGTTTTCTATTCCTGTACAATTAGCTTAGGATAATGGCCTCCAGTTCCACCCATGTTGCTGCAAAGGACATGATTTTATTATTTTTTAATGGCTGTGTGGTATTCCACAATGTATATGTACCATATTTTCCTTATCAAATCGATTTTTGATAGGTATCTAGATTGATTCCTTGTCTTTGCTATTGTGAATAGTCTTGGAATGAAGATACAAGTGCATATGTTTTTGTGGTAGAATAATAGATTTTCTTTTGGATATATACTCCATAATGGAGTTGTTGGGTCAAATGGTGGTTCCATTTTAAGTTATTGAGAAACCCCCAAACTGCTTTTCACAGTGGCTGAACTAATTTATATCCCCACCAACAGCATATGTGTTCCCTCTTCTCCACAGCATCACCAGCATCTGTCAATTTTTGACTTTTTAATAATAGCCATTCTGATTGGTGTAAGATGGTATCTCATTGTGGTTTTAATTTGCATTTCTTTGATAATTAGTGATACTGAGCATTTTTTCATGTTTCTTGTCCACTTCTTCGTCTTTTTTGAGAAGTGTCTGTTCATGCCATTTGCTTACTTTTTAATGGGGTTGTTTTTGTCTTGTTGTGTTGTTTAAGTTCCTTATAGATTCTGGATATTAGACTTTTGTTGGGTGCATAGTTTGCAAATATTTTCTCCCATTCTGTAGGTTGTCTGTTTACTATATTGATAATTTCTTCTGTTATGCAGAAGCTCTTTAGTTTAATTAGGTCACACTTTCAATTTTGATTTTGTTGCAATGGCTTTTGAGGACTTAGTCATAAATTTTTTCCTGAGACCAATGTCCAGAATAGTGTTTACTAGATTTTCTTCTAGGATTCTTATGATTTGAGGTCTTACATTTAAATCTTTAATTCATCTTATTTTTGTATATGGTGAAAGGTAGGGGTCCAGTTTTATTCTTCTGCATATGGTTAGCCAGCTATCACTGTACAATTTATTGAATAGGGAATCTTTTCCCCATTGTTTATTTTTGTCAACTTTGTTGAAGATCAGATGGCTGTATAAATGCAGCTTTATTTCAGGGTTCTTTGTTATTTTCCGTTGGTCTGTGGGTTTGTTTTTGTACCACTATTGTGTTATTTTGGTTACTGTATAGCCTTATAGTATAGTTTGAACTTAAGTAATGTGATGCCTCCAGTTTTGTTGTTTTTGCTTGGATTGCTTTTGCTATTTTGGCTCTTTCTTTTTATTCCATATAAATTTTAGGATGTTTTTCTAACTCTGTGAAAACTGAAATTTGTAGTTTGATAGAAATAGTGTTGAATCTCTAGATTGCTTTGGCCAGTATGGCCATTTTAATAATATTGAGTCTTCCATTTCATGAGCCTGGACTAGTTTTCCATTTGTTCGTGTCACTATGATTTTTTTCGGTGTTTTCCATCTATGATATGTTTGCAGTGTTTTGTTTTTCTCCTTGCAGAAATCTTTCACCTCCTTGGTTAGATACATTCCTAGGCATTTTACATTTTGTCTGTGGCTATTGTAAATTGCATTGCATTCTTGATTATACTCTCAGCTTGAGCATTATTGGTGTACAGAAATGCTACTCAGTTTTGTACATTGATTTTGTATCCTGAAACTTTACTGAAGTTGTCTGTCAGTTCCAGGAGCCCTTTGGCTTAGTCTTTATGGTTTTCTAGGTATAAAGTCATATCATCAGTGAAAAGAGGTAGCTTGGCTTCTTTTTCTATTAGAATGCTCTTCATTTCTTTCAGTTAATTGCTCTGGCAAGGACTTCCAGTACTATGTTGAACAGGAGTGGTAAGAAGAGATATACTTGTCTTGTTAACAGTTCTCAAGGGGAATGCTTCCAGCTTTTGCCCCTTCAATATAATGTTGGCTGTGGGTTTGTCATAGATGACTCTTACTATTTTGAGATATGTTCCTTTGATGCCTATTTTGTTGACAGTTCTTGTCATGAAGGGATGCTGGATTTTATTGGAGGCTTTTTCTGTGTCTGTTAAGATGATGATATGGTTTCGGGTTTCAATTCTGCTTTTGTGGTGAGTCACATTTATTGATTTGTGTATGTTGAACCAAACTTGCATACCAGGCATGAAGCCTACTTAATTGTGGTGAATTAACTTTTTTATGTGCTGCAGGATTCAGTTTGCTAGTATTGTGTAGAGGATATTTTTGTCTATGTTCACCAGAGGTATTGGCCTGTAGTTTTCTTTTTTTTGTTGTTGTGTCTTTTCCAGGTTTTGGTATCAGGGTGATGTTGGCTTCATTGAATGAGATAGTGAAGAGTCTCTCTTCCTCAATTTTTTAGAATAGTTTCACTTGAATTGGTATCAGTTCTTCTTTGTACACGTGGTAGAATTCGGCTGTGAGTCCATTTTGTTTGAGGCTTTTTTGTGTTTGTAGGTTTTTTATTAATGATTAAACTTCAGAACTTAATATCAGTTGCTTCAAGGTTTCAATTTCTTCCTGATTCAATCTTGAGATGTGTGTTTCCAGAAATTTATCCATTTCCTCTAGATTTTCTAGTTTGTGTGCACAGATGTGTTCATAATAGTCTCTGAGGATCTTTTGTATTTTTGTGGTATTAGTTGTAATGTCACCTTTGTCATTTTTGATTGTGCTTATTTGGACCTTCTCTCTTTTTCTCTTTTATTAATCTAGCTGGAAGTCTATCAGCCTTGTTTATCCTTTTCAGGAATTAACTTGGGTTTTGTCAATTCTTTGTATGGATTTTTGGATCTGAATTTCATTCAGTTCTGCTCTGATTTTAGTTATTTTGTGTGTGTGTGTGTGCTAGCTTTGGGGTCAATTTGTTCTTGTGTTTTCTAGTTACTCTAGGCGTGATGTTAAATCATTAATTTGAAATTTTTCTAATTTTTTGAGGTTGGTGTGTTAGCCCTATAAACTTTCCTCTTAACACTGCTTTTGCTGCATCCCAGAGATTTTGATATGTTTTGCCTCTGTTTTCATTTGTTTCAAAGAATAATTTGATGTCTGACTTAATTTCATTGTTTATCCAAAAGTGATTTATGAGCAATTTGTTAAATTCCTATGTAATTTTGTGGTTTTGAGGGATCTTCTTGATATTGATTTTAATATTTATTCCACTGTATTCTGAGAATATGGTTGGTATGATTTCACTTTTTTTAAATTTATTGAGACTTGCTTTATGGTTGAGCATGTGGTCAGTTTTAGAGTATGTTCTGTGTACTATTGAGACAAATGTGTTTAATGGGTGAAACATTCTGTAGATGTTTATTAGATCCAATGGTCAAGTGTCAAATTTAGGTCCAGAAGTTCTTTGTTAGTTGTCTGCCTCAATTGATCTGTCTAAGAGCATCAGTGAGGGGTTGAAGTTCTGCACTATTATTTTCTTGGTGTCTAAGTCTTTCTGTAGGTCTAGAAGTAGTTGCTTTAAGAATCTGGTGTTCCAATGTTGGGTATATATATTTAAAGTAGTTAACTCTTCTTGACTTAACTTGAATTGAACCCTTTGTTGTTATGTAATGCCCTTCTTTGTCATTTTTTGCTGTTGTTGGTTTAAAGTCTGTTATTTCTGATATAAAAACAGAAACTTTTGCTCTATTTTGTTTTCTAAATATTTGTGTGATTTGTTTTTCTCCAACACTTTACTTTGATCCGATGGGTGTTGTTATGTGTGAGATGGGTTTCTTCAAGAGACCCATCTAGAAGGGTCTTATTTTTTTACCCAACTTTCAGCTCTATACCTTTTAAGTGGGGCATTTAGATCATTTAAATTCAAGGTTAACATTGATATGTGAGGCTTTGATCCTCTTGTGAAGTTGTTAGTTGGATGCTTTATAGTCTTCATTGTCTAGTTGCTTTATAGGGTCTGTGAGCTATGTACTTAAGTGTGATTTTGTGGTAGCAGATACTGT
The DNA here is from genome assembly GCF_000001405.40 of Homo sapiens. Lineage (NCBI taxonomy): Eukaryota > Metazoa > Chordata > Mammalia > Primates > Hominidae > Homo > Homo sapiens. Next base: position 90,049,228 of record NC_000010.11, read on the forward strand.
TCTTTCATTTTCATGTTTAGAATTCACTTAAGAATCTCTTGTAAGGCTAGTCTAGTGGTAACAAGTCCCCTTAGTGCTTGCTTGTCAGAAAAAAAAATCTTTTTTCTCCTTTGCTTATGGAGCTTAGTTGGCAAGATAGAAATTCTTGCTTGGAATTATCTTTTCTTTAAGAATGCTGAAAATTGCTGAGTTCAGTGGCTCATCCTTCCAATCCCAATACTTTGGCAGCTTGAGGTGGGAGGATTGCTTGAGCCTCCAGGAGTTCAAGACCACCCTGGGCAATATAGTGAGACCTTGTCTCTACAAGTAATAATAAAAATTAGCTGCGTGTGGTGGCATGTGGCTGTTGTCCCAGCTGCTCAGGAGGCTGAGGTGGGAGGTTCACTTGATACTGGGAGGTTGAGGCTGCAGAGAGATGTGATCGTTCCACTCTATTCCATCTGAGGCAACAGAGTAAAACCAAGTCTCAAAAATAATGATAATGATGATGATGATGATGATAATAATAATCATATAATGCTGAAAATAGGTCTCCAGTTTCTCCTGGCTTGTAAGCTTTCTGCTGAGAAGCCTGCTGTTAGGCTGAAGGAGTTCCCTTTGTACATCATCTAACCTTTTTCTCTAGCTGCCTTTAAGATTTTTTCTTTATTGTTGACCTTGGTGGCTATATGTCCTGGTGATGTTCATCTTGTACAGTATCTCATCTTGTATAGTGTCTTGTATGTACAAGTCTTTTCTGGATTTCTTGTATCTGGATGTCTACCTCTCTAGCAAGATTAGGCAAGTTTTCTTGAATTATTTCCTCAAATATGTTTTCCAGGTTGTTTACTTTTTCTTCTTGTCAGTTAAGAATGCCAATAATTTATAGATTTGGTCACTTTACATGATCCCATATTTCTTGAAGACTTGTTTATATTTCTATTTGTTAAAAATTTTTTTTGGGCCGGGCGCGGTGGCTCACGCCTGTAATCCCAGCACTTTGGGAGGCCGAGGCGGGCGGATCACGAGGTCAGGAGATTGAGACCATCCCGGCTAAAACGGTGAAACCCCATCTCTACTAAAAATACAAAAAATTAGCCGGGCGTAGTGGCGGGCGCCTGTAGTCCCAGCTACTTGGGAGGCTGAGGCAGGAGAATGGCATGAACCCGGGAGGCGGAGCTTGCAGTGAGCCGAGATCCTGCCACTGCACTCCAGCCTGGGCGACAGAGCGAGACTCCGTCTCAAAAAAAAAAAAAAAAAAAATTTTTTTTGTCTGACTTGCTTAGTTTGAAAGATTAGTCTTCTAGCTCGGAAATTTTTTCTTCTTCTTGGTCCAGACTATTGATTAAAACTTTCAGTTGTATTTTGAAATTCCTTAAGTGAGTTTTTCAATTCCAGAAGCTCTGATTTGTTCCTTTTAACACACTCATCTTTTCCTTCATTTCCTGGATTGCTTTAGAAGTTTCTTCATGTTGATTTTCAACTTGTCTTGCATCTCATTGAGCTTCCTTGCAATCCATGCTTTTAATTCTTTATCTGTCATTTATGAGTTTCTATTTTGGTTAGGAAACATTGCTGAAGAGCTAGTGTAATCCTTTGGTGGTGTCACTACATTCAGATTTTTCATGTTGTCAGAATTCTTGTGGTGGTTTCTTCTCATCCGGAGATGCTGGTATTGCTAATTTTTTGTAATTATTTTCATGTGAGTAGAATTTTTTTCTTTTTCTTTCTTTCCCTATAACATGATTTTTTTTTCCCTTTTATTCCCCTAGTCCTCCCTCCTTGGGGTGTGTGATTGTACAGAATGTTGGGTAGGGTTGTTTGGCTTTACTTCTATAACTCTATGCATTTCTTTCAGCAGATTTTATATTGGGATGTGTGGTTCAATCTACAAGGCAATACATAGCACTTATGGGTAAGAACCAGCTGTGGCCAATGTGTCTGTGTACATACTTGACTCTTGTTTACTAGGAGAAGCTCTCATTACCTCAGGCAATGGGCTGATCTGTGGAGTGCACAGTAGTCTGAGATCCCTGCTCAGCCTTGGGAAAACATGGGAACATCATCAGCAGGTCCAGACTGGGCAGACCTATTTATAGGTCCCCCAATGGCAGACATGTGCACCAGTGCTGAGGAAGAATCAAGTGGGTGACCACCAAGTACTCAGAGGTGTGCCCAGATGTGGAGCTGAGAAACCTCCTCAGCTCCAAGTTATCTGCATGGGTATGGGGGTGGCCTAAACCCCTAATCCAGGAGAGTGGGTGCTTCAGGTGCCTGGAGACCTGCCTGGCTGTGCAGATGGCCCTGCTACACCACAATCCCTGCCCAGGAAGGGTAGGGCAGCTCAGGCTGGTAACAGATGCTCTGACTGCTGGAAAATATGCCTGGATGTGGAGAAGAGAGGGCCATGTTTCACCATGGTCTCTGCACAGGAGGGGTGAGCTGGCTCAGGCTTCTGTTTCAGGTGAGTGGGTGTTCTGAGTGCCTGGAGATCTGCCTGGGCATGAAGTGGAGAGGCCCTGCTTTACCACAATCTCTGCACAGGAAGGGTGGGGAAGCTCAGGCTGCTATTCTGGGTAAGTGGGTGCTTGGATTCCTTGGAGATGTGCCTAGGCATCAAACAGAGAAAGCCCTGCTGCACCACAATCTTTTTTATCAGCTGAATGCTGTCACGGGGCTGTTTGCCTCCCTGGGATCTGTGATAGCCTTCAGGATTCTGGTAGATTCCCGTTTTCTGAATTAAAGCTCAGAGAGTTGATCTTTATGCACTATCTTGCTATTTTCAAGTGGCTGAGGCATATTAAAAGCTTCTAGTCTGTCATCTTGCAAAAAAAAAGGGAAATATCTATGTGAATTTTCTTTTACTTATCTATTTTCTGTAATTTATTTCCTTTCGTTGCTATAGATTGTATTTACTTCCTCTTGTGTTTGTGTTTGTTTTGTATTTCTTGTAATTTGATCTTAATCTGAAATATATTTTTAATACTCTTGAAAATTTCAGTAATTATCCTTTACCTTATTCCTGTTGTCTAGAGATGTCATTTTTGAACTATTCTCTTTCTGATTTTTGCTGATTTTTAAAGATTCAATTATTTTCTTTATTTTAGCTCATTAAAAAATAGGTAAGAGGTTTTCATCTGCTTTAAAGTCATACTTATTGTTGGTATGTTCTTATTGCCTTGTGAAACATTATGAGATTTTCAACTTTTTATGCCTTTTAATAACTTCATAAAGTGTTCGATCATATCCCTTTTTCTTTTTCATGTTTGAATGGAATGGGTTTTCCTGGGCTACTATGAGAAGGTTCCTCTGGGAGGGGTAAGAGGTCAGGGTGGTTTTCACAGCTTCATATTGAGGATTCTCTCCTCTCTTATTAGCTTGAAAGACTCAATTCATGACTCTCTGTAGCCACTTCTTAGTCTCTTAACATTACGTCTGATTCAGATAATTGTTCTGCCTCAGCCTGTGCTGTTTGTCCCTAACACTATATTCTCTGCGATGTGACTTTGAGACTTTCTAGGATCTGTGTTCTCTGGGCTTCTACCCCTCTGAGGAAGCCTTCTCTCTTTTTTAGTCCCCAGTGTTCTGATCCTGCTCAGTTAGGCTGCTGTTTACTGTCATCTTTCCTTAGGCTAGAGCCCTGTCTTTTGGATGGGAATATTTTATGGATATTTCTGAATTTCTTAAGAGCTTAATCTAGGAAAAAACCACTGATTTCATTACATATCCAAATAATAAATACCTTTTTTCAGTCACTTCCAAATTGAAGCCTCTGAGAATGTTTTCCAGTTTTGCTAATCAGTCTCAGATCCTTCAACCCAGGGCTCTACCTAAAGAGGTGTTCTCCACTTTTGAGAAGAAATAATTGTGTAGTTTTTTCCATTTCTGCATCTATCCTGATGACCTCGGTTGTCCCTTTTAATTTCATGCCACTCACGACCCTCAAATCTTGAATTTGTGTAGCTCCTACTGCACTTGGTGTTCTGGATACCCTCAGTCATATTCTGGGGTTCACAAAGTGCCCCATCACCAGGTGGTATTGACAAAGTTATCTACACATTTTTTTGAAGATATAAAATTTCATGTCCTGTTTGAATTTTAGGAAACCTTTTGGGGAGATCAAATATTAAACTAAATCCATGATAACATTATGAGAAATTCTAATCTAGAATTAGAATAATATAATCAGCATTGTTATCAAAACCTTTTAATTTTAATTAATTTTAAACTACTGTTTATAGTATAAATATATATTTCCACAAAGTTTTAAATTGCCTATTTATCTACACACACACACACACACACACACACACACACACACACATAATTTTATGTTTTGGAATGTGGGCTTGGTAGGGCATTTTTCTGGCAATGCATGCATACAAGTGTGTGCCTGTGTTTAGCACTATGGTTATTAACCAGATATTCCATAAACTGAGTCTATATTGTTTCCCTTGTCCCTCTCCTTATTATACTCAATACAATGTAGTTTTCCATGTTCTACTGTTATCATTCTGTACTTTTCATTTTCGACATTTGTCAAAAATTATAATTATATTGCAGTTTTTGTGCTGTGTTAGTTTCCTAGCGCTGCTATAACAAATTACTACAACCTCAGTGGCTTAAAACAAGAATTTATTCTCTCGCAGTTCTGTAATCAATGAGTTGGCAAGGCCACAGTCCCTCTGGAGATTTTGTGGGAGAGTCCGTTCTTTACTCCTTCCAGTTGCTGGTGGTTGCAGGCATTCCTTTGTGTCCTGTGGCTAATGGCTGTGTCACTCCAATTGCTGCCTCCGTTTTCATGTCACCTTCTCCTATGCTTGTCTGTGTAATCTTCCTCTGCCCCTCTCTTATAATAATGGATGTGATTGAATTTCAGGTCAACCCAGATAAGTCAGGATAAGTGCCTCCTCTCAAGAGTCTTTAACTTAATCATATCTTTTGCCATGTAAGGTAATAGTCACACCTTCTGGGGATTAGGATATGAACATATTTTAGGGACCACTATTTAGCCCATTACATATGCTATTCATTTTTACCAAATATCTGGCTTCTTTACTCGTTTCTAAGCTCCATGAGGTCAAGATCATGTCCTTTTGTCTCCTGATGTAGCTCTAGTTCCCAGTAGAGTACCCAATTCATAGTAGTTAATATACAGTCATTGAATAAACAAGTCTATGAATTTATGTAATTGAATTTCTTTTTAGAGTTAATCTGAGGCCTTAGCCTCAAACAATATGCTCTACCTGTAATTGATTTGGGAATTATAAACTCTAAAGGATTAGACCAACATTTATATATAAATATGGTATAATAAACGGAGTAACTCCTATTGAACTGCTTTAAGTGTTTTCTAGAATTCTGGAAGCATTTCTTCTTTCACTACACTTGGGATCTCTCATGTATTAACCTCTTACATGACTTATACCAACAATTTGAGTGTCCTATTGTATCCATTCCTCTTATATGTTCGGGTCCATGGAGTTATATTAAGACAAGCATTGCTTCAGGATTGATAGAGTGATGATCTTAGTGGCCAGCTCATTCTGCTACTTTTGTTCAGCATTTCTTTAAATAATTAGTGTATATCCTACCCACTTCCAATGCAATTTTGAATAACTTCTACACTTAATCCAAACAAACAAGACAGCAAATCTTTTTTTAAATACCATAAATAAAGTAGAAAGAGGAGAGGCATATATGTATTAGTACTCACAATGAGATAATTATTGTAATCATATTCTAACTTAAGCAATGATATAACTGATGATTGAAAATGAAAGAAAAATTAATTAATAACTTTAAAAATACATTCATTAAGGGATGAAAAGTTTTTTCTAACACCGGGTTCTAAAAGGAAGAATTTAGTTTATGTATATATTTTACTTACAAAGTGTCATTGGCTGTTAATCAAATTCATTAACTCTCCTGCCTCACCACCTATGCTCTTTCTGAATCTACTCTCAACTGCAAATTTCTCTGTGGCTTTGTGGAAATGTATGGGAGCCATAGGGAGGATGAATGGTGAATAGTAGCAAGGTGCATTAATACTTTTCCCCAAATCCATTTGCTTCTGAATACTGTGAACTTAATAATCAGTGAGTTTTAAAATTTTTATAATCAAGAATGAGAAGTCCTTTGAAAAGTTCAGAAATTGATGTGCTCACTTCACCATTGGTAGAAATCACTAGCCTGTAGTACACTGCTATAGCACTTGGCCCATAGTTGGCATGTATCCATATTGAATGAGTAAATAACTGAATGAAATTTAGGGCATGATATGGTTTGGATCTCTGTCCTCACATGTTCAACTGTGGTCCCCAGTGTTGGAGGTGGGGCCTGGAGGGAGGTGATTAGGGGGTGCATCCTTCATGAATGGTCAGGCACCATCCCTTTGGTGCTGTTCTGTGAGAGTTATCATGAGATCTGGTTGTTTAAAAGTGTGTGAACCTCGCTCACCCTGTCTCTTGCTTCTGCCTTGCAAGATGCCTGCCCTCACTTTGCCTTCCGCCAGGAGGGAAAGCTCCCTGAGGCCTCCTCAGAAGCACATGATGCCACACTTCCTGTACAGCCTGTGCAACCATGAGCCAATTAAATCTCTCTTCTTTAGAAATTACCCGTCTCGGGTATTTCTTTATAGCAGTGTGAGAACAGATTAATACAGGGCACTTAGAGCTATAATGCAGCTCTACATTTTTTCCACTATTTTACTTAGTTTGAGGCAATCAGGCCCTAGGCATAATTTTCCAATGCTCCCCTCTCTGTTCACAGGCTTCTTTTTATCTTACACAGCCTTTCCTCTTTACTTGGTGTGTTACTGAAGATGTTTCTCTCCTTTCTTAAGACCAATCCCTCCACCTTGCTATGGATCATGTCCTTTTGATCTCATAAGGAACTTGGTTCTAACCACCATCTCTTCCCTTTTCGTAATCTCAACTGCACTCTCTATTAGGTCTTTACTTTCTGTATGTAAACATGCTCAAATATATTTCATCTTGATGAATACAATTTTTAAAAAACTCTTCACAATTAAGCTTCTTTAAGATAATCTTACTCTCTTCTTTCACTCACTTACTCATTCACCACTCTTGCATTCATTTACTTATTTGTTGAACAAATATTGATTGACTCCTAAGGATTAGGATAGAGCAATGACTGAGCACTAATCCTACCCCCAAAGTGATTATAGTATAACTGTATAGATGCTCAAGTAAACAGGTTATTATAATACAAAATAACAAGATTTTTGATAGGTGTAAAGTAAAACATTACAAGTTCTTTGCTATTTCTTCATTAAGAGGTAGAGTCTCAACATCACTAATGATCAGGAAAATGCAAATCTAAACTATAATGCAATACCACCTTACTCCTGCAAGAATGGCCATCATAAAAAAAAAGTAGATGTTGGGGGCAATGTGGTGAAAAGGGAACACTTTTACACTGATGGTGGGAATGTAAGCTAGTACAACCACCGGGGAAAACAGTGTGGAGATTCCTTAAAGAAGTAAAAGTAGAACTACCATTTGATCCATCAATCCCACTACTGGTTATCTACCCAGGGGAAAATAAGTCATTATATGATACTTGCACATGCATGTTTATAGCAGCATAATTTGCAATTGCAAAAATACAGAATCAGCTCAAATGCCTATCAATCAACAAATGGATAAAAAAATTGTGAGATATATATCTATGTCTATATACACATCACAGAATACTACTCAGCCATAAAAAGGAGCAAAATAATGGCAGTCACAGCAACCTGGATGGAACTGTAGACCATTATTCTAAGTGAAGTAACTCAGGAATGGAAAAGCAAGCATTGTATGTTCTCACTTGTAAGTGGGAGCTAAGCTATGAGGATGCAAAGGCATAAGAATGATACAATGGACTTTGGGGACTCAGGGGAAAAGGTGGGAGGAAGGCAAGGGATAAAAGACTACAAACTGGGTACAGTGTATACTTCTCAGGTGATGGGTGCACCAAACTCTCAGAAATAACCACTAAAGAACTTGCTCATGTAACCAAACACCACATGTTCCCTGAAAATCTGTGGAAATAATAATAAAAAAAAAAAGAGGTAGAGTCTAATTCCTCTTCCCTTGGATATAGGCTGGCCTTAGTGACTTGCTTGATCAATAGAATATAGTGGGAGTGCAGTTCTGGGATTTCCAAGCCTAGGTTCTAAGAAACCTTGCAGCTGCTGGCTGAATTTTTTGGAATTCTTGCTTTTAAGATGTTCTCAGATCTCTCAGCCACCATCTTATTAGAAACCCAAGTCAACTGAAGAAACTACAGTTAGGTACTCTGGCTGACAGCTCTAGTTGAGTTTCCAAATGACAATAAGCATCAACTTCCAGCCAATTAAGTGCATAATTTTTGACCTCCATCCCAGTCAAGCCTTCAAATGACTCCAGCACCAGCTGCTATGTGACTGCAACAGCATGACAAATCTGAAGAAAATTCTGCCCAGCTGAACCCAGTAAACCCACATAATCTTAAGAGATAACATTAAGTTGTTTTTCAGATCCAAAATTTTATGATGGGTTGTTATTTAACAATAGATAACTAGAATAGCTGCACATGTGGGGCAGTACCTTTCCCATACCTGGCTTCTCATTTGGGCTGGCTTCCCAGGAGATGTGACCTGGTAACATTTTGGGCCCTTGGGATTTCACATTGCAAAAAATGTGATCCACATTTGCCATGAGCTTATGCACTAACACCACAGTCAAGGGTCTGTAAAAAATGATGAGGGCAATGATAACATAGGCATGTTGCACCAATTGCAGTGTTTCCCCAGTTGGCATCCTTTAGAATATTGTATACAAGAATACTAGTTAATAAGTGTGTGTTAAAAATTGTTTCATGCTCAAATAAGTTTGGGAAATTATGTTAATCAATGTAAAATGCAGTTTGTTTATTGCAGGACTTCTCAGAACCTTTAGTATGTTGAGGTTCTTTATTAATCTCTAAGATGTGGCAATTAACCAATAAACTCATCTTTTCTTCATTCATTAACTGTGCCATGGTATGTCACTGTGTAAAATACTGTTCTATGTGTTTCCATATTTTATTATAACTTGAGAGAAAGTAAGAGAATTTTGAAGGAACATGGCTTGCTGTTTCTCCTTCCCAGAGAGGTAATGTGACATAGTAGGAAGTATACAGATTCCGGGAATTAGCAGACAAAGAAGCGAATCTTGCTCTTTCCTTTTAACTGTTTAATTGACATTGGATTCTTTCCATTTTCTGAGCCACGAAGTTTTCATTTAAAAAGGGAATGCTTTCATTTGGACTATAGATTTTTAAATATAGATTTTATAGAGCTCCTAGTTCCATGAATCCCTTGAAATTACACAAACATAGATTTCCTGGGGAAGGGATCCATAGCTCCTATTAGATTCTCAAAGGGGTCCCTGATCCAAAGAAGACAACTACTAGACTAGATTATTTCTAAGCCTATTCCAGATGAATGTTAATCCAGTACAATTTCAAAAAAGAAAAGTGGTACTTTGGTCTTTATCTTACTAGTTGATTTTTAAACTACATGCTTGTACTAGCTTAAATGAATGGTTCAATTGAAAGGAAATATTTTATTACTTTCTTAATAAAATTTAAGAAAGCCAAAATTTGTTTTCTTTTTCATGCTGGAAAACTCTCAACAGGTTTGATATGAATTGCAGAGTAACAGGAATCCCAAAGCTCAAACAATTATCTAAATGGGTGCAGAATTTATATTGAATTCTCAAATTGGAATTGAGATTGCATTAAAAATACTTTGAAAGTAATTCTACTCTTGAGTTTTTAAGTGATTTCATTTTAGGTTTGTTTAAGAAGAATACTGAGTTGAGTGAATGAAGAATTTCCCCAATTCAAAAACATTCACAGCGTGGCTGGAAAGCAAAGGATTGAAGCCATTATGTAAATATTAAGGTCTAGTTTAAGCTATTTAAACACTTGTGTTAGTTACCCACTAGACCTCTTATTCTTTAGGAGCTTGATTGTCTAGACGGGTTGTGTCCTCATTAAATTAAAGATGTTTGTTCTCTACCTTATTCTTCTGTGGCAATGACCAAGACATGTATTTTTACAGTTGTTTCTTCTAGATATTTACAAATAAGCTACGTTACATGGATGGAGAAAAGTTTCTTTTTTAAAACTTAATTTCTTCCTTTCTTAGGCTGTGGCCAGATAAGTTCTTTTTGGAGGCTTCTCCCTGCTACCTCCTAGAGCAAGCAAACTGTCTGAGTGTCCATGTACAAGACAGGGTTGTGGTTTGGGATGTATTCCTGGCATGACTGCTTGTTATTTCTTCAATTGGGTCCTCGACTCCTTCCTTGAACCCTGCATTTCACTAAACCAGTAGCAGTTGTTAATGTCTCTTTCAATAAAGGTATAGAGGCTCTTATTCTCATTGATTGCCTAGAGAATAGCCTGCATTTATTCCTGCAGAGGCCCGACAGAAGCCTCTGAGATAATGGTCACCTGGGTCATGTTTCCTAGGTGGCTGAGGCAGTCAGGTGAGAATGAACCCAAGTCTAGTTCTGAAAGGTAAGCATCCACATCCCAGGGCACTCTACTACCTAATTATCTTATTTTAGGAGCCAGAGACATTCCAGTGGTTTTCAGAAGGGCACCTGCTGGTAATGCCAGTACCAGTTTTATATTGCTAGACGTACATGGTCCCATCCCAGGATCCTGAAGGGGACAACTGGCCATCTGAAGAGCTTATCTGACAAACTAGAGGTGGTGACTCTTCAGCAGTGTTGGGAGTTCACATAGTGCGTTTTCTCATGAGACGGCTTCTTCATGATGGTGATTTTATTATCCTGCTGGAGAGAGAAAATCATGTTTAGACATAAGAGAACGGATGGTAATGACCTGGACCATCCAAATGCTGAGATCTAGAAGGATGCCTTGAACAATAGGCTGCTCAGCCACATTAATGCCAAGAGGGAATTTGTTCCCTAAGGGAGCATAGAGTTGGAGTTTTCCTTTAACTACTACTTAAAGGTCACCTCAATGAAGCTTACCCCAACCATCTTACTTAAAATCGAACCCTTGGATGCTCCTGCTCCTCCTCTACTTTACCTTTTCCATAGCCCTTATCCTTTTTATATAATACAACTAAGTCATGTTTGATTTTACAATCTGTTCCCCCTCTAGAATGTAAGCGCCACACTGGCAGAGATTGATTCATGAAAATTAAGTCAAACCATATAAAATAAAATTTCTATTTTGGGGTATTAATACAATGCTATGTCTCAAGAATTTAAAATGATGCCCAGTACATATTTTAATATTTATTGAATAAATGGTAGAGAAGCAGCACTAATTCTGCATATCAACCAGACAGCAAGAAAAATGTTGTGGGAAATATTTTCATTCAGAGTTCAAATATTCCTCATGAACTCTAAGCAAGCTCTTCCTGAAAAATGACTCAAAATATTCATTCATCAGTAAATATTTTTTGGATGCTAATGTGCATAAAAGAGTAGGGGAAGGATTGACAGCAGCTACCTGCACCCCTGCCAAAAGTCTTTTCAAGCATCCCACTCTGACCTCCAGCCCGTCACCTCCCTTACTCTGGAACTCCCACACCAGCAGGGAACTGGAGGACTCCACTCCTATCACTCTGCAAGCCTTTTCCTTATCCATTTACCCATTAAGAGCCTCAGTTCCATTTTTACTCTTCATGTCACATCACGATGATGGCTCCTTTGTAAACACCCTCACTCATTTGTCCACTCCCCCTTCATCACACCTTCCTGGCAAACCATCATCACTGCCCAGGAACAATTCTCTAATTTCACCTGAGAAATTGAATCAAGTCTTTTTTTTCAGATAAGAAAACCAAAACTTAGAATGAAGAGATTTGTTCAAGGCACACACAGCTAATAATGATAGTAATTTTCATGACCACCAATATTTATTAAACAAATGCTTTGTGTCAGGCATCGACACTAACATGAGCTCACTTAATTTTTGTGACAACCCTCCCCCCATGTAAATTAATATGTTGAGGTTCAGGGAGGTCAAATAAGTAACCCAAGTTTACCCTGCTGGTCAATAGCCTACATTTAATCAGACAACAACTTTTTATTGAACTCATAATCTCTGCAAGCAGAGCTGTACTGAGGACTAGCTCTGCAGTGGGGAACAGAACAGACACAGTCTTTGCTTTAATGACATAGTAGAGACCAATATTTATAAAGTTTTTACTAGGTCCCAGGCATTGTTTTATTTCACTCTCACCGCAACTCTGTGACTTATTATTGTTATTACATGTAATTTTCAGATGGGAAATTGAATCTTAAAGAAGGACCTTCTAAAGGCCAGTTTGCTGGTAGATGAGCTGATGAGGTTGGTGTATGAACCCATGAAACCTGGCTTCAAAGTTCATTCTTATCACTATGCTATGCTTCTCCCTAGAGATTAAAGCCAGGTGGATCAGACGTACACTAACAGTAAAACACAAATACACACCGAGACCTTCAGACTGTCTTCCAGACCCATCAGAAAGACAATCTAGTGCCAATGGACCTCTTATTGCCCTTCACATAACATCACCCTTTCCTGGCCTGCCAGGTCTATGGGGCTGTGGAACTGTGTGGATTGATGTTTGCCAAGTTGTTCATTCTTATAATTTGCATGATATTAAGCAAACCCAATGTTTATATAATGATTTTTATTGAATGCAAAAAAGCCTGTCAAGTTAAAGAGAAAGGAAATGCTTATAAACATTCCAAACATTTGTTTTGTGTTGGCTGGAGTTGGAGTCTAAATGAAAGCTGCAAGTGTGACTAATAATTATAATCTAATTTAGTGCACTGGATTGGAAAGGAGTAATTACTACATAGGACTTTTTGGAGTAAATGATTTATGGTTGACCTACAGTAGATTATTAATTTGGAAAAGAGAAGAATTATAATGCAAATTAATTAAGTTTGGAGCCCTTTCTGATTAGGCTGATAGAACAGTGGAAAATTCCAGGGCCTCACATTATTTGGCTGAACTTGGATTTGGGATATGGCATAAATATTTGGCTGGAGTCTGCAGGGCTTAGGTGTAAAGATATAGACTTCATGCTGATCCCAGAGCCTTTTCGATCTGATCAAGGAAGAGCCCTGAAGGAGGAACTAAATCTTCTATTCCACAAGGAAAATGTATCCTCATAGAATGTTTATGTACTCCAAAATTTATTCTTTTCAATTTGATGATCTCTAAGGTCAACCATAACCACCATCATCACCTCACCACAGTTTACTCAATACTTTCAGTAAGCCAGATGTTACATCCAGGGATTTCCAATCTCTGCAAGATTGACATTTTGTTGTAAAATGTTGTTCTATGCATGTAGGATGATGAGCATCATCCCTCGCCTGTATTCACTAGAAGCCAGTAGCATCCTCCTCCTTTTGTGAAAACCCAAAATGCCCTCAGACACTGCTGAGTATCCCCTGAGAAGGATGGGCAAGATTTCCCCATGTGAGAATCCTTTATGTGCATTATCTAGTTCATTTCTTACAACACTCTGTGAGGCTGGTATATTAGTACACTTAGTGCCCATTTCACAGGTGCAAACTCTGAGGCTTAGAGAGGTTGTATTTAATCGGAGTCACATGGCTAATACATGTTGAGGCCAGGATTCAAACACAGATCTGTAGTTATTCCAAACTCTGTTTTTAGATGAATGATGTTTTTGAGATTAAGTCATTCTTGATAAATAAACAAAAGTCAGGTGGTGGAGTGATTTGGCCAAAATCATACCACTGGGTTACTGGCTGTAACCGAGACATTCTTAAGCCAGTTGGTTATAGAAGGTGGTGATTCAGTGGATAAGTCAAAAGTACATTCACAGTGACCTTGGCTATGCTGTTGGTCTTACTTTTTTTCCTCTTTTTCAAATGTTACTCTTTTATTCTTACAGCTTAGATTTTGAGTACAGAGGGGTCTTTTGAATCTGCATCCGTTAACTCTAAAACAAACTGAGATTGTAAAATCTATTTCTCAGCATTGGAAAGAAACAGACCCCAGGGTTGTTGCTGCTTTACAATTATGTATAAAAGCTTTTCAACCCACACAAATGTTTTAACAGCCCATCTTTCCACCAGCAAGTAGAGAGAAGCCAAATAATCCAGTGAGTATTCTGTTCTATTACTGGAGACTCTGGTACTGCTGGTGGGCCAGTGGGTAGTGGGGGAAATAGCTGTAAGGCTATAATAAAACAGCAGCAGACAGCTTTAGATTAGAACTTTATGATGGCCACTCCAGCCAGCATTATTATTCAATTCCATGTGTAACACAGTGGGGCTGATCTGAAATCTCTGCCCAGTGGGTGCCTAACCACAGAAATCAATGTTTTCTCTACAGTTGATAGGCAAGTATTTTCAGAATCTGTTAAGCTGAAGAATCTAATAGAGAAATCTGCATAATTAGCTCTTTGACTAATCTTGCTTTTGCCTTAGGGTAAGAGGCAGTTTAGGATGCAAAAGCAGTTCCAATATTTGAACTGTAAGGAAAAAAGTTGGGCGTTAGTGGATTTTTCAGATGTAGGGCAAGAAACTTACTCTTCAAATAAAATGTCTCTGAAAGGTGTTCAGCTGTTTGGAATATAGCAATTTCCTGGTTGCAAATATATTTCTTAAAATGATACCCTGAGATGCTGCTGGGGTTTAATGATTGCGTGCTCAAGGATTATCTGACGCTAGAAATCTCGACCACAGATGTAGTTAGTGAGCAGGCCTGGACCAAAGGGGAGAAGTCAGTAGGACAGAGTGAGGACTAGCGTCAGCCAGCCAACAATACCTACCTGGTGATGCTAGAAGATGGGAAAAAACAACAACAACAACAACAACAACAACAACAAAACCCATCATTTCAAGATTCAAAAATGCAGTATAGTGTATTTTTTAGACTTCCAGGTTGACTGGGCTAGAAATAAACCACTATAGACATAGAATGTAGAGTTCAAAAGCCCACCTGTGGAATCAGATCATCTGGGTTCTAATCCTAGTTCTCTCACTAACTGGCTGTGTGACCTAGGGTGAGTTGTTGAATTTCTATGTGCTTTGTTGTCCTTATCATAGAACAAGTTTATAATAAAACTGGCCTAATAGAGTTGTCTATAAGGCTTAACTGAGGCAATATCAATAAAGATTTAGATCTGAGCATGACACATAGCATTTAGTGAATGCTAACCATTATATACAGTTTATCTCCCTCACTTACTAATGGGGTAACTAGGGCTCAGAATAAGTAGCAGCATAGCTGGAATCTTATCTTCTCCAGCCCTAGCATCAAAGGACTTTCATATGACTCACTTATAGCCCATCCTCACAATACCTCAGCAGGGCAGGGAAATGAAATGACAGAGTGAGTCTGGCACAAGTGAAATTAGCTTTCAAAGATCCTGAAAAACAATACAAACCCCTTCCCATCTGAAGAACTTGCTTCTTCAACACAACGACATCTGGGAATATAAGCCATTGCCATTAAACAGAAACATAAAGATTGATACACACCTTACTTTTTCCGATTCAGGATGCTATTGTGTACACAAATGCCTGGTTTAAGTTTTAGAATAAGGCAGAAGATCCTAAGTGTCTACAGGGGAATATTTCCGTCAAATTGTTGAAATTATCACACTTTGAGGAAAGGTTAAATGAGACCCCTAATGGCATATGATTAGGTATAGATGTTGAGTATATCTTGATTGGTAAAAGTCCTCTTTGAGTATACAGAGTAAATGCAGATTTTAACTGGTCAACATGTTATGACCATAAATGCTTTAAGTTTCACTGTTAATAAACTTCGTCTTTCTAATCAAGTTTAAAGCAATTGAACTAATCATCACTGGGTTTTCTTTGAACAGTCACTGAGTAATTAAGACAGTGAGGAGTGAACCTCTATTTCTCATACAACGTTGGTGGTGATGCACAAGGGAAATTAGGCCTTCTCTGATGGAAAGATCCAGTGGGGCAGTGTGGAACTCACCATGAATGGTGTACACAGCAGTCACAAAGTGTGCCTTGGAGGTCAATCAAATCAATTTGCTGATTTCCTGAGATGGATCAAAATTCTTCCACCTTTTCTCTAACCAAGTGCTTTGTCAGGAAGGGCTCAACACATCTTAATCGCAACCTACTGCATCTATCGGCAGCCATCTTTATCTTTAGATCTAGAAAACCTGGCCGGCAGGGTGGCTCATGCCTGTAATCCCAGCACTTTGGGAGGCCGAGGTGGGTGGATCACCTGAGGTCAGGGGTTTGAGACCAGCCTGGCCAAAATGGCGAAACCCCATCTCCACTAAAAATACAAAAATTAGCCGGGTGTGGTGGCTCATGCCTGTAATCCCAGCTACTCAGGAGGCTGAGGCAGGAGAATCGCTTGAACCCGGGAGGCGGAGGTTGCAGTGAGCTGAGATGGCGCCATTGCACTCCAGCCTGGGCACAAGAGAGAAACTCCATCTCAAAAAAAAAAAAAACAAAAAAAAAACTAAACAAAAAAACAACAACAACAAAGAAAAGAAAAGAAAAGAAAAGAAAAGAAAAGAGAGAAAAAGAAATAGAAAACCTGACTAATTGGCATTTTTTGTCCTGAGATTTTGGTAGAAGAATGAGAGAAATGGACTATTGGTGTTTCTCTTTCCTCTACCCACTTTCCTCTTTTAAAATGCACAATTTTATCAGACCATGTTGAGATAAGGAGGGGTTTGGAGGTTTTTAGAGATCAGCGGTATTTATGGATGAAGTGACGATTTAACTCCAGGAGACTGGGATTTGGAAAAATTATGTCATTTTTTTTTCTGACAGCCAGGACAGCACTTGAGGACTTCAAACATCTCTGATGGAACGGCCTGGTACTTTGATAAAAAGAAGGATGGTTTATTTGTGTTTTTAACCTTTTTGACTTTGTATTTTATCCTTCTGACTTTAGGTTAATGACTTTCTTTCTTCAGCATTGTGGATGAATTAGGTTTTGTCATGGGGAAAAACATGATCTGCAAATTCATCATTTTTTGAGACTGTGAATATCAGCAAAACTATCAACTTTCAGGAAAATGGAAAGTAAGAATATGATTTATGTTATATAAACACTTTGAGTATATATACTTCTGAGTTGTTCTTAATGTTAAGAAAGCAAGTTAAAGGTTTTTCAGAACTTAAAGACAGTTTATACAATTTAAATTTTGTTAAAATGGAATTGATTTCTTCCTCAAAATTTTTGAGGCACTTTATCATTGATCATGTAGAAACTACTAAATATCATGAACAATCTTTAAAGTACAGAAATCCCATGGACCTTCATGTTAGTGAAAGAAGTAAAATGTTGATTTATTTCTTAATTCAGTCATGATACATTTGCTAACCTCAAGAAAAAAAGAAGATGATTTATTAGGAAGTAAGACTATAAAGATAACCAAATTAGAAAATTTCATTAGAAGAACACATTACTTTCAATGCAATAAAGCCAATCCTGGTTCTGGTATTTACAAGCTATGTGACCTTGGGCAAAAGGTCGAGCCTCTTTGTGCTCCACTTTTCTCATCTGAAATATATTGCTGGGAGGCTTAATTGAGATAACGTTATAAAGTATCTGGCATTGTGCCTGTCACAGAGTAACTACCCTATACATATTGGTTATTATTTTTTCTTTCTTGCAATTTATGTCATCTTGTTCAATTTTACATGGCCATAAGCCACCTTTAAATCTTTTTGGAACTAGTGAGAGTAAATTATAAATTAATATGTTCAGTACATGTAGCTTCAGAAGTGGAGAATAGTCCTTGGGCATAGAATTGCCTATCGCCTTGGAAAATGTCACTGGAGTTCAAGGCCTAGTTCTTAGCTGTGCATATTTGGAAATTGAATTTTCCAACAGGTCTCTCAGAGATGAAGACTGAATACAGTGGAGAGAGAACTTCTGGATTCAAGGACATTGAAAATAATAGCTAGTAAGTGTCAAGCACTGTTTTAGGCACTTTGGATAAGTTTTTTTGATCTTTTTTATTTCAAAAGCATAGAATATGAGGCAGTTTTCTTGGGGCATGACCAGTTTTAATCATGTAACCTAAGATGTTTAGGATTATGGATCAGGCCCTGCCCAGGCTTAGCACAGGATATCCCTGTAAGAGAGGTGTCTATGTATTCTATTAAAAATGGATATATTTTATGTTTGTGACCTGTAAGGTCATTTAAAACATGGAGCTCTAGGCCAGGATCCCTCTTGCTCAGGTGTAGGGATGGTATTAGACTTAAATAATATAAGCAATAAAATATCCCTATTTACAGATAAAATTGTTAGGTCACAGTGAGATTAAGATTCTTTTTTTTTTTTTTTTTTTTTTTTTGAGATGGAGTCTCACTCTGTCGCCCAGGCTGGTGTACAGTGGCACAGTCTCCGCTTACTGTAATCTCCACCAGCCAGGTTCAAGCAATTCTCCTGCCTCAGCCTCCTGAGTAGCTGGGACTACTATAAGTGCGTGCCACCATGCCTGGCTAATTTTTTGTATTTTCAGTAGAGACGGGGCTTCACCATGCTGGGTAGGCTGGTCTCGAACTTCTGACCTCAGGATCTACCCGCCTCGGCCTCCCAAAGTGCTGGGATTAAAGGTGTGAGCCACCATGCCTGGCCCGGAGATTAAGATTCTTATACAGGGAGATGCAGCTAGTTAATTACACATAGGGTTTAGATAAAGACTGTCTTATCCAGAAGGTTGTGCTTTTAACCACTACACAGTAGTCCTTACTTATGTGTTCCTGAATTGGTATTACTGTACCCTATATCCCTGTTTTACATATTTTTGGGGCCACAGAGAGCTCCAGGAGGCCACAGACATGGGTGAAACTTATGCGTGTCCAAGACAATTCTCCTATGAACTCATGTGTCCATTCTCTACTTCTCTTCTGACACATACCATACATTATCAATATTCATTTATTTTTTTCTTAATTTGGATATATTAAAGCTAGAGATATGAACAAAAAGGTCATGATATGAACAAGCCATTTCTTTGGGTCCACTTGAGTGCCTGTGCCTTGGAAAAGGACATTGGAATTCAGGGTCTCTTGTTCAGGGTCTGGAGTTCAGGGTCTGTCACAGGGTCATTCATTGATTTTTTTTTTTAAATTTGAATTTCAGTTATATAAAGAAGTATTTTTTTCTCTCTTTCTTTCTTTTCTTTCTTTCTCTCTCTCTCTTTCTTTCTTTCTTCTTTCTCTCTCTCTCTCCCTCCCTCCCTTCCTCCCTCCCTCCTTCCCTCCCTCCTTCCTTCCCTCCCTCCTTCCCTCCCTCCCTCCCTCCCTCCCTCCTTCCCTCCCTCTCTCTTCTCTTTTTTTCCTTCCTTCCTTCTTTTCTTCTTTCTTTCTTTCCTCTTTCTCTCTTTATTTCTTTGCAAGAATGTCCCAATTATTGCTAAATCCGACAACCCTATTACTTAGGCCATTTCTCTTTTTTTCTATGTAATCCATTTCTCTTATTTGAGAGAATGACCCTCTTCTTTTTCTCATTTTTAATTTTTAATTTTTGTGGGTACATAGAAGATGTATATGTTTATGAGGTAGATGAGATATTTTGATACAGGTAGAATCACATCAGGGTAAATGGGATATCCATACCTCGAGCCTTTATCCTTTCTTTGTGTTACAAAGAATCCAGTTATATTCTTTTAGTTATTTAAAAATATGAAAATAAATTATTTTTTACTATAGTCATCCTGTTGCCCTGTTGTGC
Organism: Homo sapiens; assembly: GCF_000001405.40. NCBI lineage: Eukaryota > Metazoa > Chordata > Mammalia > Primates > Hominidae > Homo > Homo sapiens. The sequence continues at coordinate 90,068,944 of NC_000010.11, forward strand.
TAGCTAGCAAATACTAGATCTTATTCATTGTATCTAACTACATTATTGTATCCACTAACCATCCCCACTCCACCTACCCCCTCACTACTCTTCCTAGTCCCTGGTAACCATCCTTCTACTCTTTATGAGTTCAATTATTTTAATTATTTTCTGACTCCTACAAATAAGTGAGAACATGTGAATTTTATCATTCTATGCCTGGCTTATTTCACTTAACCTAATGACCTCTGGTTCCATCCATGTTGTTGTAAATGACAGGATCTTTTTTTTTTATGGCTGAATAGTAAAGTACCGTATTTTCCTTATCCATTCATCTGTTGATGGATACTTAGGTTGCTTCCAAATCTTTGTGAATAATGCTGCAATAAACATGGGAGTACAGATATCTCTTTGATATACTGGTTTCTTTTCTTCGGGGTATTCCCAAACAGTGAGATTGCTGGATCATATGATAGCTTTATCTATAGTTTTTTGAGGAAACTCCAAACTGTTCTCCATAGTGGTTGTACTAACTTAAATTCTCATCAACAGTGTACAAGGGTTCCTTTTTCTCCAAATCCTTGCCAGCATTTGTTATTGCTTGACTTTTGGGTAAAAGCCATTTTAACTGGAGTGAGGGGATATCTCATTGTAGTTTTTGATTTGCATTTTTCTGATGATCAATGATGTTGATTACCTTTTCATATACCTGTTTGCCATTTACATGTCTTGTTTAAAAATGTCTATTGAGATCTTTAGTCCATTTTTAAATAAGATTATTTTTCCTATAGAGTTTTTCCTATAGGGTTGTTTGAACTCCTTATATATTCTGATTATTAATCCTTTTTCAGATGGATGCTTTGCAAATATATTCTCCCATTCTGCAGATTGTCACTTCACTTTGTTGATTGTTTCCTTTACTGTGAAGAAGCTTCTTAACTTGATGTGATCCCATTTGTCCATTTTGCTTTGTGGGGTATTACTCAAGAAATCTTTGCCAAGACCAATGTCCTAGAGACTCTCTTCAATTTTTTTTAGTAGTTTTGTAGTTTGAGGTCCTATATTTAAGTCTTTAATCCATTTTGATTTGATTTTTGCATATAGTGAGAGATGGGGGTCAAGTTTCATTCTTTTGTATATGGATACCCAGTTTTCCCAGCATCATTAACTGCAGAGACTGTCCTTTCCACAATACATATTCATGGCAACTTTGTCAAAAATGAGCTCACTGTAGATGTGTGGATTTATTTTTGTGTTCTGTATCCTGTTCCATTGGTCTGTGTGTTTTTTATGCCAGTACTACGCTGTTTTGTTTACTCTAGCTTTGTAGTATAATTTGAAATTAAGTAACGTGATCCCTCCAGTTTTGTTCTTTTTGCTCAGGATGGCTTTGGCCATTCTAGGTATTTTGTGGCTCTGTATAAATTTTAGGGTTATTTTTTCTATTTCTATAAGGAATGCCATTGTTATTTTGATAGGGATTGCACTGAATCTGTAGATTCCTTTGGGTAGTATGGGCATTTTAACAATATTGATTCTTCCAATCCATGAACATAGAATAACTCAACTTTTTTGTGTCCTCTTTAATTTCTTGCATCAGTGTCTTATAGTTTTCATTGTAAAGATTGTTAACTTCTTTGGTTAATTCCTAAATGTTTTATTTCATTTGTAGCTATTGTAAATAGACTTTCTTTTTTTTTTTTTTTTTCAGATTGTTCACTGTTGGCATATAGAAATGTTAACTTATTTTTAATGTTGATTTTTCATCCTGCAACTTTACTGAATTTGTTTATCAGTTCTAATAGTTTTTTGATGGTCTTTAGGCTTTTCCAAATATAAGATTATATCATTTGCAGGCAAAGATAATTTGACTTTTTCCTTTCTAGTTTGGATGCTCTTTATTTCTTTCTCTTGTCTGATTGTTCTAACTAGGACTTCTAGTACTGTGTTGAATAACAGTGGTGAAAGTAAGTATTCTTGTCTTGTTCCAGATCTTAGAGGAAAGGCTTTCAGTTTTTCCCCCTTCAGTATGATACCAGCTGTGTGTCTTTTTTATTATGCTGAGGTAGGTTCCTTCTATACCCAGGTTTTCTTTTCTTCTTCTTCTTTTTTTTTTTTTTTTTTTTTTTTTTTTTAAGACAGAGTTTCGCTCTTGTCATTCAGGCTGGAGTGCAGCTGGTGCGAGCTCCACTCACTGCAACCTCTGCCTTCTGGGTGGAAGCGATTCTCCTATCTCAGCCTCCCAAGTTGCTGGGATTACAGGTGTGCACCACCATGCCTGTCTAATTTTTGTATTTTTAGTAGAAACGAGAGTTTCACCATGTGGCCAGGCTGATCTCGAACTCCTGACCTTAGGTGATCTGCCCACCTCGGCCTCTCAAAGTGCTGGGATTACAGGTGTAAGCCACCATGTCTGACCCATTCCCAGGTTTTTGAGGGTTTTTTATCATGAAGGCATGTTAAATTTTATCAAATGCTTTTTCAGGATTTTTTTTTTTTTTTTTTGAGACAGAGTCTCACCTTGTCCCCCAGGTTGGAGCACAGTAGAATGATCTCGGCTCACTGCAACCTCCACCATCCAGGTTCAAGTGATTTTTCTGCCTCAGCCTCCAGAGTAGCTGGGATTACAGGCACCCTCCAGCACCTTCCACCATACCCAGCTAATTTTTTTTTTGTATTTTTAGTAGAGATGGGGTTTCACCATGTCAGCCAGGTTGGTCTCAAACTCCTGAGTTCAAGTGATCCACCCACCTTGGCTTCCCAAAGTGCTGGGATTATAGGCATGAGCCACTGTGCCTGGCCCATTTTTCAGCATTAATTGACATGCTCATATGGTTTTTGTCCTTCATTCTGCTGATATGATGCATCACATTGATTGATTTGTGTATGTTGAACCATTCTTGCATCCTTGGGATAAATCCCATTTAGTCATAATGAATGACCTTTTTAATGTTTTGTTTAATTACGGTTGCTAGTATTTTGTTGGGGATTTTTGCGTCAATATTCATCAGAGTTATTGGCTGGTAGTTTTCTTTTTTTGACGTGTCTTTGGTTTTGGTATCAGGATAATGCTGGTCTCAGAATGAGTTTTGAAGTATTTCTTTGTTTTTTATTTTTTGAAATGGTTTCCCTAGGATTGGTATTACTTCTTTAAATATTTGGTAGAATACAGTAGTGATGCCATCAGGTCCCAAGCTTTTTTGCAGGGTGACTTTTTTTTTTTTTTTTTGAGATGGGGTCTTTGCTCTGTCGCCAAGCTGGAGTGCAGTGGCACGATCTCGTTTCACTACAACCTCCGCCTTGCAGGGAGGGCTTTTATTATGGTTTCAACATTATTGTTTTCAGTCTGTTTAGGTTTTGGATTTCTTCATATGTGTCCGGGAGTTCATTCATTTCCTCTAGGTTTCCAATGTATTGGCCTATAGTTGCTCATAGTAGTCTCTAATGATCTTTTGAATTTCTGTGGTATCTGTTGTAATGTCTATTTTTTCATCTTTGATTTTATTTATTTGGATCTTCTTTCTTTTTTTCTTAGTTTGGCTAAAGTTTTGTAAAGTTTGTTTGTCTCTTCAAAAATAATGCTTTTTTTGTTTTGTTGATCTTTTTATTGTTTTTGTTTAAATTTCATTTATTTCAGCTCTGAGTTTTGTTATTTCTTTACTTCTACTTAATTTTGGGTTTGATTTGCACTTGCTTTTTTAGTTCTTTAAAATGTATAGTTAACTTGTTTATTTTAAGTTTTTCCTACCTTTTTGGTGTAGGTGCTTATTGTTATAAACTTTCATCTTAATACGGCCTTCACGGTATCCCATAGGTTTTGGTATAGTTGTGTTTCTGTATTTCTTCATTTCTAAAAATTTTTAGATTTCCTTCTTATTTTTTTCAATGACTAACTGGTCATTCAGGAGCATGTTATTTAATATTCATGTGTTTGTATACTTTCCAAAATTCCTCTTGTTATTGATTTCTAATTTGATTCCACTGTGGTCAGAGAAGATACTTGATACTATTTCAACTTTTTGTCGTGTCTTGTTTTGTGGCTTAAAATATGGTCTATCCTTGACAATGATCCATGTGCTGAGGAGAAGAATGTGTATTGTGAAGCTATTGGATGAAATGTTCTGTAAATATCTATTAGGTCCATTTGGTCTATAGCACAGATTAAGCCAAATGTTTCTTTGTTGATTTTCTCTCTGGATGATTGGTCTAAAGCTGAAAGTGGGGTGTTGAAGTCTGTAGCTATTATTCTATTAGAGATTATCTCTCTCTTTAATTCTAATAATATTTGCTTTATATATCTGGATGTTCCAGTGTTGGGTGCACTCAGATATATAAAGCAAATATTATTAGAGTTTATAATTTTTATAATTTATATATGTTTACAATTATCATATCCTTTTGTTGAATTGGCCCAGTTATCATTATATTCTGACTTTTTGTCTCCTTTTATAGTTTTTGTCTTGACATCTATTTTGTCTAATGTAAGTGTAGCTACTCCTGCTCTTTTTTGGGTTTCCATTAGCATAGAATGTCTTTTTCCACTTCTTTATTTTCAGTCTATGTGTGTCTTTATAGGTGAAATGTGTTTCTTACAGGCAATAAATTGTTGGGTCTTTTTTATTTTTCATTCAGCCACACTATGAATTTTTATTGGAGAGTCAGTCCATCTATATCCAACGTTATGATAAGTGAGGACCTACTTCTGACATTTTGTTTTTCTTTTTTTAGTTTTTTGTGGTCTTCTCTTGTTTCCTTCCTTCCTGTCTTCCGTTTATGAAGGTGATTTTCTTTGCTGGTATGTTTTAATTTCTTCCTTTTTATTTTTTTGTGTAACTCTTGTATGTTTCTTGATTTGAGATTACTATGAGGCTTACAAATAATATCATATAGTCTGTTATTTTAATCTGATGACAACACAACACTGAATACACAAACTAATAAACAAGCAAAGAGAAAACTAATGAAAACCCTACCTTCTTCACCCCACTTTTCAATTCTTTGTTGTTTCTATTTTTGTCTTTATACTATGTCTTGAAAAATAATGTAGTTATTATTTTTGATAGGTCCATCTTTTATTCTTTCTACTCATGATATAAGTTGTATACACACCCCAGCAACACTGTTAAAATATTCTGTGCTTTTCTGTGTACTTAGTGAATTTTGTACCTTCAGATGATTTTCTATTGCTTGTTAATGTCTTTTTATTTCAGATTGAAGAACTCCCTTTAGCATTTCTTGTAGGACAGATCTGGTGTTGATGAAATGCCTCAGCTTTTGTTTCCCTGGGAAAGTCTTTATTTCTCCTTCATGTTTGAAGTATATTTTCACTTATATACTTTTCTAGGATGAAAGTTGTTCCCCCCTCCACCCCCAGCACTTTAAATATGTCATGCCACTCTCTCATGGCCTGTGAGGTTTCCACTAAAAATTCTGCTGCCAGATGTATTGGAGCTCCATTGTATGTTATTTGCTTATTTTCTCTTGCTGTTTTTAAGACCCTTTCTTTATCCTTGACATTTGGGTCAAGGATTATTAAATGTCTTGAGATAGTCTTATTTGGGTTAAATCTGCTTGGCATTTTATTACCTTCTTGTACTTGGATATTGATATCTTTCTGTAGGTTTGGAAAATTCTCTGTTCTTATCCATTTAAATAAACTTTCCATCCCAATCTTTCTCTCTCTCTACCTCCTCTTTAAAGCCAATAACTCTTAGATTTGCCATTTTGGGGCTATTTTCTACATCTCGTGGATGTGCTTTATTCTTTCTTATTCTTTTGTCTTCTCTGACTGAATTTTCAAATAGCCTGTCTTCAAGCTCATTAACTATTTCTTCTGCTTGATCAACTGTACTGTAAAGAGAGTCTGGTGCATTCTTCAGTATGTCAATTGCATTTTTCAGCTCTAGAATTTCTGCTTGATTTAAAAAAATTTCAATATCTTTGTTAAATATATCTGATAGAAGTTTGAATTTCTTTTCTGCGCTATCTTTAATTTCATTGAGTTTTCTCAAAACAGCTCTTTTTAATTCTCTATCTGAAAGGTCACATATCTCTGTCTCTCCAGGATTGGTCACTAATGCCTCATTTAGTTTGTTTTGTGAGGTCATGTTTTCCTGAATAGTCTTGAGCTTATGAATGTTCATTTGTGTCTGGGCATTAAAGAGCTAGATATTTATTGTAGTCTTTGCAGTCTGTGCTTGTTTGTGCTTGTTCTTCTTGGGAAGGCTTTCCATATATTCAAAGAAACTTGGTTGTTGTAATCTAAGTCTTTGGTCACTATAGCCATCTCTATGTTAGGGGGCATCCTAAGCCCAGTAATTCTGTGGCTCTGGAAGACTCATAGAGGTATATCTTGGTGGTCTTGGGTAAGATCCAGGAGAATTCCCTGGCTCACCGGGAAGAGACTCTTGTTATCTTCCTTTACTTTTTCCCAAGCAAATGGAATCTTTCTCTCTGTACTGAGCTGCCTGAGGTTGGAAGAAGGATGACACAGGCACTCTTGTGATCAACTCCACTGGGACCATGCTGGGTCAGACCTGCAGCCAGAATTTGGTCTTGCCCAAGGCTCACAGTGACCACTGATGACTACTACCTATATTCATTGAAGGCCCATGTTCTCTATAATTAGCAGGTGGCAAATCCAGCCAGGCTTATGTCCTTCCCTTCAGGGTGGTGAGTTCAGCCACAGGTTGGTCCAGAGATGCCTTTTGGGAGGCTGGGCCTAGAGTCGAGAACCTTAGGAAGTCTACCTTGTGCTCTATTTTACTGTGGCTGAGCTGGCATCCTAGCCAAGAGAGAAAGTCCTTCTCACTCTTCCCCCTCCTTTCCTCAAGCAGAGGATTTTCTCTCCATGGCAACCATCACCCCAGGCCCGCAGCAAGTGCTGCCTGGCTACTGCTGATGTTCACTCATGGCCCAAGAGCTCTTCCGTCAGGTTGTGGTAAATGCTTCAGGCCTGGGACTACTCCTTCAGGGCAGTGGGCTTCCTTCTGGTCCAGGGCAGATCCAGAAATGCCATTCAGGAACCAAGGCCTGGGATTAGGGGCTTCAGGAGCCTGCTTGGTGCTTTACTCTGCTGAGGCCAAGCTGGTGCCTGAACTTCAAGACAAAGTCCCCTTTACCTTTCCTTCTCCTTTTTCCTCAAGCAGAAGGAGTCTCTCCCCACAGCCACCACAGCTGGGAATGTGCTGGGTCACACCTGAAGCCAGCATGTCTTAGAATCTCACCCAAGGCCTGTGGCAAATACTGCCTGGCTACAGCTTCTGATGATTCAGGGCCCAAGGACTGTTTAGTCAATAGGTGACGAATCCTTCCAGGAGTAGGTTCTTCCCTTCAAGACAGCAGGTTTTCTTCTGGACCAGAGTATGTCTAGGAATGTTGCCTTGGAAATAGAACCTGGAATGGGGGCTTCGGAACTCTACTAGATGCCCTATTGTACTGTAGCTAAGCTGATATCTAAGTTTTAAGGCAAAGGTCTCTTTACTCTCCCTTCTCCTCTCTTGAAGGAGTACAGGAGAAAGAAGGAGTCTCTCCTGGAGCTGTGAGCTTCACTATCTGTGGGTGGTGGAGAGGTGGTGCAAGCAGTCCCTTGGCTGCCCTGGCTGGTGTCTCACTAGGCCACTCACATTCCAAGTCCAGGTGTGCTGGCTTCGAGCTTAGCACAGCACTGATGCTTGCCCAGGGACTGCAGTCCTTGTGTCATAGATTGCTTTTCAAGTTTATTTAGTATCCCAAGCACTTTAGTTCACAGTGGTGAGCTTGCTGAAACTCAAGTTCCAACCACTGGGGTGGGCAATTCCCCTCTGGCTGGGACTCATCTAGATGCTTTGTGAATGCCGACTGAGTTCTGCCCTATGTTGCTTTCCACTGTGACAGAGCAGCATTGAGTTCCAATGTGAAGTCTCACAATAAGTGCACTCTCCTTGCCCCAAATGCACAGATTCTCTCACCATGCTAAGTGGCCACTGCTGCTTCAAGCTTGTCTTTTCTACCCTCTTCAGTGCCTCTTTCCTTAATATGATGTTAAAAGCAGGTACTGTGATCACTCACCTGATCATAGGTTCTTATGAAGTTGATTTTCTTCATAGTTGTTCAATTTGGTGTTCCTGTTCGGGGGATGATTGCTGTGGGCTTCTATTCAGTCACTTTGTTCTGCCTACCCTTCATCATTCATTAATTTAACACAAGGTAAATATGCATCTACTATGTCCCAGGGACTCTTCTAAGTTTTGGGGAAGTTAACAGTGCATATAGAAACAAAATAACTGCTCTCAAAAAGTTTACATTATTGGAGGGAAATAGAGAATAAAAACATATGGTATAAACAGGTCACTGGTTTTGAAACATTATTGTTTATCAGAGGAACCCTGATCTTAGGCAAAAATTTCCTAGAATACCAATATATAAAACAGCAAAAAGAATACTTTCTGGTAGATGCAACATTCAGAGGTCACTCATGTTGCAATCCTCTTCTGCCTTTCTCTCCTACAGCAGTCTGGTAGACACTTCTAGAAAGGTTTGAAAACTACCAATTTAGAATACCCATTGTTGTGGAAATATAATTAAAAAAAAAATCTTCTTCCAACCCACACTACCTCTCCACAAAATAGTAGAGAAAGTAAAAGTAAATAGTTTTATTATTAATAAGTAAAAGACCAGAATGTAATCTGGCAACATGGGCAATTCATCCAGAGATGGCAGACTGAATGAAAGCTCACGTTTAAAAAAAGCCAAATAGGGCTGGGCGCGGTGGCTCACACCTGTAATCACAGCACTTTGGGAGGCCGAGGCATGTGGATCATGAGGTCAAGAGATCGAGACCATCCTGGCCAACATGGTGAAACCCTGTCTCTACTAAAAACACAAAAAATTAGCTGGGCGTGGTGGCATGCACCCGTAGTCCCAGCTACTCGGGAGGCTGAGGCAGAAGAATCGCTTGAACCCAGGAGACAGAGGTTGGAGCGAGCCGATATCATGCTTCGCATTCCAACCTGGTGACAAAGTGAGACTCCATCTCAAAAAAAAAAAAAAAAAAAAAAAAAAGAGCCAAACAGATACAACCCATTACAGACATGCTTTCACAATAAACAATACTGTGTTCTCAAGTAAAAGAACTTGAGTGCACCATTTGTCACACATAGTTCGTCTTAAATTCACCTGGTAATTGGGGTGACCATCTGTGGTAGCTAATTGGCTTTCTTTAGAGGAAAAACAAATTCCTTTATCTTTATTGCCAGAGGTAGTTTTAATACTTGGAGCAAGGGGCTACTGAAGTTAGGCCCCTACACTCTCACAGAAACTGGGAGTTAGGGGTTCTATTTCCTTTGATTTCAAAGGGATGGCTTTCAGGTGATAAAGCTGACAAAGGAACTTGCAACTACATGTTTTCTGAAGAAAATTTAAAAAAAGGAAAGTGGAAGAACTCTATTTCCTTATTTTCAACTGGGAGAATTAAGCTTCTTATTTTTAATTTGTATTTATTCATAAGCCATTCAGATATAAGGCAGCTGATTCTGGAAATAAATACAAAAACAAAACAAAACCATGTTATCCTAATTAGAATGTGTGACTTGATAATTTTGGAGAGATAGGCTTGCTGAAAATACCCTCATGATTTCAGTTTACATCCATGAGAGTAAACTAGATTTTTCTGACCCCAGAGTCAGTCTATGATAAGCCTGATTTAAATCTTTGGCTAAAAGTTTTCAAAAGCATTACCCAAAGAGTGAAACCTCTTCTTTCTCTGGCTCTGAAGGACTCAAGCTTTAGGCTGATAGGCAAGTGCTTAGAAGTGTTACCATATCCCATGGAACTAAAATAGTCCAAAAATGGTGAAGTCAACTTAGAATCATAGACTGTTGAAGCTCAAATTTCCCTGGAAGTTATACAGTTCGATATTCACTTAAAGGCACACTGATACCCAGGCAAGGTAAATTAATGTCTAGAATAGACTGGTAGATTATTCCCTGTCCTAGAGAGAAGCTCTGTGCCCATATACCCAGTCTGTTTTCTCTACTGACTGTGGAATCTAGGAAAAGGCACAGTAATGTCATGCCAGACCGGGTGCACTTGGAATTCAGGTTTCTCTCAGCTGTGCATTAACTGCTTCCTTGCCTACCATTAAATAAAGCAAGCACAATGAAGAAATTTTGCTTCATTGTCATGCTTACAAAATATAGTGACATCAAAGAAGAGATTAAGTCTGAATTTCAAAGGGCTAACAAAAAGAGAATTGAAATGAAACTAGAGAAATAAACCTCTATAGAAATAAAAACCTGGAAATGCCTGAGAAACATTATTGATCTATCACTTTTTTTTTTTAAGAAAGGGTTTCTCTCTGTCACTCAGGCTGGAGTGCAGTGGTGCAATCATGGCTCACTGCAGCTTTGGTCTCCCGGGCTCAAGAGATCCTCCCACCTCAGCCTCCTGAGTAGCTGGGACTGCAGTCATGAACTACTATGCCTGGTTAATTTAAAAAAATGTAGTAGACACAAAGTGTCATTATGTTGCCCAGGCTGGTCTCCACCACTCTTGTTTTACAGGTGGGAAAATGAATGGAGAGAGAACTATTTCTCCCTGCCCCTGTGAGGGATAGTACCTGAATTGTATTTGTTTTCTTTTTGGTTCAGCTGTCCACTTTCAGGTGAAGTTGAGCATGGATGATATGATGTTTGTGAGCCTGATCATGTTGTACCCCTATTATATGCTATGCCACTGCAGCGATCAAGCTTGTCTAAAACCACCCCTGCCTTCATACCACTCAAGGAGAAGACAAATATAGTTGGTTATTGGAAGAACCAACAGGATTTTACAGGATAAGTAGACATTTCATAGAGCTCTTGAAACCTGAAAATGATTGACATTGCTGTGTGAAAGGAAAATATCTTGGGCCCCCAAAATCACTAAGTTAAAGGGAAAATTCAAGCTGGAAACTGCTTAGGGTAAACCTGCCTCCCATTCTATTAAAAGTCATCCTTCTGCTCACTGAGATAAATGCATGTCTAATTGCCTCCTTTGAAAGGCTAATCAGAAACTCAGAAGAATGCAACCATTTGTCTCTCACCAACCTGTGACCTGGACCCTCCCCGCTTTGAGTTGTCCCACTTTTGTTTTGAGTTGTCCCGCCTTTCCAGACTGAACCATTGTTATATATGTTGATTGATGTCTCCTGTCTCCCTAAAATGTATAAAACCAAGCTGTGCTCTGACTACTTTGAGCACATGTTGTCAGGACCTCCTGAGGCTGTGTCACAGGCATGCATCCTCAACTTTGGCAAAATAAACTTTCTAAATTAACTGAGACCTGTCTCAAATTTTGGGGGTTCACATTTGGTAACCATGGAGGGATTCTGAGTGGAGATGCCCCTGACTTCTGACAAATCTCCTATCGGTTCTTCGTACCAGCATGAGCTAACTTTATAGCTCAAACCAATAGGACAATTTGCTGAGGTCAGGGAGCAACCCTTCCAGAGAATCCCTGATCTCCAAAAATTTGGTCAAGATCTAAAGTTTATTTTGCTGTATACTCCTTTTGTTTTTCTTGCTTCCAACAAGGAAGGCAAGATTTCCTGTTTCCAAGACAATGGAAAGCAGGTAACTCCTTTATGGAGTTTGAGCTCGCTCCCAGCTGGGAAGACGAGTTGGAGTATTTTTCCTGCTTCTACAATGGTAGAAAGCAGTCTTCAGCCTAAGATCCATCTCTGGGTAAGTAGCTGAATTGTGGTTTTGTCTTGGCTAAAGTTCAACAACCAGCTTATCATTGGAGCACTCAGTGATCATATTGTTGGGCTTTGTTGTTGTTGTTTGTTCCAGTCTTTCTCCCATCAGATTTCATCAACTCTATCTGACTTGGACAAATCCAAGTGAGAATTGCAAATGATGGGTAACAAGCCCTCTCTAATTTGGCTAAAATTCCTCATAGCTGCAAAATTAAACAAAGAGAGAAAACAAGAAAACCATGTGTTTGGTTTCTGTGTTCGCTTCCTTTCTTTAAAAAAAAAAAAATTGTTCTTTTGTTTACTTTTCTTCCACCCTATACCTCCTTCCCCCTTTGCCATCTGAAGTATCAAAAATTCTAGAGAAAGCTTCTAATGACTTTCATACACGTCCGTGTGAAGAGGTCACTAAACAGGCTTTGTGTGAGCAACATGGCTGTTTATTTCACCTGGGTGCAGGCAGGCTGAGTCCAAAAAGAGAGTCAGTGAAGGGAGATAAGGGTGGGGCCGTTTTATAGGATTTGGGTAGGTAAAGGAAAATTACAGTTAAAGGGGGTTTGTTCTCTGGCAGGCAGGAGTGGGGGGTCGCAAGGTGCTCAGTGGGGGTGCTTTTTGAGCCAGGATGAGCCAGGAAAAGGACTTTCACAAGGTAATGTCATCAGTTAAGGCAAGGACCGGCCATTTACACTTCTTTTGTGGTGGACTGTCATCAGTTAATGTGGGGCAGGGCATATTCACTTCTTTTGTGATTCTTCAGTTACTTCAGGCCATCTGGGCATACATGTGCAAGTCACAGGGGATGCGATGGCTTGGCTTGGGCTCAGAGGCCTGACATTCCTGCCTTCTTATATTAATAAGAAAAATAAAACAAAATAGTGTTGAAGTGTTGGGGCGGTGAAAATTTTTGGGGGGTGGTATGGAGAGAGAATGGGCGGTGTTTCTCAGGGCTGCTTCAAGCGGGATTAGGGGCGGTGTGGGAACCTAGAGTGGGAGAGATTAAGCTGAAAGGAGGTCTTGTGGTAAGGGGTGATATTGTGGGGATGTTAGAAGAAACGTTTGTTGTATAGAATGATTGGTGATGGCCTAGATACGGTTTTGGATGAATTAAGAAACTAAATGGAATAACAGAAGGAGAAAAACAGGTATAAAAGGTCTAAGAATTGGGACGACTCAGGATATCTGATTAGAGAGTGCCTAAGGTGATTCAGCATATTCCTGCCAGCAAAGATTATTTATTTACTTCAAGAGTTAAGAGTGGCAGTTTGGGGATAGCACCAGGAGATATCAGCTGTGATGGCTTGGAGAAGCAGTGTAAACCGGCAGTGTAAACAAGAGCAGGGCATGTATGAGTAGTTGAGAACGGTGAATAGGAGTATGACTAGACAGAAGATAGTAGGGATGACAAGTTTTTTGGGGCACAGTCTAAGTTGGTCTGGTGTCTGGAATGAGACTGGGGCCTAATAAAAAGGAGCGTCTATACAGGAGCTTAAATGGGCTGTACCCTGTAGCATTCCGAGGACAGGCCTGAATTCTGAGAAGGGAAATTGGTAAAAGTATTGTCCAGTCCTTTTTAAGTTGGTGGCTGAGCTTGGTGAGGTGTGTTTTTAAAAGACCTTTAGTCCATTCTACTTTTCTTGAAGTCAGAGAACCATAAGAGATATAAAGGTTTCACTGAATACTAAGAGCCTGAAAAACTGCTTGGCTGATTTGACTAATAAAGGCTCGTTTGTTATCAGACTGTATTGAGGTGGGAAGGCTAAACTGAGGAATTATGTCTGACAGAACAGAAGAAATGACTGCGGTGGCCTTCTCAGACCCTGTAGGAAAGGCCTCTACCTATCCAGTGAAAGTATCTACCTAGACTAAGAGGTATTTTAGTTATCTGACTCAGGGCATGTTGAGTAAAGCTAATTTGCCAGTCCTGGGTGGGGGCAAATCCTGGAGCTTCATGTGTAGGGAAGGGAGGGGGCCTGAATAATCCCCGAGGAGTAGTAGAATAGCAGATGGAACACCGAGAAGTTATTTCCTTGAGGATAGATTTCCACGATGGAAAGGAAATGAGGGGTTCTAAGAGGCGGGCTAGTGGCTAGTACTATAGTATAACCTGCCTTTGCTGGTGTGTGGCGATTAGGCCTGGTAGAACTGCCATCAATAAATCAAGCGTGATCAGGGTGAGGAACAGGAAAGAAGGATATTTGGGGAAATGAGGTGAATGTCAGGTGGATCAGAGAGATACAGTCATGGGGGTCAGGTGTGGTATCAGGAATAATGTGGGAGGCCGGATTGAAGTCTGGGCCAGGAACAACGGTAATTTTAGGAGACTCAACAAAGAGTGAGTACAGCTGAAGGAGCCGGGGAGCAGAAAGTATATGCATCAGGTATGAGGAAGAAAATAGATTTTGGAAGTCACGAGAACTGTAGAGAGTGAGTTGAGTATAGTTTGTGATTTTGAGGGCCTCTAAAAGTATCAAAGCAGCGGCAGACGCTGCATGCAGACATGAGGGCTAGGCTAAAACAGTAAGGTCAAGTTGTTTGGACAGAAAGGCTACAGGGTGTGGTCCTGGCTCTTGTGTAAGAATTCTGACTGTGCTAACCATGCCTAGGAAGGAAAGGAGTTGTTGTTTTGTAGAAGGTGCTTGGGTTTGAGAGATCATTCAGACATGATTGGCAGGGAGAGCACTTGTGTTTTTATGAGAATTATGCCGAGATAGGTAACAGATGAGGAAGAAATCTGGGCTTGATTGAAGTAATGGGGGCTGTCTGTGAAGCTTTGCGGCAGAACAGCCTAGGTAATTTGCTGAGCTTGATGGGTGTCAGGGTCAGTCTAAGTGAAAGCAAAGAGAGGCTGGGACAAGAGGTGCAGGGGAATAGTGAAAAAAGCATCTTTAAGGTCAAGCACAGAATAGTGAATTGTGGAGGAAGGTATTGAGGACAAAAGAGTGTATGGGTTGGCACCACGGGGTGGATAGGCAAAACAATTTGGTTGATAAGGTGCAGATCCTGAACTAACTTGTAAGGCTTGTCTGGTTTTAGGACAGGTAAAATGGGGGAATTGTAAGGAGAGTTTATAGGCTTTAAAAGGCCATGCTGTAGCAGACGAGTGATAACAGGCTTTAATCTTTTTAAAGCGTGCTGCGGGATGGGATATTGGCGTTCAGTGGGGTAAGGGTGATTAGGTTTTAATGAGATGGTAATGGGTACATGATCAGTCACCAAGGAGGGCGTAGAGGTATCTTATACTTGTGGGTTAAGGTGGGAGGATACAAGAGGAGGATGCAAAGGAGGCTTTCGATTGGGAAGAAGGGCGGCAATGAGATATAGCTGTAGTCCAGGAATAGTCAGGGAAGCAGGTAATTTAGTTAAAGTGTCTCAGCCTAATAAGGGAACTGGGCAGGTGGGGATAACTAAAAAGGAGTGCTTAAAAGAGTATTGTCTAAGTTAGCACCAGAGTTGGGGAGTTTTAAGAGGTTTAGAAGCCTGGCCGTCAATACCCACAACAGTTATGGAGGCAAGGGAAACAGGCCCTTGAAAAGAAGGTAATGCGGAGTGTGTAGCCTCTGTATTGATTAAGAAGGGGACGGGCTTACCTTCCACTGTGAGAGTTACCCGAAGCTCGGCATCCGTGATGCTCTAGGGGGCTTCCAAGGCAATCGGGCAGTTTCAGTCTTCAGCCGCTAAGCCGAGAAGATCTGGGAAGGAGTCAGTCAGAGAGCCTTGGGCCAGAGTTCCAGGGGCTCTGGGAGTGGCTGCCAGGTGAGTTGAACAGTCCGACTTTCAGTGGGGTCTTACACAGATGGGACGCGGCTTAGGAGGAATCCTGGGCTGCGGGCATTCCTTGGCCCAGTGGCCAGATTTCTGGCACATGTAGCAAGCTCCTGTGGGAGGAGGTTCTGGAGGAACGCCTGGCCGCTGCGGTTCAGGCGTTTGGAAGTTCTTGTGTGCTGGAGATGTGGCTGGGGTTTGTCTCACAGTGGAGGCAAGGAATTGCAACTTTTTTCTGTTATTGTACACCTTGAAGGTGAGGTTAATTAAGTCCTGTTGTGGGGTTTGAGGGCCAGATTCCAATTTTTGGAGTTTTATTTAATGTCGGGAGCAGATTGAGTAATAAAATGTATAGTGAGAATAAGACGGCCTTTTGACCTTTTAGGGTCTAGGGCTGTAAAGCATCTCAGGGTTGCTGCCAAACGAGCCATGAACTGGGCTGGATTTTTATATTTGATGAAAAAGAGCCTAAACGCTTCTGATATGGGATAAAGAAAAAGGAGCATTAACCTTGACTATGCCTTTGGCTCCAGCCACCTTTTTAAGAGTAAATTGCTGGGCAGGTTGGGGAGGGCTAGTCACGGAACGAAACTGTAAGCCAGAGCAGGTGTGAGGAGGGGAGGTGATAAAAAGATTATAGGGTGGAGGAGCAGAGGCTGAGGAAGAATTGGGACCTAGCTCGGCCTGGCGAGGAGCAGCCTGGGGAGGAAGGGAGAGGTCAGATGGGTGTGTAGAAAAGGAAGATTAGAAAGACTCATCGATGCTTGGGGTTGGTACTGAGGGGACAGGCGGGAGGGAAAGAAGGAAGATTTGGGACGAGTTGCACTGGGCACAGAGACTAGGAAGGGACTGATGTGTAAAAGAATGCCTGGACGTCAGGCACCTCAGACCGTTTGCCTATTTTATGACAAGAATTATTTAGATCTTGCAGGATGGAAAAATTCAAAGTGCCATTTTCTGGCTATTTGGAACTACTGTCGAGTTTGTATTGGGGTCAAGCGGCATTGCAGAAGAAAATAAGGCATTTAGGTTTTAGGTCAGGTGTGAGTTGAAGAGGTTTTAAGTTTTTGAGAACACAGGCCAAGGGAGTAGAAGGAGGAATGGAGGGTAGAAGGTTGCCTATAATGAAGGAAGCAAGCCTAGAGAAAAGAGAGAGTAGAGAAACAGAGGGAAGGGGTTCGGAGGTTCTTACCTTCCAGAAAAGTGGGAAAAGGGGTTGGGGTGCAGAGATAAGAGGTTGGGGTGCAAAAATAAGGGATGGGGTGCAGAAATAAGGGGTAGGGGCATGGAAATAAGGGGTCGGGGCACTGAAATAAGGGATTGGGGCACAGAGATACGAGGTTGGGGTACTTGCCCTCCTCTAGAAAAGCGGGACTTGCCGCTAAGAGTGAAGGAGAAGGGGTTGAGGGGTACTTGCCCCTGCCCCAGGAAAGCAGAGAAGGGGTAGAGACAAGGAGAGAAGGGGTTGGGGTACTTGCCCCTTCCCCAGAAAAGCGGGACTTGCTGCTAAGGGTGAAGGACCAAGGCTGGCATCCCTGCGTGGTCTGACACCTTTGAAACGTGGGTGAATAATCAGAGAGGTGTCCCTCCAATGATTAAACACCAAGGGAAGGCTGCCTTCCCAGCCCGTGACCGGCACTGGAGTTTTGGGTGCACAGATAAAACGTATCTCCTTTGTCTCTCCCAGAAAATGAAAGGAATTGAAATTAAGAGAAGGGAGAGATTGACGAGTGGAAAGAAGAAAGTGGTTGAGGGACAGTGAGAGAGGTTGGAGAAGAGAGAAGAGGCCGCTTACCTGATTTAAAATTGGTGAGATATTCCTTGGGCTGGTCGATCTGAGGACCTGAGGTCATAGGTGGATCTTTCTCACAGAGCAAAGAACAGGAGGACAGGGGATTGATCTCCCAAGGGAGGTCCCCTGATCCGAGTCACGGCACCAAATTTCATGCGTGTCCATGTGAAGAGACCACCAAACAGGCTTTGTGTGAGCAACATGGCTGTTTATTTCACCTGGGTGCAGGCAGGCTGAGTCCGAAAAGAGTCAGTGAAGGGAGATAAGGGTGGGGCCGTTTTATAGGATTTGGGTAGGTAAAGGAAAATTACAGTCAAAGGGGGTTTGTTCTCTGGTGGGCCGGAATGGGGGGTGGCAAGGTGCTCAGTGGGGGTGCTTTTTGAGCCAGGATGAGCCAGGAAAAGGACTTTCACAAGGTAATGTCATCAGTTAAGGCAAGGACCGGCCATTTACACTTCTTTTGTGGTGGAATGTCATTAGTTAAGGTGGGGCAGGGCATATTCACTTCTTTTGTGATTCTTCAGTTACTTCAGGCCATCTGGGCATATCCAGATGCAAGTCACAGGGGATGCGATGGCTTGGCTTGGGCTCAGAGGCCTGACAATGACTTGAACCCCTTTAAAGAATTTAGGACAAAGTCACCACTCACCCCCTTTTGGGGTGTTTTGTTTTCTTTGTGGAGTTTCAAGAGTCATGGGCAAATTCTTTTTAGGTCTAAAGCTCTGTTTTCCTATATTGCATGATTTGACCTCTTTGGCTTTTGGAGTGCCAGAGATGACTTTTCACTGTGAGGGAATTTGACCTTGGCATGTATAATGGTGGATGAGAATTAGGATGAGAACAGGAAGTGGTCTTGGCTGTTTTGTTTTTCTTTTCTCTTTTAGGAAGTTGTTGTTTATGGATTCTAATTCTAGTTCAGAGATGCATTCTAAAGGGCCTTCTCTATTGCTTTTTCTTCCAAAATTAATCTTAATTTGATTTGTCTGTGAGCATTTGCATGAGGAACTCAACTGTTGTTTTCATGGGTTAATGAGAGACTGAGTTTTCCCAGTGCTAAAGAAAAAGGGCATTTGCTCCTTCCAGCCAAAAGGTACCCCTGGGTGACCAGGGGTCTTGTGGGAAAGTCTGGGGTGTTGATCCCCTACTACATGCTGTGATCCTGCAGGAAAATCCCCAACAAAAATTGATTTTAGAAAGTGAATCATCCAGGAAACGCATATAAGTTCTGAGACATGTAAGAAGGTGTAAATGACTCAGTGGTGACACACTGTGGAGCCTTGCCCACAAAAAGCACATATCAATCCACCACATGAAAACCATAGGCCATAGCTCAGTTCCTCCTTTTAAGGAAAAAAAAAAAAAAAAAAAAAAAAAAGAAAGAAAAAGAGCAGGAAACAAATAATCAAATAATGAGGAGAAAACAAGGGGAATGACCCCCTTTTGATCACTCTGTAGGTTTTATGGCACCTCTACTTGCCAGAGAAAAATGGAAGTAATATGGTCTTTGTGCACATTTACATTAGGGAAAAAGAGCCTTAAGGTTGACCCACACATTAAGAGTTCCTAGGTTTCCCTTTTCTCTCTTTTCTTTTCTGCCTGCTTTAAATCTGCTGTTACTTTTCTACTGAAATAAAAACCACTGTTTGGACTTAACAGTTTTTTTTTTTTTTTTTTGCAAGCTGACAAATTTGCATTTATCTGATGACTAAAGTACTGAAGTAAAAACAATAGAATCTTTGTGTGTATGTGTGTATGTATATGTGTACGTGTATATATTTGAAGGCCTTTATAAAAGACTTCTATAATTGTATGTTCAATTGGCAATTAAATTTGTTTTAATTTCCCGCTAGCCCACCAGACTTTCTACCTTATGATGCAAATTTTGCTATCTTATTTTTCACCCAGTTGTTTCCTTTAATATGCAAATTTAAGGCTATTAAGCTGACAACTGCCTAGGGTAAGATTTTTAAAAAAGGGAAAAAAAGAGGTCTTTGTGAATCTGTAAGACGCGCTTCTATCAGCATGCCTAATGCATCGGTATATTTATGTGTTGTGTACACAATGTTTCACTACTAAAATTATATAAAAGAGCTCTAATTAATTGGCTTAACAAATAATAAAAGTGCTTAAATCAGATACTAAAGAAAAAAGAGAACTTTTTCAAGTTCACCTGATTTAAGTAAAATCTTTAATAAATAAGCTGACTTTAAATTATTGGTAAAATAATATTAGAAATGTCTTAAGAATTTGCCAACATACTTTTTTTTGCATTTATTAATCACCCAATTTCATACTTATCCCTGCCAAACACTGTAAGGTGTCAAAATTTGGCATAGGGATTACAAAACTATACACCCAACCCAAAACAGAATGATCTTTGCTTGTGTAATCTTTAATAGATAAGACATTGATATTAGTTTAATAAAACTTGTTACATCTTTAATTTAGTAAGATTATCATAATTTTTTTTTTTTTTTGAGATGGAGTCTCAGTCACCCAGGCTGAAGTGCAGTGGTGCAATCTTGGCTCACTGCAACCTCTGCCTCCTGGGTTCAAGTGATTCTTGTGCCTCAGCCACCTGAGTAGCTGGGACTACAGGCACCCACCACCACACCTGGCTAATTTTTGTATTTTTAGTAGAGACAGGGTTTCACCATGTTGGTCAGGCTGGTTTTGAACTCCTGACCTCAAGTGACCCACCCACTTTGGCCTCCCAAAGTGCTGGGATTACAGACATGAGCTACCACTTTCAGCCGATTACTATAACTTTTAATCTTGTAGCTTTAGGCAGTCTAGTCCAAAGGCAATAAGGTTTGCTGTCATCTTTGTTACAAAGCTGAACTGTAAACTAAGTTCCTCCCAAAGTTAGTTCGGCCCGCACCCAGGAATGAACAAGGACAGCTTGGAGGTTAAAAGCAAGATGAAGTCAGCTAGGTCAAATCTTTTTTACTGTCTCAGTTATAATTTTGTAATGGTGGTTTCATAACTTAAAATAATGACTATCATAGTTTTCACAAATAATCTAGGTAAACAAAAGAAAACTGTGTAAATGTAATAGGATAAATACTTGTAGAGAAATTCATCATAATATTTGGGTATTTGCTAATGAAAATATAATTGTAGAAAAACATTCTAAAAAATAAAAAGTTGTGTCCTTTTAAAAATGGTGAACAATCTTTGTCTAATTCAAAGCTTATTTAAAGATCATGTATAAAACAAGGTAAAAGAAACCAGAAAATAAAAAAAAATGTAAAGAAAGTCATAAAAATAAACAGGTTTTTTTTTCTTTTCTTTTTTTTTTTTTTAGTAAGAAAGCTTAAAGATAAATAATTTCATTAAGAAAGAATCTTGTATAGTAAATTTAGTCCTAGAGTAAAATGACTGGCTGTTTTAGAAGGAGGGATGTTTAGGATAAACCAGAAAGTCCAGGCATGAATAGTCTGTGTAAGTCCCAACAAAAGGATTTATATATTTTTTTAAAAAACAAACTTTTATACGATCAAGTTGTCACATTACTATTAAGTTTTAGTTTGCTCAGAAAAAAACTAAGATTAAAAAATTTTTAAATTAAGATGATTACATCTGAGTATCTCTCTGTATGCACTTCTAAAGTACTTGTGACATTGAGTTACAGGGCTTTGACTCCTGGGTGTAAAATGATGCCAGGTTCTGCTAAATTTTAAACACCGAAAGCAATTAAAGCCTCATATTCCGGCCTAGTAGAAGATGCCAATCAAAATAAACTGCATTCCTGAAACACAGGCCAGAAATTAAAGCTATTTAACTCCTCAAGGCCCAGGGACTATCTCAGAAGAGGTGGTTGTGTGAGATTGCAAAGGCCAATTTTGAGAGATAAAATATATTGTTTCTCCATAAATTACTCATTAATGTCAAAGGCACACTGAGGCAAGACCATCATATAGGACCATGCCAGATTAGCAAGGTTTTCCTGAAGCATTAGCTGACTTCTAAATAAAGGTTATAAAGGTTATGAAAGGCTAATGGAAGTTTTATCTTATGGTCAAGATTAAAATTTTATAGACTGTTTATAAAATTTTGAAAAAAAATGTAGTTGGCTTCATGCTGTTTTTATTAAGGCTTATTGTTTGGAAAATTAAGTCTCCTCTCTCAAAGAATGAAAGTTTTTGCCTTTAAAAAAAAAATCCTTGAGTTATCACTTTGGTCAACTGAATGACTTATTTTACAATGAACTGTGATATTAAGTATTTTAAACCTTTGATATTTGATAACCTTTCCAAAATCAAATTATAAATTATGTCTATTTTGATCTAATTAATCCTTTAAGATATTTGGTTCCCTAAAGTCCAAGAATGACATAATTTGGCTTATTTAGCATAAAAATTACACAGGAAACATTGTCAAATATGAAATGGTGTTTGGTTTTCTTTAGGCTATATTTGTATAAATATGTTATTGGTATGTGTTCCAAAAGTGTGGGACACTCCTATAACTCTGATACAACTTAGTGTACATTATCAGTAATAATTGGGTAACAAATTTCCTTGTCAATTTTATCTATGGCTGCCCTAAAACGTTCTGTCATCCACAGACAATTCTTGTCTTGTTTCGGTCCTCCTTAGAAGGTGGTTTTATAATCAGCTATAGAACCCTAATACGTGTTCTTAAATGCAGGTTTCTGGTAACTTTGGAGATTGTGACGTTAGAATAGAGGAAAAAACTTTCAGGACTCTCATGGAGAGCTGAAATGTTCAGGAATATAAAGCAGAACAGGAGTTAACTGCATGAACTGAACTGATAGAAGACTAATCCTTTTAAATTTTTGCTTAAGACATTGCTGATCCTTTGTTTTGTTTTTCAGAGTCAGGAAAACTTTAAGCAACTTTCAACAGTTGAGTAAAGTATACTTCTATGAATAAAATTTGAGCATATTTGTTTGTCTCTACTGATTTTCTCAAGAATTTGGAAACTATTTGTGAATATTCTTAACTATGACAATACAGTTATTTGCATAAGTGCAATAAGAACCTGTTTTCATCTGTAACAGGACACAATAGGAGAAACTGGTTTTTACCAAGGCTTTGACTGGAAAGGTGTGCTTTCCTTTAAGGAATACAGCTTGACTTATAGAGCCAGTAAAAACCATTTGGAAAAACTAGCCTCATGCCTTTGTCTACAGAGCCTCTGTACAGGGGTCCTGTCCTGTGATAGGTAAAGAATGTCACTTTCTGACAGGCTCAGAAGCCCCAAGTTTATCTTGGAACCTCAAGAAGAGAAAATTACCCAACTCATAGGTATTTGGTGGCACAAACCCATGGCTTGGGTTGGCTTTAGAAAAGTCTTATCTAACATTCTTCCTGTGGAACACAGTTCCATCACAGCCAACTTAAAAGCCTATGTAAAAAATACTTTTTCTTGCTGCACTGTATACAAATTATTAGGCCAAGCATAATAAAGCAAATCAGCCCTACCATGATTTGTCTTTAGTAAAAATGGGAAACCGGAGAAAGAAAAATTATGTTTCAAAAACTATAGTACACCTGTTGTTAGATTCTAGTCTTCCCTAGTGTTTTTCAGTTTTTATTATTTTCTACATTTTGAAATGAATTCTAATTTTTCTTGGCTGCAGGTCTTCAAAATAATGTTTTCAATTTTTTTAATTTCTTTTTAAAATTTTTTCCTAATTTGGAAAAATTGGAGTAACTGAAAACTAAGCTGTGCTTTTGTAAAGCCTTGCAAACTGAAGCTAGCAACTTAAACTTCAGAAGAAAATAACAGCAACCTATTTACATACATAAGCCACTTTTATACTTGCCTACTAATATATGGAATTCAGGGTAATGTGGACTATATCTATTTTCCACGATTGTTCTTTTGTTTGTTGTTGTTTTTCTCCCTTCCTCCCCCTATTTTCTTTTTGTAGGACATGAGACTTAACAGCCTTCTAAAAGTGAGATTTCCTAATAACTGAGGACCTACTCCTAGCCATGAGAGATCAGACAAAACCTGGGACCAGAGACTTATTTTCTTCTAAAATGCTTTCTCTGAAAGATTTTTAAAAGGAAAAAGGGGGAAATGTGAAAGGAAAATATCTTTGGCCCCTAAAATCCCTAAAATAAAAGGAAAATTCAAGGTGCTTAGGGCAAACTTGCCTCCCATTCTATTCAAAGTCATCTCTTTGCCTACTGAGATGAATACAAATCTGATTGCCTCATTTGGAAAGGCTAATCAGAAACTCAGAAGAATGCAACCATTTGTCTCTGGAATGGTTGTGACCTGGAAGACCCCTCCATGCTTTGAGTTGTCCCACTTTTGTTTTGAGTTGCCTTGCCTTTTTGGAATGAACCAATGTTTGTTTTACATATGTTGATTGATGCCTCATGTCTCCCTAAAACATATAAAACCAAGCTGTGCTCTGACCACCTTGGGCACATGTCCTCAGGACCTCCTGAGGCAGTACAAGGGCACACATCCTCAACCATGGCAAATGAAACTTTCTAAATTAACTGAGACTTGTCTTCAATTTTCAGGGTTCCCAGCTGGTTCTTACATTGTCACTAATTTTTAGTATGGTCTTCTTTTAGCACATTCATATTTAGAAAACCAAGGGGAACCTATACATTTTTTTCTATCATTCAGATTTCTTTAATTATCTGTTTTGAAAAAATATTGGCTTCCCACCAATATTTTGCTGCATCGGCTTGAATTTCTCGTAATATTATTTCTTTTTTCTTGCCAACACAATGAAAGAATATAAGCCCTTTTTATTAAGAAGGCAGATTTGAATAAAGTTCTAACACGCATTGAAAATAATTCTTTAAAATTCCTTTTTAATTTAATGAGGCACCTTTTCAACCTTTAGCCATCACCTAGGCTATTTTTGAATCCACGCAAAAAGCAGGCAGATGTCAGAAAATAAAATGGCAATCCACATTCGAAGGTTAATCTTTAGAATACATTTTGAAAGCAAATAAGTCTTCTAAAATCCAAACTTGAATTTTTCTGAGCTCTTTTTGTAACAACAGAGCACCTTCATTTCCCTTTAACCTAGTCTTAAGAGCACCCCTCTCTCCCAGCTGGGTATACAGTGTTGACTCCCACTGAGATTCCTGCTGAGTTATTTCTCTTATGGGATCTGACCTGCTGCCAGAGCTAGTCAACATCTCATCACTTATTTGGGTCTTCTCTCTTTTATATCAGCTCTGCCCCTGGGGTTCTGTTAGCTTAACTGCTCTAGATCCTCTGAAAGAGCTGAGGGAGAAGGCAGCCCCCAGTTGATATCTATTCCCTCATCAATATCAGCAAGCTCCTCTTCCCTGAAAATATCTCTTTACCGCTAGTGTTTTCTAAAATAGGTCTCAATGTTAATAGTTTTATTTAGAGAAAAAAATGCTTTCTGGTCATAAAAATTTGGGAACTGCTGCTTAAAATTAACTTGGTTTCTTTATTGCAGAACAGCTCCAAGCTTTTAATATGCTAATGTGCATTGTGACTCTCTTAGAGGATGATGTAGTATACAACCCAACTCATTTTAGTGCAAAGCATTATTATTATTATTTTTTCTAGGAGTATGTTTTGGGACTAATGTTTTTATGGAACTATGACTTGTTAAAACTCATTTTACTTTTTCTATTTTTTTTTTTTTGCTCAGTATTTTCCAAACTTCAGCCATTCAAATATCAAAGTAGTAATTCTTGCCAACAATTTTCTTTAAATCAACTCATTTTTTTTGCTAAAGTAAATATATTTGGAAAGAAAACCACAGTGAATGGAAAATTGGAATTACCTGCTGTAAATGGAAAGTAACTATGAAAATAAGTAAAATAAAGCAATGCTATTTAAAAGACAAATTGAAAAAATAAACAAAAATCAAGTAGTGGAATGTAGGAATAATATATTTAGTTGATTTATAGAAATACCTGTCTTTTTAAGAATGATAAAAGCAATCTGTTCACTGTTGCTTATTTTGGATGATTATGAGGATTTATCAGTTTGAGTATTCTGTTTTTTTGGTTGATACAGAATCTTGATTCCTCTGTGTACATAGCCAAACTGACCAAAAGTTATTGAAACATTTTCTGAGAAAGTAGTGTATACTAAGAATTGGTTTCTTTTTGAATTTTTTTCTTTTAGCCAGTCATTTGGTTCCTTACCATATTGTTTTTTCCTGTTTAATAAAAATTTTCAAACACAGCATTGTAGAAAGATACAGGAAAATACACTTTACCATCTTCCATAGTCAATAAATGTAGTAGTCAGTGTACTCAAGAGAAACAGAAACAATAGGGCATATATAGATATGTAAGAGAAAATCCATTATGGGTATTTGCTTATGTGACTATGGAGGCTAAAAATCCCCATAATATGCCATCTGCAAACTGGAGAACCAGGAATGCTGGCGATGTAATTCAGTCTCAGTGCAAAGGCCCAAGAACCACACGGGTGGAGGTGGAGGGTGGTGCTGGTGTTAAGTGCCAGTGCCCAAAGGCCTGAGAACCAATGTCCAAGGGCAGAAGAAGATGGATGTCCCAGCTCAAAAAAAGAGGGAGCAAATTTGCCCTTTCCTGGAGTATTGGATGATGTGCACTGTCTTTGGTGAAAGCGGATCTTCTTTACTCAGTCTGCTGATTTAAATGTTAATCTCTTCCAGAAACACCCCCATGGACACACCAGAAATAATGCTTTACCAACTATCTGGGCGTCCCTTAGCCCAGTCAAATTGACCCATAAAATTAGCCATCACAACAAATATTAACTTTTAAAAATAGATGCTTCATTTCTCAGCTGAATTATTTTTATTTCAATTTGTATTGGCATATACATTATTGCTGAACTATTTTAAAGTAAATTAATAAAATGATGTCATGACATTCCTAAATTTTTCTACATGTAGCCTCAAAAATGATATTTTTCTGCATAGTCACAATATCATATCCATATCTATCAAACAGTAATTTTTAACATTATCTAATATTTAGCTCATATAAAAAACTTTTGTTCAACCAAAATTTTGTTACAAGAAGCTATTGAATGACTTCTAGATGAACTTATTTTAAGAATGTCATGTTATTTGGTACTGTCCAGAAGTGATGAAAGTAGTATTCCTTATCTATTCTCTACTGCCATTTAATTTGGAGAAACACTGATGAAGGCTTTCTATAAATATTTCCATTTATACTTTACAACATTAAAAATATTTTCAATGAGCTTTTCAGATGAGTTGATAAATGAAACATTCCATCTGTGATGGTTAATTTTTAGATGTCTACTTGACTGGATTAAGGGGTACCCAGAGATGATAAAGCATTGTTTCTGGGTATATCTGTGAGGGTATTTCTGGAAGAGGCTGACATTTGAAGATCTGCCCTCATCCAATGTGAGTGGGCAACATCCATACTGCTGAGGGCCCAGATAGAACTAAAAAGAAGGAAAATTGGGTTTGACAGCTTCTGAAAGGCAAGGATAAAATAAAAGAAGATTTTCCTACTGTGACTGGGGAAGTCACAAATGGTATGTGAACTCTGGAATGGAAATAGCACTACTATTAATACAGTCCAGGAAGCGAGAGAGACCCCAGGAAAGGCCTCCTGAGCATTACTGAACAGAGGCTTAGCAGTAAGTCTCTAGGAGGACCAACATTTTAATTTTAACCTTGAAGGAAAATCAGAGAAGTCACACAGGCTCTATCTCCTCCCATTCCCCACTTTTAACTGTGGCATGAAATAAACCTGAGGACAGTAGGAATTATTTGATTTGGCTGGCTTGTTTTTGTTTTTAAATTTTATATTAATTTATATGTTTTAAGTACTATATATACTCTGCTGTTGATCCCAAACTCACTTTTCTTGTATCGTACTTGGCCCAATTATGTTACCTTCCTGGTTCGTGCAGACATTTCAGATAGAGACCCTTGGTCTACTAATGGGGTTAAGTGAAGAATAATGCAGACTAGGAGAAATAATACCTTGGGACCTGAATCTGCACAAATACTGGCAGAACAAAGGTAAAATCGGGTGAAACTAATTTGGCCTATTTAATAGTTTTGCTGAGGCCTACGCAGAGCTATCTCTTCTATCTGCTACATAAAATTGTTTCCTGTTCTATTCACTCAAATTCCAAAAAAGTCACAAACAAAGAGAAAAAACAAACTGCTGATTGGCTTCTAAAACCTTCCAGATGAAAAGGCTGGAAAGTGATGTGTATCTATACTTACACGATGAAGCCTCATGTGGAAGATATTAAAAAGTGAAAATGCTATCTTGGGCCAGACCGTCATATCGTAAGCCCAGTTCTCTGCCACTGATTTCAACAGCTGTAGGGAAGAGATTTTACCTTTAGAGTAATAAAATCTTAGCCTTGGGAGGGAAATAGATTTTATAAATGGGGAAACCAAGTGAGTAATTATTTCCCAGGTCTCACGAATTGTGGCAAATGGCAGTATAAGAACAAAAACCCTGCTTGCCAAACTTCTAGTTGCTCTTTTCACTGTACAATAGATGATGGAAACATAATAGTTTGGCTCAATTAATTCCAATTCTTGGTCTATATGAGCTATAGTTACCAGGAGTTCTTACTTGATTTCTTCCTGAGAGAAGTTTCTAGACTTTGGAATTCTGGGCAGATGTATGTACATATAATAAAGATTTAACTTTAACTAACACTTAGGTTCACAGGAAAAGTGAAATGGAAATTTCACCTTGTCATTTGAGCAATTTAGGGAAAAATGAAAATAATCTGCTACTGAAGGGAAACAAAAGGGTATTCAAAATTGATTATTGATGTTGATTCAACCTATTTGGTCTTTGCCTAATTCCTCTTTTTTCTTTATATAAATGGAGACAAGAGTGATAAAAATAAGTCAGGGGCAGCTAGTTCAAACTATATGACTCGATTTAGATGTTTGGTTTCTCAGTAGAAAGCTCGAGAATAAACAAATCCGTTCTCTAAGTTTCTCTTTTAGTGGTATCCAATTCAGTTTGCACACTTCCAGAACCAGTTACATCACAGCACAAAGCATGGAAAGCTTGGATTATCTTTAGAGCATTCACCAATTTGTTCTTAGGTTCATTTGATCTTTAAACAAATAATTGTTCATGTCAATGGAATGTTTATGAATAAAGATAAATAAGATGAAAATGTTGCTATTAAGAAGCCTATGGCTTACTGATGGGGCTAAAATAAGCATAGGAATTTCTATCATTCCAAGTAGTCCGTAGCAATGGAAGATATCAGTTATAAATAGGATTGGGGGAATCAGATAAATCTTAGAAGGGGAGATTGATTTGGTCTTGGATTTTGAAAGACCAGTAAGATTTCTACAGGGCTTAAATCACACAGGTCTCTCAACTTAGAATGGCTACCCTACATCTTATTAAAATGTTGTTAATAATTACTTGAACAAGTACTATTTGAACGCCTATGATATTCTATGAAAAATTCTATTAATCCTTTACAGCTCAGTTAATACTACCATCTCACCTCAGCTTTATATGAGCATCTCAGCAAAGATTCCTTCCTTCTTTGTGTTTCTGGTCTACTTAATTCATGCTGAGTACTTTGCATAAACCGCATACATAGAACTGTGTATATTTATGTGTATATTCATTTTCTCTATTTGACTTATAAGCACTTTGAAGATGGAAATGGCTTTGTATGTTATTTTAATTTTGCCCAGCACTTAGTACAGAATAGGAGTTTCAAAGACTTGATTGAATAAAATGAACCAAGTAATTATCAAATCTTCATTTTTTGTATGTGTGGGGAAATTATCTGTCTCTGTGTCAGTCATTTGTGTCTTCTTCATGACAAATAATACCACCATGGTCAACCTACCACAAGCCATGTTTCAGATAGTTGAAAATCAAATGATCAGTTAGACAGAGCTTGAATTTACCTATTGTCTGTAATGTGTCCTGGGTACAACTTAGTTTATTCTAATACCTAGAAAGAGTTTGAACTTTCATGTAAAACTATTTTGTAAAGACAATGAAATGTAATCTTTGTGGAAAATTACATAAAGATATATAACTTTGAATTCATAGAGCTTCAGTTTTTTTGTCACAGTATATGCATGTTAGCTCTTAAGAGCTTCTAAACTCAGAAAGCTTTGGAGATTAAACACTGAAAGATTTTGTGCAGAAGAATGCTCAGGGGCTGAAAAAATAAAGCACCTCATCATTTTTTACATGTACCCATCAGCTAAAGCCTTTCCTGTTGCCGTATAAAAATTACTGAGGTAAATAGTCTGGCTTCCACTTTGTTCCCCAATCTGCCAGCGGGGTTTAAACTCAGACTCTGAAGGATGTATGTGACATACACTATTTTAGTCTGTTGGAATTGACTCTACCAACATATCTACCATGAAAATAAGATAGCTTTAGTGACTAAGTCAGCTTTATTGTCTCAGAGGCCATTCAGGTACCATTAAGCATTCTGAATAATAAAGGCTAACAAAACTCAGAGTATATGCTGTCATACTTAAGAATCTTAAGAGGTAGTTACTTTTAGTATCAAACAAATGAGAAAATTAAAGCTCAGAATGTTTCTGTAAGTTGCCCAAGGTCATGTAGTTGGTGAATGGTGAAGCAATTATTTGAACTCAGGCAGTCTAACTCTATGCCCACTATATTAATCTCTAAGTTATTTTGCCTGGTGGAATTCCACCTCCAAATTTTACATGACACATTAAGAATACACCCAGTTTCCTCTGATAAAATAAACTAACCTTAGAAATAGATTCCATCCTAGGTTATAGATTTTACTACAAGTTTGTTTTTGAACCTGCATGAAATAGATCCTGGTATAATTGAGTGTTACATAAATATCCCCTGAATGAAAGTATAAATAAATAGCATACCCCTGTAGGGTTCCCTTCTTTGTTCAACTCTTCATTGAAATTTTCATTAACTCCTCAGTTTGATTCAGGGTAGTATATAGTCAGTGGAATTTAAGTGAATACTCCCCTCTTCTACTCAAAAGCTGACTGGGAAAGAAAAGCATTTGGATGTGAGTATTAGCAGAGTATTTCCCATGCACTCTATTACATTTGTAAAATTGCTATTAATTTTCCTCAATCCACTGCCATTTTAAGAGCTGCTGGGCTGTGATTATGTAGCAATTTACTTGCTAACTTTGCCTTTTCCATCAACAATGTAGATGCATAATTAAACTATGTGCTCTGGGGAAAAGACACTTTTAAGTACAGAGGTAAAAGTAAGATTTTTCTCAGAAAAGAGTACAAAAACCAATTTAAATACTAAGTTAATGTCAGTATATTAATATCAGTATGTACTTTGGCAAGAGTATATTTGAATAATTTGTCTCCATGGTGCTTTTTAATTTATTGACAGCGTGTTGTTGAAGTCTAATTGATAAGGTTCTGAGCCATGAGATCTTAATATATTACATAAAATAACTTAAAAAATCAATAATCATTTAATTATTTAGATGTAGTGGTTATAAAAGTGACAAAAATCTCTCATGACGATTTGGAAGGATGATATATTACACACTGTAACATAATTTTTAGGTTTTTAAAGCTGTAGATAAGACACAATCATTCTTAATTTGCAGCAGGCACAGGATGAGCAGATGCAAATTAATCTGAATTCCCTGGACGTCATTTTGACACTAGTTTCTTTGTCATTTCCCATTCATAAATACATGCATCCTATTACATTTATTTACATTTAACTGCAGACTAGTAGAAAACCTATTTAACAAATATGATGCTAAGCTCTGACTGATTATTTGGCAGCATATATCTCACAAGACAAACCCGCTATTAGCTGTAAATGTGAGGCACAGAGAGACCAAACACATGCAAGATGCCATCCATGACTCTTTTTCTATGGCTTGGTTATGTCACACAGATCATAGGCTGGAGGGAAGATTTTCCCATTTTCTTTCCCCTACCACTTTTTACACTGGCAACATGGGTCAATATTGCTTTTCTTTGTAAGCCAATTTACACTTTGAAATGAAGTGAGCATTCAGTAGGAAAAGAAGGTGAAAGTATTCTGCTTTGTAGCATCTGCCAGGACTAATTTTTAAATTTATTTTGGCTGCTATAACAAAGCTATAGACTGGGTGGCTTATAAACAACATAATTTTATTTCTCACAGTTCTGGAGGCTTGGAAGTCCAAGATCAAGAGGTGAACAGATTTGGTGTCTGGTGGGGGCCTGCTTCCTGATTCATAGATGGCACCATCCAGCTGTGCCCTCACATGGTGGAAGGAATGAGGCTGCTCTCTGGAATCTCTTTTATAAGGTATTTATCCCATTCATGAGTGCTCCACCTTCATGACCCAATCAACTCCCAAAGGTCCCACCTCCAAATACTATCACATTAAGGTTAGGTTTCAAAGTATGTATTTTTTTCAAGGGAGGCAGGGACAGGCAGAGAACACAAAACTTCAGTCTATAGCAGTTGGTTAACCCTTTAAGTTTCTCATAGTCTAACCTGATCCCAAATTGCAGAAGAATGCCATAGAGTTCAGAGAAGCACCTTCTAATTGTCTTTGGTCAAATCCAGGGATCCAAATTATGACAAAAGAAAATCAATCTAGAACACAGAGAAAATACTTTTAAGGAGAATTGTCATAGTTTAGGATCTACCTCACAGACCTTAAAAATTCAATTTCTCTTTAGAGTAAATTCAAGTGATAGTTATCATCTCTCAGGCAATAGTGGACTCCGGGCATTAGTAAAGACAGTTCTCTCAGGACAAAGGCTTAATCTATATTTCTACATGCTACATTTCCAACATCTGGGGATGGTTGAATGTTTATTCCACAAAGAAGAGTCTCTGCCCCCAACAAAATAAGTTTCCAGGGTCCCAGTTTCTGGCCTCATGTAATCATTTTAAGAAATTTTTAATTTTAATGTTCAGTGAAGGACTTAAAAAAAAATACAAGCAAAACAAACATACCTTTTGAACCCAGTGTCAATGGGTGTACCTAAGAATAAAATAAGTCACTCAGAGGCTTGATACAGATCAAATCTCTGTAACTTCATAATTTGTGACATGGGCATATTAGCACCCTCCAGAAGTCATCAAACTTGAGCATTTGGATCTCTTGGGTGGAGTAAGATGGCAAATAGAAGACTCCATCAATTGTTTCTATGTAGGAACACCAAATTTAAAAAACTACACAAAAAAATCCCTTCATAAGAAACAAAAGTCAGGAACCAGCTCAGCCACAAGTGGTTACAGCACCAAGAGTCCTCTTGGGGTTCCTGATTTCAGGCCTTGACTTATGTGTGGCATTTCTGGACCTACCCTGAGCAGAAGGGTAATCCACTGCCCTAAGGGTGATTCTGAGGCCAGGCAGCATTCACCATAACCTGACAGAAGAATCCTTGGACCTTAAGTGAATATTGGCAGTGACTGGCAGTACTCCTCATGAGCCTGTGGTAATGGTGGCCATGGGGTGAGGCTCCTCTGCCTGTAGAAAATGGAAAGAGAGTGGGAAAGACAATGTCTTGTGATTTGAGTGCCAGTTCAGTCACAGTAGAATAGAACACCAGGTAAACTTCTAAGATTTTTTACTTCAGTCCCAGGTTCCCAGACAGCACCTCTGGACCCACCTGGTACCAGAGGGAACTTGTCACCCTGAAATAAAGGACACTGGTCTGGCTGGCTTCACCACCTGCTGATTGTAGGGCCCCAGGTCCTTGAGTGAACACAAGCAGTAGCCAGGGAGTGGTCACAGCAGGCCTTGGGTGAGACCTAGTACAGTGCAGGCTTCAGATCTGACCCAGTATAGTCTCAGTGATGGTGGCCACAGGACAGCTTCTGTCATACCATCCATAGCTCCATAGCTCCAGGCAGCTCAGAACAGAGAGAGAGAGAGAGAGAGAGAGAGAGAGAGAGAGATTATTTGTTTGGGGGAATATAAGGGAAGAGAACAGAAGTCTCTGCTTGGTAATCCAGAGAAATCTTATCCAAGACCAGCAAGGTGGCATCTCTATGAGTCTGCAAAAACCACTGCATTGCTGTCCATGAAGTGCCCTCTAATGTAGATATGACTTAGATCACAATACCAAAGTTCTTTTGAAAACCTGGAAAGCTTTCCCAAGAAGGATAGATAGAAACAAGCCCAGATTGCAAAGACTACAATAAATACCTAACTCTTTGATGCACAGACACCAATGAACATCCACAAGCATCAAGAACTAAATAAGGCACTAGGAACCAATCCTGGAGAAATACAGATATGTGACCTTTCAGAGAGATAATTCAAAATAGCTCTTTAAAGGAAACTCAGTAAAATTCAAGATAACACAGAGAGGAGATTCAGAATCCCACCAAATAAATTTAACAAAGAGATTGAAATAATTAAAAAGAATCAAGCAGAAATTCTGGAGCTGAGAAATGCAATCAGCATATGAAGAATCCATCACATTCTCCTAATAGCAGAATTGATCATTAGAAGAAATAATTAGTAAGCTTGAAGACAGCCTAGTTAAAAATACACAGTCAAGAAGACAGAAAATAATAAAAAACAATAAATCACACCTACAAGATTTAGAAAATAGTCTCGAAGGGCAAATCTAACAGTTATTGCTCTTAAAGGAGAGGTAGAGTAAGAGATAGAGGTAGAACGTTTATTCAAATGGAAAATAACAGAAAACTTCCCAAACCAAGAGAAAGATAGCAATATCTAAGTACAAGAAGGTTATAGAACACTAAACAAGTTTAACCCAAAGACTACCTCAAGGCATTTAATAATCAAACTCCCAAAGGTTAAGGTATTTAATAATCAAACTCCTAAAGGTCAAAGATAAAGAAAGGATCTTAAAAGCAGCAAGAGAAAAGAAGCAAATAACATACAATGGAGTTCCAATACATCTGGCAGCTGCCTTTTTCATGGAAACCTTACAGGTCAGCAGAGAGTGGCATGATATATTTAAAGTGCTCAAGAAAAAATAACTTTTATCTTAGAATAGCATATCTAGTGAAAATATTCTTTAAGCATGAAGAAGAAATAAAGACTTCCCAGACAAACAAAAGCCGAGAAATTGCATGAATACTACACCTGTTCTACAAGAAATACTAACAAGAGTTCTAAAATCTGAAAGAAGAGGACATTATTGAGCAATAAGAAATCATCTGAAGGCACAAAACTCAGTGTTGAGTACACAGAAAAACATGGACTATTATAACACTGTAACTATGATATATAAACTACCCTTACCTTAAGTAGAAACCCTAAAAGATGAAGCAATCAAAGATAAGTACAACAGCTTTTCAAGATACAAACAGTACAATAAGATAAAAATGGAAACAAGAAACAGTTAAAAAGCAGAGTTAAGGTGTAGAGTTTTTGTCAGTTTTTTAAATGTTTATCTGTTTGTTTATAAAAAAAGTATTAACTTATCCACTTAAAATAATGGGTTATAAGATAGTATTTACAAGCCTCATGGTAAACTCAAATCACAAAAAATGTAAGATTTCCAAAAAATAAAAACCAAGTGATTAAATTATACCACCAGCAAAAGTCACCTTCCCTAAAAGGAAGACAGGAAAGAAGGAAAAGAAGACAACAAAACAACCAGGAAACACATAACAAAATGGCAGGAGTAAGTCCCTACTTATCAATAATAACATTGAGTGTAAATGGACTAAATTCTCCAAGAAAAAGTCATAAAATGGCTGAGTTGATAACAAAGAAGACTCAATGATTTATTGCCTAGAAGAAACACACTTCACCTATAGATATATTCATAGACTGAACATTAAGGAATGGAAATAGAAATTCCATGCAAATGGAAACCAGAAAAGAACAGGAGTACCTAAAGTTATATCAGACAAAATAGATTTTAAGACAAAAGCTATAAAAAGAGACAAAGAAGGTCACCAGATAATGATAAAGGAATAAATTCAGGAAGAGGATATGACAATTATAAATATATATATATGCATCCAACACTGGAGCACTCAGATATATAAAGGAAATATTTTTAGAGCTAAAAAGAAAGCTAGACCCTAATACAATAATAGCTGGAGACTTCAACACCTCACTTTCAGTATTGGACAGATCTTCCAGAAAGAAATCAACAAAGAAATAGCAATTTAATTTGTACTATAGACCAATTGAACCTAAAAATATTTGCAAAAGATTTCACTCAGTGGCTATAGAATACACATTTTTTCTCAGCACATGGCCCATTGTTATGGATATATCATATGTTAGGTCACAAACCAAGTCTTAAAACATTAAAAAATATTGAAGTAATATCAAGCATCTTCTCTGACCACAGTGGAATGAAACTAGAAATCAATAACAGGAGGAATTATGGAAAATGTAAAAACATGTGGAAATTTAACAATATGTTCCTGAATGACCAGTGGTCAGTGAAGAAATTAAGAAAGAAATGTAAATATTTCTTGAAATAAATGGAAATGGAAACACAACATATCAAAAGCTGTGGGATACAGCAAAGCAGTATGAAGATGAATGTTTATAGAAATAAGCACCTACATCAAAAAAAGTAGAAAATTTTCAAGTAAACAACTTAATAATACGTGTTAAAGAACTCAAAAGGCAAGAGCAAACCAAACCCAAAATTAGTAGAAGAACAGAAATAAAAATCAGAGCAAAAATAAATAAAATTTAAACAAACAAAAAACATCAACAAAACAAAATGTTATTTTTTTGAAAAGATAAACAAAATTGAAAAACCTCTAACCAGACTAAGAGGAAAAGACAGGAGACCCAAATGAATAAAATCAGAGATGAAAAAGGAGACATTACAATTGATACCTCAGAAATTCAAAAGATCACTAGTGACTACTCTGAGTAACTATATGACAATAAGTTGTAACACTTTGAAGAAATGGATAAAATGGATTCCTACACACATACAACTTACCAAGATTAAACCATGAAGAAATCAAAAACCTGAACAGACCAATAACAAGTGATGATTTCAAAGCCATAATAAAAAGTTTTCCAGTAAAGAAAAATCCAGGACCCAATGGGTTCACTGCTAAATTCTACCAAATATTTAAAGAAAAGCTACTACCAATCCCACTCAAATTGTTCTAAAAAATACAGGAAGACAGAATACCTCCAAAGTCATTCTATGAGGCCAGTATTACTCTGATACAAAAACCAACCAAAGACAAATTAATATCCCTGATGGATATTGATAGAAAAATTCTCAACAAAATATTAGGAATTTGAGCTTAACAATACATTATGAAGATCATTCTTTTATATGGATATGGGATATTGCTCTGTGGAGGAATTACATTACCTGACTTCAAATGATACTACAGAGCTATAGTAACCAAAATGGCATGGTACTGGCATAAGCATTATATGGTTCTGTTTAGACACATAGACCAATGCAACAGAATAGAGAACCTAGAAATAAATTCATACCTGTACAGTAAACTTATTTTTGACAAAAGTACCAAGAACATACATTGGGGGAAAGGACAATCTCTTCAATAAGTGATGCTAAGAAAACTGGATATCCATGTGCAGGAGAAAA
Source organism: Homo sapiens (assembly GCF_000001405.40). Classification (NCBI taxonomy): domain Eukaryota; kingdom Metazoa; phylum Chordata; class Mammalia; order Primates; family Hominidae; genus Homo; species Homo sapiens. Next base: position 90,105,673 of record NC_000010.11, read on the forward strand.
AAAACTAGGTCTCTATGTCTCCCCATATACAAAAATCAAATCAATATGGTTTAAAGACTTTAAGACAAAATACTATGAAACTGCTACAAGAAAACATTGGGAAACTGTTCAGGACATTTAACTGGGCAACAATTTCATGAGTAATACCCCAGAAGCACAGGTAGCCAAAGCAAAAATGGACAAATGCGATGACATCAATTTAAAAAGCTTCTGCATGGCAAAGGATACAATCAGCAAAATGAAGAGACAACCTACAGAATAGGAGAAAATATTTTCAAACTACCCATCTGACAAGAGATTAATAACCAGAATATATAGGAGCTCAAATAACTCTAAAGGAAAAAATCCAATAATCTGATTAAAAAATGGGCAAAGGATTTGAATAGACATTTCTCAAAAGAAAACATACAAATGGCAAACAGGTATATGAAAAGGTGCTCAACATCACTGATCATCAGAGAAATGCAAATCAAAACTACGATGAGATATCCTCTCACCCCAGTTAAAATGGCTTATACTCAAAAGTCAGGCAGTAACAAATGCGGGCGAGGATGTGGAGAAAAGGGAATGCTTGTATACTGTTGGTGGGAATGTGAATTGTATAACCTCTGTGGGGAACAGTTCCTAGGTTCTTCAAAAACTAAGAATGGAGCTACCATATGATCCAACAATCCCACTGCTAGGTATCTACTCAAAAGAAAGAAAATCAGTATATCAAAGAGATATCTGTACTCCCATGTTTATTGCAGCACTATTCAAAATAGCCAAGATTTAGAAGCAACCTAAGTATCTGATATGGTTTCACTATGTCCCTACCCAAATCTCATATTGAATTGTAATCTCTATAACCCCCCACATGTCATGGGGGATCTTGGTGGCAGGTAATTGAATCATGAGGGTGGTTCCCCCATGCTGTTCTGGTGATAGTGAGTGAGTTCTCATGAGATCTAATGGTTTTATAAGCATCTGCCATTTCCCCTGCTGACACACATTCTCTCTCCTGCTGCCTTGTGAAAAGGTGCCTTCCACCATGATTGTTAGTTTTCTGAGGCCTCCCCAGTCAGGAGGAACTGTGAGTCAATTAAACCTCTTCTCTTTATAAATTACCCAGTCTCAGTTATTTCCTTATAGCAATGTGAGACAGACTAATACAGTAAATTGGTACCACGGTAGTGAGGTGCTTCTACACAGATACTAAAAAATGTGCAAGTGACTTTGGAACTGGGTAACAGGCAGAGGTTGGAACAGTTTGGAGGGCTGAGAAGAACACAGGAAGATGTGGGAAAGTTTGGAACTTCCCAGAGACTTGTTGAATGGCTTTGACCAAAATTCTGATAGTATAGACCATAAAGTACAGGCTGAGGTGATCTCAGAGATGAGGAACTTGTTGGAAACTGAAGTAAAGCTTACTCTTGTAATGCTTTAGCAAAGAGACTGGAAGCATTTTGCCCCTGCCCTAGAGATGTGTGCAACCTTGAACTTGAGAGAGATGATTTGGGGTATCTGGCAGAAGAAATTTCTAAGTAGCATAGCACTCAAGAGGTGACAGAGCATAAAAGTTTGGAAAAGTTGTGGCCCGATGATGCAGTAAAAGAAAATTCCATTTTTTTGGAAAAAATTCAAGCTGCAGAAATTTGGATAAGTAACAAGTAGCCAAATGCTAATCACCAAGACAATGACACTATTGGGTTTCGTACTTGCATGGGGCCTGTAGTCCCTTCATTCTGGCTAATTTCTTCTATTTTTAAGGGATCTATTTACCCAAAGCCTGTGCCTCCATTGAATCTAGGAAGTAACTAACTTGCTTTTGATTTTACAGGCTCATAAGTGAAAGGGACTAGCCTTGTTTCAGATGAGACATTGCACTTGGACTCTTGAGTTAATGCTGAAATGAATTGAGACTTTGGGAGACTGTTGGGAAGGCAAGATTGTGTTTTGAAATGTGAGGACATGAGATTTGGGAAATGACAGGGGCAGAATGATATGGTTTGGCTGTGTCTCCACCAAAATCTCATCTTGAATTGTAATCTTCATAATCCCTATGTGTCATGGGAGGGACCTGGTGGGAGGTAATTGAATCATGGAGCTGGTTTCACCCATGCTGTTCTCATGATAGTGAGTGAGTTCTCAAGAGATCTGATAGTTTTATAAGCATCTGGCATTTTCCCTGCTGACACTCACTCTCTCTCATGCTGCCTTGTGAAGAGCTGCCTTCCACCATGATTGTAAGTTTCCTGAGACCTCCCCAGCCATGTGGAACTTTGAGTCAATTAAACCTCTTTTCTTTATAATTTACCCAGTCTCAGGTATTTCCTTATGTAGCAGGACAAGCCACAGACAAAACTCCTCAGACACCGAGTTAAAGAAGGAAGGGGTTTATTCAGCCAGGGGCATCAGCAAGACTCTTAGCTCAAGAGCTGAGCCCCCAAGTGAGCAATTCCTGTCCTTTTTAAGGGCTCACAACTCTAAGGGGGTGTGCGTGAGAGGGTCGTGATCGATTGAGCAAGCAGGGGGTACGTGACTGGGGGCTGCAGGCACTGGTAATTAGATCAGAACTAAACAGGATAGGGATTTTCACAGTGCTTTTCTATACAATGTCTGTAATCTATAGATAACATAACTGATTAGATCAGGGGTCGATCTTCAACTACCAGGCCTAGGGTGTGGCGCCGGGCTGTCTGCTTGTGGATTTCATTTCTGCCTTTTAGTTTTTACTTTTTCTTTCTTTGGAGGCAGAAATTGGACATAAGGCGATATGAGGGGTAGTCTCCTTTATTCACAGCAATGTGAAAAGGGACTAATACAGTGTCCATCAACAGATGAATGGATAAGCAAATTTGGTACATATGTGCAATGGCTTACTATTCCACCATAAAAAAGAATGAAATTCTTTCATTTGCAACAACGTGGGTGGAACTGGAGGTCATTATATTAAGTGAAATTAGCCAGGCAAAGAAATAGGCAAAGAAGGACAAACTTTGCATGTTCTCACTTATTTGTGGGAGCTAGAATTTAAAACAATTGAAGTCATGGAGAAAGAGCAGAGGGATGGTTACCACAGGCTGGGAACGTTAGTGGGGGTGGGACGGGAAGGGGGAAGGGCATGGTTAATGGGTACAAAAAATAGTTAGAAAGAATAAATAAGACCTAGTATTTGCTAGCAAAACAGCACGACTATAGTAAAAAATAATTTAATTGCACATTTCAAATTAATTGAAAGTATATAATTAGATTATAACACAAAGAATAATTGCTTGAGGTGATGGGATACCCTATTTACCCTGATGTGATTATTATGCATTGCATTCCTGTATCAAAATATCTTATGTAACCAATAAAAATATACACCTACCATGTACTGACAAAAATTAAAAACTAAAAAACAAACAAACAAACTTGAGTAATTGCACAGATGTGGTTAATCCCATGGTGTTTTTCTTTGCATATGCTCGTTATGAAACGTTTGACCAGCAAACATAAAACTTATCTAAAGGTAGGTGTTCACTGGTGCAGTGATGATCTGTTGGACTGTGTAAATAATGTTTGAAGCTGTCATTAAAATGTGGAATCCTATTATCAATGCATGACAGAATTCTGTTATTTCAAGGAATACAGTGGTATTTTAGCACCACATATACTGGTTTTCCAAGTTGGGATTTTTAGCAATATAAAGCATTAATAAAATAGTACTTCCCTAAGGGCCTATGAAGAAATATTTAAACCTTTATGGCTGTAAGCATTCTCAGATTATTGTAAAGTTGAAGGCACAGGGCTGGTCCAGACATAGGGCCGGTTCAGATTTTCTACGTCTTTCTTCCCTCCTCAAAGTTACCTTTATTACCAGGATCAAGTCCAGGCTCACATGGATAACTCCATCTGAGATAGGTCAGTGTTGAAAAGTGGAGGGTAGAAGTAATTATCCGTATGCCAAGGGCCCCAAGTCATTCGTCTGACGCAACTGATATATCTGGTCTGAATTCTGCAAACTGGTTGTCAATTTCATTCAACAAATTCATTCAATGTACATTTATTGAGTTTTCTTCTGCAGAACCTTGCCTTTGGTGCTGGAAGAAAAATGAGGATGTAGAAACACAAATTCTTTTAGCCAGTAGTCCCTATTTTGCCTTACGTAGCTGTGGCCATTTACGGTCCTGTGATAAATAAAACAGAGATAATCAGTGATTTGATTGGCTGATTTTTTCCTTTGCAAAGGCAGGTGGATGATGCCCATCTCCAAGCCTTCATATTATATTATCTCAACCCCCACCTCCAATTCTTCTAGCTATTCTATCTCTCCCCACATCATGGCAATCCATATAATAGAAAAGGGAAAAAGGTGAGTTCAGATTCTATCTTATTTATAAATCATGTCACATACTGACATTTTTCTATGATTCACAAAGCCACCAACAGGTTCAGCATAAATGATTTGCATCATGCAGGTGATATCAAAAGTAGTTTTTAAAGCAATCATTTGGGGCAACAGGAAGAATGTTATATAAATGCCTCATAGAGCCTTGGCATTGTGTATATGTACCACATTTTTTTATCCAATCCTTTGTTAATGGACACTTGGATTGATTCCATGTATTTGCTATTGTGAATAGTGCTGCAATAAACATATGAGTCTAGGTGTCTTTTTTATATAATACTTTCTTTTCCTTTGGGTAGATACCTAGTAATAATATTGCTAGATTATATAATAGTTCTATTTTTAGTTTTTTGAGAAATCTTCATACTGTTTTCTGTAATGGCTATACTAATTACCATTCCCATCAACAGTGTATAAGAGCTCCCTTTTTTCTACATCCTCTCCAACATTTATTATTTTTTTACCTTTTTAATAATAGCCATCCTGATTGGTGTAAGATGATATAACACCTCATTGCAGGAATTTATTACCAGTTTTACATTGCACTACTAAATTCTCATAAAAGGCACTCACACTCTACTAAGAATGGTTGAACTTCTTCAAGGAAATTGTATTGTTTGTATCCTGTGAACACTGTGGGTTATATAATCCATTAGGTTTTTCTGTTTTTGTTGATGGCTAAAAATCATAGAGATAAATTTGTGCCTCATTTATTGAAAATGCATAATAAAAATTGTTCACCATATTCCTGTTTTGTAATTAACCTCCTTCTTGGATCTAGTTTATATTCTTCCTGCCTTTGTGGTTGCACACTGTAACCTATTTTATCTTCCTTTGGTTCACGAATTCTATAAGTTGTTTTATGTTCTTATTGGAAAATAATGAAACATTAGAATATAAAATACTTTGGGGGTACCTCTTTAAATCTTCTTTGCATGCCCCTCCCATTTATTCCCATGACCTTGTCTCATGACTGCCAAGTCTTTTGTCTGTTTCCTTTTTCCCAAAGTCCTTTCCTTTGGCAAGTGTGTATTCCTCTGTTGAATAAACATAGAATGACTTAGGCAGCAAATGGTTTGGTAAGACACTCCATGTAGCTTTTTGTTTTGTTCTAATTCTTTTGAAAAATATCTTCCAAAAAAATCCACTTATTAAGAAATTCATCAATTTTTATCTTAAAAGTATAGTCTTTAAAATTCTTTGCAGAGTTCTCTTCTCAGCCTTCTGTAAATGCCTCAAATTTTATCTCTCAGTTTTACATCAATTTGTAAAATTTATAATTTTTATTAGTATTTAGTGTAACCAGTCTTAAGGGGATGCCTGTCTTACAGATAGAATCACAAACAGAATAAGAATTGGCATTAGAAAGTACTCAGTCTCTTTTTCTTGTTTTGTAATTACAGTTTTCAATTTGCCAAGTAGAATCATTTTATAGATGAAGATTCACAGTTAACTAGACAGCAGAAGCTGGAGAAATAATTGAGCTTTACTATCAATTAGATTTTATTTTCATCACACAATTTTGCTTTACATGCTTGCTTTTCTTTCTGCATTTTAATTACCAGTGTCCCTTCTTCTGGTTTTGTGTATGTGATATCAGTTATATATGATTTTAAAATATTTTCTATCTTTTCCTCTTCTCATTTTGATGTTTTCATTTGTCCAAAGCAGTAATGACCTTTATGGTAATACTTGGCTCATGACAACTTAATTCCTCTGAGAATCAGCCCACCTGTAGGAAGTGGTCTTTGCAGATCAACTTATACTGTGTGACTCACCCCTTTACCAAAGCACCTTTGCTAGATGTCCAGTCATATTCTCTCCCCATGAATCACCCTGTGTGGGTGGTTTGAAATGAACTGATGTCCACTTAGGAAGCTCTGGGGCAGGCATCTCCTACCCACCATCTGTGCTGGGAAAAGAAAGTGAACGTCCAGAGAGAAGCAGAGATGGAGAGAAGGCATGACTGGTTTTTATTTTTACTTTTTGTAACTATTTATTTACTGTTTCAAATGCTTCCCCAGTCTGGCTATCCTTGAGTGTGTTACCCAACATCTTCCTAATAGAGTCTTTTTCCCTTTCTTAAGCCAGGATATATTGCTTTCTGTTACTATTAGGATAACTGGGGCTATTATTACCAAGTGAAGCCATTATTACCGAAGTGAAGAGCCTCCAATACAGTACTTTGGGAGCAGTCAATTCCCTTCTTCATGTCCCACCTTTGTTCCTCTCACAAAAATTACATCAGTATTTTCTTCTCTCATAGCCCCATAGCTAACATATTGTGCCCCTTGAGTTCCTTTGCCATTTGTGTTGCATGTTCCCATTTTGAATTATGCTTGTCCACGTTCAGGTCATTTTTCTTATTCTGTCAAGTGTTCCTCTGAGCCCTCTTCTCTCTTTGTCTCTCTTTGTGCTTCTGGCCATCTCTCAGACCCAGATATTTGACATTAATTTGGACTTGGATTTCCACCTACAATAGACATGCTGCTCTCCTTGGCTATGGCCTCTCCCTACATTAATTCTTCTGCATCTTTTCTCCCTTATTCCATTCTTCCTGCAGGTTTTTGACAAAGCTGCATATATTGATGAGACTGCAAGTAGTTTTTGTCTTCTTCCTTCTGTAGGAACAATTTTCTCTCTACTGTTTTTCTCATGGTGGCTCTTATTTATCTCTAGATTCTTCCTCTTTTCCTTATAAATTATAAGATTTTCTTCTTTGGAAATAAAATTTCTTCTTTATATTCCTCTAATGGTTCCTGGAGTCTTATCTTACTGCCTTCTTCTTGGCTCATATGTCCTTCCTGCATACATTTGGGCTGAGAGAATAAGATCCTGACTCATTCAGATGCTCTGGCCAGCCTCCCTTAAATAAGGCCAGTTCTTGAAAAATTTGTATGAGTGTGGCTTTGTAGACATAGAGATTAAAAAGGAAAAGAATATTTTCGTCTGGGTTTTCCAGAGAAACAGAAACAATTATAGATACATTTGTAGCTGTATCTTTATACATTTGCCTGTTAATTTTTAAAATATATATATATATATTTATTATACTTTAAGTTCTAGGGTACATGTACACAATGTATAGGTTTGTTACATATGTATACATGTGCCATGTTCGTGTGCTGAACCCATTAACTCGTCATTTACATTAGGTATATCTCTTAATACTATACCTCCCCCCTCCCCTCACCCCACAACAGGCCCTAGTGTGTGATGTTCCCCATCCTGTGTCCAAGTGTTCTCATTGTTCAATTTCCACCTATGAGTGAGAACATGCAGTGTTTGGTTTTTTGTCCTTGCAATAGTTTGCTGAGAATGATGGTTTCCAGCTTCATCCATGTCCCTGCAAAGGACATGAACTCATCATTTTTTATGGCTGCATAGTATTCCGTGGTGTATATATGCCATATTTTCTTAATCCAGTATATCATTGTTGGACATTTGGGTTGGTTCCAAGTCTTTGTTATTGTGAGTACTGCTGCCATAAACATACGTGTGCATGCGTCTTTATAGCAGCATGATTTATATTCCTTTGGGTATATACCCAGTAATGGGATGGCTGGGTCAAATGGTATTTCTAGTTCTAGATCCCTGAGGAATCCCCACACTGTCTTCAACAATGGGTGAACTAGTTTACTGTCCCAACAACAGTGTAAAATGTTCCTATTTCTCCATATCCTCTCTAGCACCTGTTGTTTCCTGACTTTTTAATGATCACCATTCTAACTGGTGCGAGATGATATCTCATTGTAGTTTTGATTTGCATTCCACTGATGGCCAGTGATGATGAGCATTTTTTCATGTGTCTGTTGGCTGCATAAATGTCTTCTTTTGAGAAGTGTCTGTTCATATCCTTTGCCCACTTTTTGATGGGGTTGTTTTTTTCCTGTAAATTTGTTTGAGTTCTTTGTAGATTCTGGATATCAGCCCTTTGTCAGATGAGTATATTGCAAAAAATTTTCTCCCATTCTGTAGGTTGCCTTTTCACTCTGATGGTAGTTTCTTTTGCTGTGCAGAAGATCTTTAGGTTAATTAGGTCCCATTTGTAAATATTGGCTTTTGTTGCCATTGCTTTTGGTGTTTTAGACATGAAGTCCTTGCCCATGCTTATGTCCTGAATGGTATTGCCTAGGTTTTCTTCTAGGGTTTTTATGGTTTTAGGTCTAGCATTTAAGTCTTTAATCTATCTAGAATTAATTTTTGTATAAGGTGTAAGGAAGAGATCCAGTTTCAGCTTTCTATATATGCCTAGCCAGTTTTCCCAGCACCATTTGTTAAATAAGGAATCCTTTCTCCATTTCTTGTTTTTGTCAGGTTTGTCAAAGATCAGATAGTTGTAGATGTGTGGTATTATTTCTGTGGGCCCTGTTATGTTCCATTGGTCTATATCTCTGTTTTGGTACCAGTACCATGTTGTTTTGGCTACTGTAGCCTTGTAGTATAGTTTGAAGTCAGGTAATGTGATGCCTCCAGCTTTGTTCTTTTGGTTTAGGATTGACTTGGCAATGCAGGCTCTTTTTTGGTTCCATATGAACTTTAAAGTAGTTTTTTCCAATTCTGTGAAGAAAGGCATTGGTAGCTTGATGAGGATGGCATTGAATCTATAAATTACCTTGGGCAGTGTGGCCATTTTCACAATATTGATTCTTCCTATCCATGAGCATGGAATGTTCTTCCATTTCTTTGTGTCCTCTTTTATTTCGTTGAGCAGTGGTTTGTAGTTCTCGTTGAAGAGGTCCTTCACATCCCTTGTAAGGTGGATTCCTAGGTATTTTATTCTCCTTGAAGCAATTGTGAATGGGAGTTCACTCATGATTTGGCTCTCTGTTTGTCTGTTGTTGGTGTATAAGAATGCTTGTGATTTTTGCACATTGATTTTGTATCCTGAGACTTTGCTGAAGTTGCTTATCAGCTTAAGGAAATTTCAGGTGGAGACAATTGGGTTTTCTAGATATACAATCATGTCATCTGCAAACAGGGACAATTTGACTTCCTCTTTTCTTAATTGCATACCCTTTATTTCTTTCTCCTTCCTCATTGCCCTGGCCAGAACTTCCAACACTATGTTGAATAGAGTGGTGAGAGAGGGCATCCCTGTCTTGTGCTAGTTTTCAAAGGGAATGCTTCCAGTTTTTGCCCTTTCAGTATGATATTGGCTGAGGGTTTGTCATAAATAGCTCTTATTATTTTGAGATACATCCCCTTAATACGTAATTTATTGAGTTTTTAGCATGAAGGGTTGTTGAATTTTGTCAAAGGCCTTTTCTGCATCTATTGAGATAATCATGTGGTGTTTGTCTTTGGTTCTGTTTATATGCTGGATTATGTTTATTGATTTGTGTATGTTGAACCAGCCTTGCATCCCAGGGATGAAGCCCACTTGATCATGGTGGATAAGCTTTTTGATGTGCTGCTGGATTCGTTTTGCCAGTATTTTATTGAGGATTTTTGCATCGTTGTTCATCAAGGATATTGATCTAAAATTCTCTTTTTTTGTGATGTCTCTGCCAGCCTTTGGTATCAGGATGATGCTGGCCTCATAAAATGAGTTAAGGAGGATTCCCTCTTTTTCTATTGATTGGAATAGTTTCAGAAGGAATGGTACCAGCTCCTCCTTGTACCTCTGGTAGAATTTGGCTGTGAATCCATCTGGTCCTGGACTTTTTTTGGTTGGTAAGCTATTAATTATTGCCTCAGTTTCAGAGCCTGTTATTGGTCTATTCAGAGATTCAACTTCTTCCTGGTTTAGTCTTGGGAGGGTGGATGTGTCGAGGAATTTATCCATTTCTTCTTGATTTTCTAGTTTATTTGCCTAGAGGTGTTTATAGTATTCTCTGATGGTAGCTGTATTTCTATGGGATCGGTGGTGATATCCCCTTTATCATTTTTTATTGCGTCTATTTGATTCTTCTCTCTTTTCTTCTTTATTAGTCTTGCTAGTGGTCTATCAATTTTGTTGATCTTTTCAAAAAACCAGCTCCTGAATTCATTGATTTTTTTGAAGGGTTTTTTGTCTCTCCTTCAGTTCTGCTCTGATCTTAGTTATTTCTTGCCTTCTGCTAGCTTTTGAATATGTTTGCTCTTACTTCTCTAGTTCTTTTAATTGTGATGTTATGGTGTCAATTTTAGATCTTTCCTGCTTTCCCTTGTGGGTATTTAGTGCTATAAATTTCCCTCTACACACTGCTTTAAATGCGTCCCAGAGATTCAGGTATGTTGTGTCTTAGTTCTCGCTGGTTTCAAAGAACATCTTTATTTCTACCTTCATTTTGTTATGTCCCCAGTAGTCATTCAGGAGCAGGTTGTTCAGTTTCCATGTAGTTGAGCGGTTTTGAGTGAGTTTCTTAATCCTGAGTTCTAGTTTGATTGCACTGTGGTCTGAGAGACAGTTTGTTTTAATTTCTGTTCTTTTATATTTGCTGAGGAGTGCTTTACTTCCAACTATGTGGTCAATTTTGGAATAGGTGTGGTGTGGTGCTGAGAAGAATGTATATTCTGTTGATTTTTGGTGGAGAGTTCTGTAGATGTCTATTAGTTCTGCTTGGTGCAGAGCTGAGTTCAATTCCTAGATATCCTTGTTAACTTTCTGTCTCATTGATCTAATGTTGACAGTGGGGTGTTAAAGTCTCCCATTATTATTGTGTGGGAGTCTAAGTCTCTTTGGAGGTCTCTAAGGACTTGCTTTATGAATCTGGGTGCTCCTGTATTGGGTGCATATATATTTAGGATAGTTAGCTCTTCTTGTTGAATTGATCCCTTCACCATTATGTAATGGCCTTCTTTGTCTCTTTTGATCTTTGTTGGTTTAAAGTCTGTTTTATCAGAGACTAAGATTGCGACCCCTGCCTTTTTTTGTTTTCCATTTGCCTGGTAGATCTTCCTCCATCCTTTTACTTTGAGCCTATGTGTGTCTCTGCACGTGAGATGGGTCTCCTGAACACAGCACACTGATGGGTCTTGACTCTTTATCCAGTTTGTCAGTCTGTGTCTTTTAATTGGAGCATTTAGCCCATTTACATTTAAGGTTAATGTTGTTATATGTGAATTTGATCCTGTCATTATGATGTTAGCTGGTTATTTTGCTCATTAGTTGATGCAGTTTCTTCCTAGCATTGATGGTCTTTACACTTTGGCATGTTTTTGCAGTGGCTGGTACTGGTTGTTCCTTTCCATGTTTAGTGCTTCCTTCAGGAGCTCTTGTAAAGCAGGCCTGGTGGTGACAGAATCTCTCAGCATTTGCTTATCTGTAAAGTATTTTATTTCTCCTTCACTTATGAAGCTTTGTTTGGCTGGATATGACATTCTGGGTTGAAAATTCTTTTCTTTAAGAATGTTGAATATTGGCCCCCACTCTCTTCTGGCTTGTAGGGTTTCTGCCAAGAGATCAGCTGTTAGTCTGATGGGCTTGCCTTTGTGGGTAACCCGACCTTTCTCTCTGGCTGCCCTTAACATTTTTTCCTTCATTTCAACGTTGGTGAATCTGACAATTATGTGTCTTGGAGTTGCTCTTCTCAAGGAGTATCTTTGCGGCGTTCTCTGTATTTCTTGAATTTGAATGTTGGCCTGCCTTGCTAGATTGGGGAAGTTCTCCTGGATAATATCTTGCAGAGTGTTTTCCAACTTGGTTCCATTCTCCCAGTCACTTTCAGCTACACCAGTCAGACATTGATTTGGTCTTTTCACATAGTCCCATATTTCTTGGAGGCTTTATTTATTTCTTCTTATTCTTTTTTCTCTAAACTTCTCTTCTCACTTCATTTCATTCATTTGATCTTCAATCACTGATACCCTTTCTTCCAGTTGATTGAATCGGCTCCTGAAGCTTGTGCATTCGTCATGTAGTTCTTGTGCCATGGTTTTCAGCTCCGTCAGGTCCTTTAAGGACTTCTCTGCATTGGTTATTCTAGTTAGCCATTCATCTAATCTTTTTTCAAGGTTTTTGACTTCTTCTTAATGGGTTCGAACTTCCTCCTTTAGCTCAGAGTAATTTGATCATCTGAAGCCTTCTTCTCTCAACTCATCAAAGTCATTCTCTGTCCAGCTTTGTTCCATTGCTGGTGAGGAGCTGTATTCCTTTGGAGGAGAGGCACTCTGATTTTTAGAATTTTCAGTTTTTCTGTTCTGTTTTCTCCCCATGTTTGTGGTTTTATCTACCTTTGGTGTTTGCTGATGGTGACGTACAGATGGGATTTTGGTGTGGGTGTCCTTTCTGTTTGTTGGTTTTCCTTCTAACTGTCAGGACCCTCAGTGGCAGGTCTGTTGGAGTTTGCTGGAGGTCCACTGCAGACCCTGTTTGCCTGGGTGTCAGCAGTGGAGGCTGCAGAACAGCAAATATTGCTGAACAGCAAATGTTGTTATCTGATCGTTCCTCTGGAGGTTTAGTCTCAGAAGGGTACCCGGCCGTGTGAGGTGTCAATCTGCCCCACTTGGGGGTGCCTCCCAGATAGGCTACTCAGGGGTCAGGGACCCACTTGAGAAGGCAGTCTATCCGTTCTCCGTTCTCAAACTCTGTACTGGGAGAACCACCACTCTCTTCAAAGCTGTCAGACAGGGACATTTAAGTCTGCAGAGGTTTCTGCTGCCTTTTGTTCGGCTATGCCCTGCCCCTGGAAGTGGAGTCTACAGAGGCAGGCAGGCCTCCTTGAGCTGCGGTGGGCTCCACCCATTTCGAGATTCCTGGCTGCTTTGTTTACCTACTCAAGCCTCAGCAATGGCAGGCGCCCCTCCCCCAGCCTTGCTGCAGCCTTGCAGTTCTATCCCAGACTGCTGTGTTAGCAATGAGTGAGGTTCCGTGGGCATGGGACTCTCCAAGCCAGGCATGGGATATAATCTTCTGGTGTGCTGTTTGCTAAGACCATTGGAAAAGCACAGTATCAGGGTGGGAGTGACCCAATTTTCCAGGTGCCGTCTGTCACAGCTTTGCTTGGCTATGAAAGGGAATTCCCTGACCCCTTGCACTTCCCAGGTGAGGCAGTGCCTCTCCCTGCTTTGGCTCATGCTCTGTGTGCTGCACCTGTGTCTGGAATTGGTGGGTTCTTGGTCTCACTGACTTCAAGAATGAAGCCACAGACCCTGGCGGTGAGTGTTACAGTTCTTAAAGGCGGCGTGTCCGGAGTTGTGCTGTTCCTTCTGATGTTTAGATGTGTTCAGAATTTCTTCCTTCTGGTGGGGTTCGTGGTCTCGCTGGCTCAGGAGTGAAGCTGCAGACCTTCGCGGTGAGTATTACAGCTCATAAAGGCAGTGTGGACCCAAAGAGTGAGCAGCAGCAGGATTTATTGCAAAGAGCGAAAGAACAAAGCCTCCACAGTGTGGAAGGGGACCCGAGTGGGTTGCCACTGCTGGCTCGGGCAGCCTGCTTTTATTCTCTTATCTGGCCCCACCCACATCCTGCTGATTGGTAGAGCCGAGTGGTCTGTTTTGACAGGGCACTGATTGGGGCGTTTACAATCCCTGAGCTAGACACAAAAGTTCTCCACGTCCCCACCAGATTAGCTAGATACAGAGTGTTGACACAAAGGTTCTCCAAGTCCCCACCAGAGTAGCTAGATACAGAGTGTCGATTGGTGCATTCACAATCCCTGAGCTAGACACAGGGTGCTGAGTGGTGTGTTTACAAACCTTGAGCTAGATACAGAGTGTCGATTGGTGCATTTACAATCCCTTAGCTAGATATAAAGGTTCTCCACGTCTCCACCAGACTCAGGAGCCCAGCTGGCTTCACCCAGTGGATCCCACACCGGGGCTGCAGGTGGAGTTGCCTGCCAGTCCCGCACCATGTGCTGCACTCCTCATCCCTTGGGTGGTTGATGGGACTGGGCGCCATGGAGCAGGGGGTGGCGCTCATCGGAGAGGCTCAGGCCACACAGGAGCCCACGGAAAATGCGGGGCTCAGGCATGGTGGGCTGCAGGTCCTGAGCCCTGCCCCATGGGAAGGCAGCTAAGGCCTGGTGAGAAATTGAGCACAGCAGCTGCTGGCCCAGATGCTAAGCCCCTCACTGCCTGGGGCCGGCTGGCCGCTCCGAGTGCGGGGCCTGCCAAGCCCACACCCACCTGGAACTCGCACTGGCCTGCAAGCACCGCACACAGCCCCGGTTCCCGCCCGCGCCTCTCCATCCACACCTCCCCGCAAGCTGAGGGAGCTGGCTCCAGCCTTGGCCAGCCCAGAAAGGGGCTCCCACAGTGCAGCGGCAGGCTGAAGGGCTCCCCAAGTACCACCAAAGTGGGAGCCCAGGCAGAGGAGGTGCCAAAAGTGAGTGAGGGTGCACGTCATCACCTCTCATACCCACTGTCCTGCACCCACTGTCCGACAAGCCCCAGTGAGATGAACCCGGTACATCAGTTGGAAATGCAGAGATCACCCATCTTCTGCGTTGCTCACGCTGGGAGCTGTAGACTGGAGCTGTTCCTATTCGGCCATCTTGGAACCTCCCACCTGTTAATTTTTATGTAACTATGAAAAAGACACTTGCACACATGTTTATAACAGCACAACTTGCAATTGCAAAAATGCAGAACCAGCCTAAATGCCCGTCAACCAACAACTGAATAAAGAAAATGTAGTATGTATACAACATGGAACACTACTCAGCTGTAAAAAGAAATGAAGTAATGGCATTCACAGCAACCTGGGTGGAGTTGCAGACTATTATTCTGAATGAAGTAACTCAGGAATGGAAAATGTTGCATGTTCTCACTTATAAGTGGGAGCTAAGCTGTGAGGACACAAAGGAATAAGAATGATATAATGGACTCTGGGGACTCAAATGTAAGGATGGGAGGGGGATGAAGAATAAAAGACTACACATTGGGTATGGTATACACCGCTTGGGTGATGGGTGCACCAAAATTTCAAAAACCGCCTCTGAAGAACTTATCCATGTAACCAAAAACCACCTGTTCCTCCCCCAAAATAAAAATAAAATAACAATTTTTAAAATTTTATAAAACTATATATTTATATATAAATAAATCTCTATGTTATATATATGTATGTATGTATACAGAGAAAGAGAGAGAAAGAGAGATTATTATACAGAATTATATAAAATTTATTCAAATAATTTTGGAGGCTGTGAAGGCAAAGAACTTCAGTCAGCAAGCTAGAAACCCAGAGAGCTGATGGTATAATTCCAGTCTGAGTCCAAAGTCTGAGAACTAGGAAAGCAAATGGTGTAAATTTCAGTCCAAGTCCAAATTCTAAAGCAGGAGAAGACCAATGTCTTCAAGGCAAGTTGAATTCTCTCTCTCAGCCTATTTGCTCTGTTCATGCCATCAACGGATTGGAAGAGGCTCACTCACATTACAGAGAGCATCTGCTTTATTCAGTCTACTAACTTCAGTGTCAATCTCTTCCAGAAACTCCCTCAAAGACACACCAAGAATAACGCTTAACCAAATATCTGGATACTCTGTGGCCCAGTCAAATTAACCATCATACTTCAACTGCTCATCCCCATCTTGTAGGCGCTCAACTCTTGGTGAATGCCTCTGGGCTCACTTTCCTTTGGTCTCAGAAATATGAATTCCTGTTCTCAGTGAATTCCTTGCTTCCCTCACACATGTCTCCCATGGCTATTCTTTCTCTTTGCTCTTTAATTTAATACAGAAAATGAAAGGGTTTACACAAAAAGTGCCCACATATCGCATTTGAGGATAGTGAGACCTACAGAGGGGTTGTGGGACAAAGATATTGTATACTCCATCAGTGCCATCAGCTAAATCATATAGTAGGTTCTATTTTTAATACATATATTTAGTCACTCCACCTGCAGGATTTTTTCAGTGGCCACCTTTCTTCCATGAAATGGCTCAATTACCTGTCTCCCCTTCCCCCTTATTCTATACCTCCCTTTTGTCCCGAAGCCTCAAATTCCTATTTGTGTCATATGGGCAGCAGTTTAGCCTATTCTTTGCTGCAATGCATCCTTCCAAATTATAAGTTTAGAAGTTCACTTTTTCTACCCAAAGACAATTTCTTTCTACAAAGCTATTAAAATGATAGTTTATTCACTTCGTCTTGTTTATTCATGCAAGTAATCATTTATTAAACTTAAATATACACCTACTTGAGATTCATTGAAGATGGAGATGCAAACAATGGGCAAAAGATGTGTCGTAACAGTGTTTTAAGTGATACTACTAGCATGTTGTGCTATGATTTAGTATTTATTGTATTATGACAGAAAATTTAGAATAAGAAAGAAATGCATTGTCTCATGGGATTCGAAATTCTGGGCTGAATAAGGGCTGAAAAAATAAAATATAAATGATAAAAAATAAATTACACATTTGTTGAAGCTACTGCTTTAAAAAATATAAAACATACTTCCTATTCCTAAGGGAATTTATAGGCCAGAGGAAGAGATGTATAACGAAAGAGGAAACTCCAGCACAGTATGACACAATAGAGGTAAACGTGGGATGGTAGGATTTAGCGTGGATGGACAGTGGTCATCACTAAAATGGTGCCACTTAAGTTGGGTCTCACAGGGTCTCACGCAAGTAACAAAGCATTTGTGTGTTCTTGTGTACTTCAGAGTGGAAGTGGGCCATGATGTTGAGGGAAGATTCAACATCTCCACAAGGGTACCTCCCTAATAGAACTCAACACATCCTAAATTAAGCTCATTTTTTCCTCCAGTTTTGCTTTTCCTCTGACATTATCGGTACACGACACCAATGCTCACCTTCTTCAAGCCAAAACCTGGGCATCCTTTTTGTGTCTCCTCTCCTTCAACAACATAGGGAGTCAATTTGTTACCAATTCTGGCTATTCCAAACAATTTTCAGATATCTAAGTATGCCATACTTCCTTTGACCTCTAAACATTTGTAACTATTATTTCCTTTCCTTGGGGCACAGTTCCTCTCCCATACATCACCCACATTTCCCTGGGCAACTCATCCTTATTCTTAAAGCCTCAGCTTAGACATCACTTGTACCAAAAAGGCTCACATAACAACCTATATCCAAATTAGATGCTCTTCCTGCAAGCTCCCCAACGTATGCCAGCAAAGCACTTATGACACTCCATTGTAATTGCCTGCTAGTGTCTCTGTCTCCTTCAATAGCTTATAAGCACCATAACGGAAGATATTATTGTCTGTTTTAACTATAACTGCATTTACAGTGATTGGCACAGTCGTTGCCACAAAGTAGGTATTCCATAGGTATTTGTGAAATGAATGAGTAAACACATGATTGAAATGTCACAGGTAGAAAGTTCTGAGAATGGTAAAAGCCATAATGTGGATATAGGTCTGTGTAGCAAAATTGAAATGGAGGTAAAAGTCACCAGAATTGAGAAGGACAATTGTCTACCTTGCATGTGTCTGGAGGGAATTGAAGTTGTCCAGAGTGGTAGTCAGTCATGAGGTGAATAGAAAGATCATGAGCCACAAGCCAAGGTCTTCAGTGAACATGATGAGTGATATGGTTTGGCTGTGTCCCCACCCAAATCTCATCTTGAATTGTAACTCCCACAATTCCCAAGTGTTGTGGGAGGAAGCCGGTGGGAGGTGATTGAATTATGGGGGCGGGTCTTTCCTGCACTGTTCTCATGATAGTGAATGAGTCTCATGAGATCTGATGGTTTTAAAAACAGGAGTTTACCTGCACAAGCTCTCTTCTCTGGTCTGTCGCAATGTGAGATGTGCCTTTTACCTTCTGCCATGATTGTGAGGCCTCCCCAGTCATGTGGAACTGTAAATTCAATAAATCTCTTTTTTCTGTAAATTGTCCAGTCTCGGATATGTCTTTATCAGCAGCGTGAAAACAGACTAATGCAATGAAGGACAAGGAAGTCAACAGATCACCAATGAGAAAAGTAAATGATTCAACAGTCAGATCTATTAGTGTCAAAGGAGTAAGCGATTTTATACATACTTTTTACACCAAAAATATTTTCTTCTGTCCCTACAGAACTCTCAGATTGTCTTTATGACCTATCTCTAGCACATATTTACCATCCTTAATATCATCTTTAATCTTGGACCCCTAAGTGGAAAGCATCAGGTGAATATTTCTCATTGTTTCCTTTCAGTTTTTCATTTCCAAGTTCAGCTTTCCAGCCAGCCAACCCTTTTACTGAGACTGCCAGTTCAACATCATGCCTTTGAAAACAGTCACAGTGCCTCTTCTAGTGATTGTTTGCTCCCTGGAGATTAAAAAAACATGTTTTTAACCTTAGCTTTCAAAGTATGGTCTCTCATTGGTTCGTTTTTTTCTTTTAATACTCTCTTCAAAATCCAATTTTTCTGATGCTCTCTGGCTCACATTGAATGACTTATTTTCAAGGATTTGAATTGCAGCAAACAGGTCTCTTGAGTCCATCCCAGTGAAATCAATAATCGGCATTACTACTGTGTAATATCTTGCCAGAAGTATTTTGTATTCCTTTTTATTTAGATCATTACAGCAAATCTTTATATAATGGTGCCCTTCTCCTATCCTTCTCTGCCAGAAGTTTCTCTTTTTCCCCTTCTTTTCCTTCTTGTCACTGGTAAAAAGTACGGCAGAGACACCAGTGATTTTTATTTTGTTACCATTTTTCTCATATTCACCATTACTTTTCTTCATACTGCTCCATTTCCAATTTCTCAGCTATTTCTCCCTTGTCACTTTTTAAAAGTTTCTGTTTATGCTTGGGAGCTGAAACAGAGCCTCTTGAGACACCATCTCACTCTGAGTGAGACATGGACTCACTCTGAAGGACTCAGAGTACAGCACTGAGATCTTACCCATAGTAGGGGCTCTCCCCCACCTTACCTTTCCCCACCAGTGTCTGCATGGCCAGACTAGACCCTATGCTCCCTGTCTTCATCGTCCTCTGTTCTCCTAGTTCTTGTTCTTCCCTGAGGTCTACTACAATGTCCCCGACAGTTACTCACTCTGCTGAAAGAGATACATTTCCACGAGAAGACAGCAACTTGCTTTGGACAGTCGAATTTGATCAGCACTTGAAGGAAAGAAGCCTTTGAAGATGAACTCACATGAAGCTATTTTCACTAATTTGAGGCCTCCAAGTGACAATAATGAATAAAATGGCGGCACCATTTAAGTTGGTAACATAAATTTGAAGCATATGAATATTATGCATCCTTGATAGAAAAGAAAGCTGTCTTCATATTTGAAAAGTTTATCTTTGACCAAGAAGGCAGCTCCAGTAGAAGCATGACACAGGAGAAGGAAACTAAATTAGCTCTTGTAACTAATAGGTGACAGATGTCACAGATAGATCACACTTACATCTGAGTAGAATTTCTTCTCTTAAAATCAAACAGGATCAGTGGTAATATAAATCTTGGCCTGTTGCCTGCGTTTTCCTGTGGGAGTTGCAGAAAAGCTTAAGTTAAAAGGAAAATACAGAAATCTTAGGTTTTCTTTGTGCTGATGATTTTCCCTTCAGTACTGTGGTACTCTGATGTCTGCCTTTCTAGGTTATCAGGGTACATGTCTATGAAGAGACCACATCCCCTTTCTCGACCGTATCTCCCTCTTGGAGGCTCTTTTACAGGAAACACTGGACTAGAGCCCAGGCTGCTGGTTGCTGCTGGCTCTGATGCTTCTTTCTGACATGAGAAATAGGCAGAGGGACAGGTCAGAAGGATAACTCATCCAGCTCAAAATTAATTCCTATAGAACAGACAGCAAACCTATGCCCACTGCTGACTCCAGGGTGAAGACGTGAGCATCTAGAGGCTGCTTGTCTTCCCACAGTGGGAGATTTTCTTTCTCTGTGCTTTTTACAATTCATTATGTAGGTACAGAAACTACTGTTACACCATTTTAAAAATGAAATGGAAGCAAAGATGATTATGTGTCTGGCCAGAGGCCAGAAAACACATACAAGACGCAACTAAACCCAGGCCCCAAATATTCTGACAACCAGCCTGGTTTCTTGCTGTTGGTGTAAGCCACCACTCTCGCAAGCTCTCATTCTTGCTCAGAAGTCATATTATTCTATACAAAAAGGAGTTACATTTTAAAAATTCTAAGCATGCAGTTTGTTCTTCTGCCACTGAGCTGATCCATTTATCTAATCTGCACACACAGAGTCCTGACCTCATTGTGTTTTGCTAGAATCACAGTCTGAGGCTTTGTGGTCGATATTATGCAACGCCACTCTGCCAGTTTGTGCTCTGCCAATTTTTTTGAGCAAGCTTAATTATGCAAATGCATCTGATAATAGATCATTCATTTTAGTCATGCACAATTATTTATTTTTTATGCATAGCTCCAATGACTTGGACAGAGCTTAGTAACAGCTCATCTCATATCTATCGAGGAGATGTAAGAGAGAACATATTGTGATGCAGGTCAACTGCTCTGGTGAGCATCAAGCTGCTTCAGGGAAAGTTATATTTGAGGCAAAGCCAACTATTTCTAAGGAAAATGCCAGCTGTTGCTGCCAATCTATTCTCAGAATGAAAGTCCATTTCATGGGGGGCTGGAGGAGCAATGACAGTTAAAGGCAGATATAATGTTACTTAAAATTATGGTTTGGAGGTGGATGGAACTTCCACTGTTTAGTTACTTCCACTGACTCCTAAACTATAACATTTTGTCATTTGTGCCCCTTCTAACTTTAGAGATAATAAAAACGGGCCTGGAAGGAAATGCAGTAGATACAAGTGGAAAGAGATATCCTTCTCAGAAGAAAGTAGGTGATGCAAATGCTATTAAACAGAAACAGACTGGCTTTCTTTAACTTATTCCATTTTTCCATATGTGCCATGATCTTATTGCCTCTGGGCCTTTGCGTACTCTAACTGCACTTCACTTTGGACTCCTCCTAGAGTTATCAGTTTAAATATTATTTCTCCCACGAAGACTTTCCTGATCACTTCCCCTCTAACCTCACCCCTAGAATAGGTCAGGTATCCCTATTACCTCCTCTCGTAGAATCAGGTACATCATTTATCATACCTCTTATTTCACTTTGTGGGACTACATAATTCATAATTTCCTATTTATGAAGGTGGAGACCATGTCTATTTTGTTGATTGATGCTCAGCTAACACTTAACTGAATCCATGGAATGGTAATATTTAATAAATATTTGCTAAACAAAAGAATAATTAAATGAATAAATAAAGGGTTGGAAATTGTGATGGGGGCTCAGGCTTTGGTTTCTTCCTTAATGTCCCATTGAAAGCCTAAAGGACTCATCTAACATGTCAGCAATATCTATTTCTCTCTAACTGTGGAACACAATACAATATCATTTCTAGTGTACAGTGTTAATTTGAATGATGATTTTGTGAGAATGGTGGCCAATGTTGGCAATAGTACTTGTCTGCCCAGTAAACTTTGCCTTAATCTTTCCCCTGCTTTTCTTAAACTGTTCCTTCTCTCCTCTACTAGCTCATAGCCACTAGAGAGATGAGAAGAGGATGTAGGCCTGGCCAATAATGACTCTTCCCCAGGATCAATTTTAGAAGACAGTACTCTCTTTTCTTATGAGGTTGCCGAGCTGGAGGATTTGGATCTGGGGCCACTGACGGCCATCTGCAAGAGTCTGTGGATAAAGCCAATCAGATCAAGTAGAAAGTCAGAGTCTAAGGTCCTGATTCTTATACCTCTTTCTTTGTTGTCATGGTCTTTTTTAGTATGCATTCCAAAGCTGATCTCCTAGCCCAGCTAAACTGAGCATCAACATTCTTTTCAAATATCAGCCGTTTGCCTATTACCTTTATTCCTTTTTGCCATACCTATATGTGGCACGTTTTAAATGTATTATTATTATTTATTATTTTCTTTAAACTAACTCACTTTTTAACCCAAATATATTTACTTTAAAAGAAAAGAAATATTTTTTCCTAACGTCAATGTGAGTTTAATTTCTATTTGTTGCAACCGAATAAGATCTGGTTAATGCAGTAATTAAAGTGCATTTATCTTCAGGGAGATAGGGAGAATCAGCTGAAGTCAGGGGGAAATGCAGTCACATTCTTAGATTCCATGTTTAAGTGGCGTTCTGAATTTTAAACCTTGAAGAGTCCTGATAAATATAGACATTGACACCTGAGGCCAGATTTAAGGGTCATGTTTTGATAAAGTTTCTGATGTTGGTGACTAAGTAGTGGAGGGTACAAGAATTGAACAGATCAGCACCCAACTCAGATTTTAAGGAAATTATATTGACAAAGACACCCCAAGCCTGGCAAAGGATGTCCTATAATTACTCAACTCCTTAAGGCCCTTACCACAGCTATACTTGTACCAACAAAAAGTAGATAAAGCACTGTAACACAGAGAAGTCATATTCTGAGGCATATCCAAGAAGGCCAATGGTTGTGGTCAGGTAGCCAGGGAGGGGCAGAGAAGCTCATCATGGGCTTGCACTATGACCAGAGAGGTAAGTCCTTGATATTCTGGCTCAACAATATGCTGTATACACTGTGGACCAGAGGTGACTGGCATTGCTTCTTTTTTTCTGTGCTTTCCAAATGGTAGTTTTAATTGCAGACATTGTATATTTCTCTATAATTTTATACTGG
Source organism: Homo sapiens (assembly GCF_000001405.40). Taxonomy (NCBI): domain Eukaryota; kingdom Metazoa; phylum Chordata; class Mammalia; order Primates; family Hominidae; genus Homo; species Homo sapiens. Next base: position 90,128,548 of record NC_000010.11, read on the forward strand.
TCATGTAGGGCTACTTAAATTTATTATATGACAAAACTATGAGAAGAAAGGCTTGGGATTAGATACAGCAAATGATGTGCTTTGTGTTGTCTCTTTGGAAAAGGTGGATGTGTTTTCTGTTGTAGATGGGATACTGGCATTTTGGTAGGTGGGCATTTTGTAATTCAGTATCAGGAGAGAAGGGTGCCTTGAGTGTGCTGGGAAGTCAAGGAGTGGAATGTAGTAAACTATGGTAGATATTGTGTTGTCCACAGGGTTTATCCATCCTCTTCCATAGCAACATGCTCCTTCCTGTCATTTCCCCATCTCCTCCCACCACCACCATCCCAGCCATAGGGATGACCTTGTAACTCATGCCTGACCAAAATTGTTTCCTTGGATTGAGAAAACTTTGGAAAAAAAGACACTCTGTTTTCTACTGGGTTTGCCTTAATGGGAGGATGTGAATCTGAGAATGTTGAGACTAAAGGGGATGAGAAGTAGAAAGGAAGGTTGTGTTTTCTTGGTTTGATTTCCCCATCTCTGAGGCCCCAAGGCCCTGGACCCTGCAGTTACTCATTTGATCATGAGGCTACCTTAGTGTCCTATCTACCTTCTTGGGTCAATAAAATCTGTTTTCTTAGTGTTATTTGATATGGATTTTTATTATTTGGAACTAAAAGAGTTGTGAGCTTCTCTCCTTGGAGAGTCTTTCTTTGGCTCACTGTAGCTAATTTAGGATCCTTTCTGCCATGTTCTATATTTTATAGCTCTATTGCTCTCTAAAATTACCTTTCTTTGTCTAATTTTCTGTGTTTATTGCTCATTTCCTTCCTCCTCACCCTGCTGGCTGCTAAAATGCAAGCTCCATGATGTCAGAGATTTTGTCTGTTTCATTTATTAATTAATTTATCCAAGGCCTAGAACAGAACTGGGTATAGACCAGGTGTGTCTTAATAAATACTTACTAATTGAATCACTCGCTATCACAGGTATAGAGAGATAAGGAGTGACAAAGAGGAGGGAATCTGCAGAAGGAGATATTCATCTGTTTATCCTGGTTCTCCTAGTTTTCATATTACTTCACTAACTGATATTACATGTTTCCCCCTTTTTTCTCCTTCAGTTGCTTTTCTCAATCCTTTTTCTAAAGTAACCTCACTACTTGATCTACAATACTACTTTCCATTACCCATCTCTGCCCCTTTGCTGTTTTTCTGTTTAAAACCACCAACCTCAGTTCACGTCCACCTTCCATAAATACTTATTCACTGGGTGATTTAATTAGTAAAAACACTGCATTTCCTTTTGCTTCTTCATCCAAGGAACCAAACTCATCACAGGGCCTGAACTCTTTATGACCAGCCTGAATAGTTTTCTTGAGCTTCCTGTGGGTAGAAGGTGATTAAGAGATCTATTTTCTTAAAGGTATATAGTATTTTATTGTCCTTAAAGCATTTTTGATAAATTAGCTAATCTCAGTTGATTTAGATAGCATCACTTATGAGGTAGGCTGGGATAGGAATTGGTATCAAAAATTCAGAAATGAGAAAACCAAGATACAGAAAAGCTGATGATTTTTCTAAAGCCACAGAGGTAGTGAAGGTTAAGTCTGTACTTTAGTGTTTTGCTTCTTTGTAACATGCAGTTCTGTAGAGAAGACTGTCTATTGGTATGAGAAAAAAATCATAGAGCTTTGGTGAGCTCCATGATGTCAAGGCCACAAACTCAGTTATGACCATATTTTCCCAGATTTCCCAAACAAAGTAGGAAATCAAATCTCTCTTACTAGTCAAATTTTGATATTAAGAAACTGAAAGCTGTCATTTGGATTTTCTTATGGTACTATCTATCAAATATCAGACATAAGGTATGGAAAGATATCTTTTTTTAACAATTTGCATTTTACCAGTTTTAAGAAAAATCCAATATATCATAGGCCCAATGACATTTTGAGAGTTTCAAGTCTGTAATGGCTGTCACGATATGAATCATTCAAGCAGAGTCCACAGTCCTGAACAAAGTAGACAGCTTGAAGAGAGACAAACACATTTTCCCTCTACTTGGAGCCATTGTTTGAATGAAATAAATCCACTAAAGCCATGGATACTATGAAGAAGGCTGAGACTTCTACTGTGACCATGGCAGAAGCACATTCTTGAGGAAAGGCCACCAAGCCAAAAGCAGGGACTTTTCTTCTCTACTACAGATAAGAAATGTGACCCAGACAGATGTTTTCAGTTCTCCTTGCTTCAGTTTCTTTATTTCTTAAAATGCAAGAATTAGACTACACAAGCTTAGAGAGACTTCTGGTTCTAACACTTGTTGATTTGGAGTCACTTGACTCCAGTGCTGGAGTTATTACTGATTATAGGTATTTTCTTACTTATTAAGAGAAACAATGACACGAAGTAAGAAGACCACAGAACATGGTGATGCAGGTGCTGAAAGGTTGCTCCCAGCTCAACTACCATTGTGGCCAAGAGAGTAGAAGACAGAGTTATTGCTTGGGTGGCAAATACTTTAATTTGCATGAAGATGTTTGTATAACTTGGAGTGAGTCACTAGGTTCTTACCTATCTGGTGTCTAATTAGAACATCTTTTTTTTTTTTTTTTCATGGCAAAGGAAAGTACAGTAGCCAGTACTTCAGTTGCACTTTTACATACTTCCTTGTCACCATTCCTGGATTCCTATTCTGCCTCCTAACCCCCGGAGGGAAGGAGAAATGGGGATTGATAGGACTTAGATTTGGTCCCTGCCCAAACCTCATGTTGAATTTGTGGAGGGCCCTGGTGGGAAGTGATTGGATCATGATGGTGGATTTCCCCCTTGCTGTTCTTGTGATAGTGAATGATTTCTCAACATATCTGATGGTTTAAAAGCATGTGGCAATTCCCCCCCTCACTCTCTCTCCTCCTCCGCTATGGTAAGATGTGGTCCCCCTTTGTCTTCGGCCATGATTGTAAGTTTCCTGAAGCCTCTCAGTCATGCTTCCTGTTAAGCCTGTGTAACTGTGAGTCAATTAAACCTCTTTTCTTCATAAATTACTCTGTCTTCAGTAGTCACTTATAGCCATGTGAGAAGGAACTAATACAGTGATGTTAGAGAGAATAAAATGGTTTCATCTGTGGCAGGGATGTGATAGGGCAACCACTGGTCTGAAGGATGGAGTTGATCTCTAACTGCTGCAGGATTGGATAGTAGCAAAGCATTTTCCTTTACATCCAAGCACTCATGACTTGTCCTTCCAGATATGACTGAAGAGAAGTTTTGCTCAGGCCAAAGTAGCTCCTTGATGGAGGCTTTGTTTATTGATAAATTTTCCTTAGGTTCAAATTTTTTCTGGGGAATAAGTTGGAGAGGTTTGAGAGGTATGCAGAGGGAAGGAGTCCCATGGTTTCAAATTCCCACTTTTTCAATCAGTAATGTTCAAGTGCTCCAAAAATTTAAATTATTGTATCTAGTGCATACTCTTATATACTAATTACCTAATTAAACCCATTGAATTCAAATAATCACACAATTGAAGCCATTGATTCAAAACAACTTGTTTACAATTGCTGAACCTACTGGTGTCCTCCTGAAACCATCTTCTGGGAAGTATCACAGGGTTGCCTGTCTTCACAGGGGTTTTTCTGGGACTTCCCATGACAGGCAGTTTCAGGGATTCTTCGGGTGCTTTCAGTGGCCCTTGGACTGGATATAGCAAAGGTTGATAGAATTATGGCTTGTGTGTGAGTGGAGGGGCAGTGTAGGAATCAGAGTGAGAATGGTGGGTTCTAGTGCTATATATTTTTTTAATTGTGGTAAAATATACACAACATAAAATTTATCATTTTAACTATTTTAAGGGCACAATTCGATGGCATTAAATACATTCACAAAATTCTGAAACTATCACCCATGTCAATTTCCCGAAAGATTTCATCATTTCAGAGACTCTATCCATTAAACAATAACTCTCCACTCCCCTCTCCCCTTAGCCCCTGTTATCCTATAGTCTACTTTCTGTCTCTACAAATTTGCCTATTCTAGATACCTTATATAAGTGGAATCACACAATATTTGTCCTTTTGTGTCTGGCTTATTTCACTTAGCATAACATTTTCAAGGTTCATCCACAATGTAGCATGCATCAGAATTTCATTCCATTTCATGACTGAATAATATGCCATTTTATGTATATGCTACATTTTGCTTGTCCATTTATCTCTTGATAGATATTTGGGTCATTTACGTTTGGCTATTGTCCATAATGTTGCTATGCACATTAGTGTGCAAGTGTCTGTCAAAGTCCGTGCTGTTTATTCTTTCAGATATATACCTAGGAAGGGAATTAGTTGGTCATATGGTAATTCTATGTTAAGCTTTTTGAGTTACCACCAAACTGTTTTTCACAAAGCTTGCACCATTTTACACTCCCATTACAAGGGTTCCAATTTCTCCATGTCCTCACTAATTCTTGTTATTTTCTGCTTTTTTTTAATAATAGCCATCGTAATGGTATGAAGTGGTATCTCATTGTAGTAGTGCCATAATTTTGATAGAGTAAGAGAAGCAAGGCATAGAAAATAATACGTATGCTTAGAAATATCATGATTGACTATATCCCAGAAGATATAATGTCTGCTTCCCAGTCCTGAGGTCCAAATAGAGCAAGTTACTTCAACTCAACTGACTGTTCTCCTCTAGTATGTGTGATTGTGAAGCTCCTATTAAAGAAATCACCCAGGAGACACTGTCTACATATGCATAAGTCATTCAGAACACATGGTGAACCATGGGCCATGTTCCTTGCAGACTGATTTGCCTTCAGCAAATTACAGGTTTGGCACAATTCAGTAAGGCCCAGCATGTAATAGACTCCATTTTTGGAAAAGATAAGCATTACAACCCTTAACTAAGCCTTTTTATTTAAAATACATTCTATTTAAAATATAGGCCAATTTATTATTTATTTTTTATCAATTATAAGTTCAAGTTTCTCAAGCTAATATTTTATATAAGGAGTAGGTAGAGTTTGCCCATTGCTATTATACATGACATATATTTATTTTGTGCAGAAATGAGATGTATTGAGATATATTTATTTTGTGCAGAAATCTATCGGGAATAATATATAATATTGTTATTTTTATTGATCTTCCATTAGCTTTTGGTTTGTGCACAAAAAGTTGGTTAAATAAATTCAAAATACCTTTGTCTCCTTCTTGCCCAACACTCAGCTACTGATGTTTGTATAGCATCTGAAACATAATATTCCATGAGTCACAGAGAGTAGGTGCCCCTTAATCAAATAGGCAAGCTTTTCCAGTGAGATAAAGCATGACTATGTCCTAACTTTCCTTCATTTTAATTAGTTTCTTATCATCTGATAACACATTGAGATGTATTATGTTTTTAACATTATTATCTAGGAGAGATCTTACTAGGCAACTTGACATGTTATCTAATTATTACAGAAGAGAAAGACTACGGATTGAGTATACCAAAATGAAAAATAACTTTGTAGAAAGCAACTAATTTGTACTTAATTCTTATTCAGTAATTTCACACCTTGATCAGTGGTCTTGGCACATGTTTTTCATGAAGGTAATGGGAAATAATGTACCTCAAAATTAGTCATTCTCTGAATGATATTTTAAATGGTGGAGAAGTCATGTGGATTCACTTGGCTGTGAAATATTCCATGTTAAAGCAATTTTGGCCAGGCTACTTAGATCTTTCTGGAATATTGATTGCCTTTTATTTTGTTGGGGTCAGGTGGGGGGAAGCAGATATAAAGATGAATAAAAAACTCAGCTTTGTTCCCATGAATGGCTTGAATCCCTTTTTAGAATGTAGGTGAGATATACATCCATGTTAGTCTTCTCAAATTTCACAAAAAGATGTCAACTGATCCTCCAGCTCAGCTGCCAGTTAAGACACATCATTTCAAATTTAAGTAGCAAGACGAATGTGCCCCAAGCCAGGTAATTGTCAGGAATCGAAAACGTGAATTCTCTTGTGCTCCATTTAAACTCTTGGTCAAGAGAAAAATTTTTATAGAGAAGAGCTTCTAGAATAGACAACTTATTTAAACTTCCAGATAAGGGCTTCCCAATTTCTTTTAACAGATAAGATAGTAAAATTAGTATTTATTAAACATAAGAATGTTGGTATTTGACAACTGGTGCAGCACTGGCACTAACCATTTCAGATGGTGGCTGCAAACAGCCATGTGCTCATATTGGTCCTGCTTTTATTTCTTCTTCACATTGTAAAGTCATGCAGATCCCCTTGCCACACTGTCACCCCATGAGAGTAATTATATTTTTAATATCTATGGTCAAAGAATGAGAAAATAAACTTCCAGTAGTCCTATATTAAAATTTAATGTATTTTATAACCACAACAGCATCTACTCATATTTGAACATTTTTTATATATCAGTGAGTGATACAATTATTTATGGAATAAATGTATGAACACTACTTCTGAAGCTCTTTCAAAAACATCAAGTTTCCTCAGTGATTTGTGTACACAGGCTAGGAGTCATAAAATAACCTAAAAAAATTATGTAGTGCAGTCAACAGGTGAAAATCAGAACATCTCGTAGAGCGTGTTGAAACCCGGTTCATTACATCACACGCCAGTAATACAGGAGTTATTAAGAAATAATTTTAGGCAGCTAGATAGGGTAAAGGATTTTGATGGAAATTTTTCTTTTAATGGAAACAACCCTCAAAACATTTTTTGTTTTGTAACAGAAAAGTAGCTTAAGGAGCCAGGCAGGCAAGCTTTCATATGTAAATGCTGGCAATTAAAAACTAGGTCCATTGGTGGCTCACGCCTGTAATCCCAGCACTTTGGTGGATCATGAGGTCAGGAGATCAAGACCATCCTGGCTAACACGGTGAAACCCCATCTTTACTAAAAAAAATACAAAAAAAATGGCTGGGTGTGGTGGCAGGTGCGTGTAGTCCCAGCTACTTGGGAGGCTGAGGCAGGAGAATGGTGTGAACCAGGCAGGCAGAGCTTGCAGTGAGCTGAGATTGCTCCCCTGCACTCCAGCCTGGGTGACAGAATGAGACTCCGTTTCAAAAAAAAAAAAAAAAAAAAACCAAAACTAGGTCCATTTGACATGGCCAATATGGCGATTCCCACCTTCTTCTCCTTGCCATCAGGCAAGTGTCATGGCCACCTCTGAATAACACTATGTGCTTAAAACATCATGGCGGCCCACATTTACATATTAAAGGGCTAAGGTGGAAGGGCCAGGTTTTTCTCAAGCTACATAAATAGCATACCTGGTCAACCCAATCCCCTGGGCCCTATGCAAATCAAACACCACCTCCTCCAGACTTCAGTATAAGCAACCACTTTTCCACCGCACATGGGGTTCCCTCTCTTGGCTTGGAGTGCCTTTCCCTCTGCCTCTGCATGGGGGGGCTTCTTCCTTCTTTCTTGCCTATTAAACTCTTTGCTCCTTAAAACCACTCCAAGTTTGTCCATGTCATTTTATCTATATCAGCACAAGACCAAAAACGCTTGTGTTCCTCCAGTCATCAGAGCCATATAGTTTTGGTGCATTGGCCAGGAATGGGAATTCATTTATCCAAGTGGTGAGTACCAGAGCAGAGCAAATCTCAATTTCAAATCTGTCCTTTAATCTCAAGGCTGTCTTCCTGCTATCCTGTCACAAAACTTTCCTCCCCTTTGTATCCACAGTCTCCTACTCTCTCTGTGTGTGTCTAACATGCAGGAATTCTCACAGTTCAGGGAAACAGTTCTATTAGAAAAGATCAGCAATCAAGCAGGCAATAACTTAATAAACATCTCCCTCTAGGGTTTCTCTGGGGAGCACATGGCATTTTAAGACAACAGTGCCAACTAGCAGAAATAAAAATCCTCTTTATAAGACACATTGTGCAGCTTCACAACTTTTCCTTTTTGCGTGTTTTCTACTGGAAACTAGCCTCCAGGCAGCTTCTGTGAACAGGAAAGTTTTACCTTTAGTAGTTTGGAGTAAGATGTCTTCCACAGCCAAATTTTAGTCCTGATACTGTTCCATCGGCAGGAAAATAGCCATTTGGTTCCTATGTTTCTTTATGGCACCTATTCTGTCTCTGATTAAGACAGTACTTAATTAGTAAGGGAATCTTAAGACCAGAAGTTAACTGGAGACATTTTTCAGAGGGTTAATGCTGTAGCTTGAGCCATAATAGCAGGCAATCTAGCACATTATTTCCGTTAAAGGAGCCTTGCCCAAAGGCGACACAGTCTCTCTGGAGATCTGTTTTATGGGGAGCCAGGGAGATCACATAGGTTTAGAAAGTCAAAGGGAAATCACACAAGGTGAATAAGCTAAGGTTGTGTGGGTAAGCACGGGTAGTCCCATCACTTATTTCATCCAGTTCCATAGCTTGTAGGACCATGCCTTCAACTATGGGTGGCACATTTAACATGGTGCTGGGATCCAGGAACAAGGGAGGTAAAACAGTTGGAGAACGCTCCTATGGTCTTCTTCTCCACCTTGGGTCATACGGAAAGGAAGGAGGCTAAGAGAATGCTTTTATTCTCACTTATTTTTCTAGATGGGTAATACATTGTCTTCAGCTGGCACCCCCCCGGAGTGCACTCTGAGACACTGGAACTTCCTTAACTTCAGAACTTTGAAGAGAAAACTACTCATTTTATTTTGCACAAGGGCATGGCATTTTTACTAAACCTTCGCAAGCATTGTAAAATCAACACAGCTCTTTCAGCAATCATATCGAGCAGGCCCAGGGAAAATAGTTCCTCAAAGTTAGAAAAGCAACTTCCAGGGGAACCATCAAAGGATTCCCCTTATTTTGGGCCCCTTCAAGTTCCCTTCTCATTACAGGACCTTAGGCAAAGCCAATTTTCTAAAGACCCTGATAGGTATATAAAAACTTTCCAAAATTTACCTCAGGTGTTTAACCTCACATAGAGGGATGTTACACTGCTCCTAAGGCAAACCCTAACAACAGATGAAAAGCAGGCAGCTCTGCAAGCAGCAAATAATTTCAGAGATGAGCTATGTATCTCCTATAATACACAAAAAGGGAAGAAAGTGGATAGGGAAAGCAAAGAAACAGCAGAAAAGCCATTCCCAATTGGAAGGGAAGCAGTTCCCCTTGACAACCCTAATTGGGACAACAATAGCTCTGCAGATGAATGAAAATGGAAGCATTTTTTAATATGCATTTTACAAGACCTATGGGAAACCAGGGCCAAACCTCTCAATTACTCTAAACTGTCTATAATAGACCAAAAGCCAGATGAAAATCCTGCAGCCTTTATGGAAAGGCTGAGCAAGGCACTAATAGAGAACACCTCCTTATCCCCTAATTCAGTTGAGGGATAGCTCATCACAGAAGACAAGTTTATTACACAGGCAGCTCCTGATATTAGAAGAAAACTACAGAAGCAAGCTATAGGACCAGATAGCACTTGAGAGAACCTCTTGAAAGTGGCTACTTCAGTCTTTTATAATAGGCACCAGGATGAGGCCCCAAAGAAAAAGAGAAAGCTCAAAAGAAGAACAAAGTCTCTGGTAGCAGCTTTGCAGGCTTGCAAAGTCCAGGATCCCCAAGGAGCATCTGCTAGTTGCTATTGGTGTGGCAGGCAGGACATTTTAAGTAACTGAGTGAGGGCTACTCATCTTACTCAGTCCCACTCCTACCCCACCAGATACTTTTTATTATTTCTATCCTTTCCTCTCAAATTCGCTGCCAAATATTAAAACTTCTTTTTAACTCATATTTGCAGGAAGATTTTAATTATACATGGGATTAAATTTGTAACATTGCAAATCTTCAAAGGGAAACGTTATATCATGGCAAATAAAGTTTTGAACGGAAATTATTTGCTATGTCACTCTTGTGGGAATTGTTATAATTGTTATAGTCACGCTACTATTTGCAATAGAACTATACAGTGTGGCACCCACAATATAGAATTCTGGTAGTAAAATTCGAATTGCTGTAACATTTTGCCTAATTATTGTCCTTATAACATAAGTAATAATTCCAGGAAAGATTTAGTCAAGGTTGTTTTGCTTATAGTAGGAGTAATAGTTACGGATAAAAAGCAAGCATGGAAGTTTTACTATCATTAAGTTTAATAGGACTTTTTACTGAAGGTTGGTAATATAATGCACTCTAAGCTATAAAAAGAAGGTTATAAAGAAAAATATTTTATATAAGAAAAAATTTTTTATGGTAAATACTTGTCCTAAAAGAAAATGACTGCTTGCTTAAAGAATGGATGTTTAGGACAAATCAGAAAGTTTAAGTATGTTGCAAAAGGGTCTGTGAAAGTCATGAAAAAATGTAATAATTAAAGAAAAGGAATTGCCAAGATTAACACTAAAGTTATTTTAGCCACCCAATAACATATTTCTCTCAGTCATAAGCCTAACTTATTTCTAAAGGCAAGTCAAGGAGGAAATGTATGCTTTTCTCAAGGAAAATGTTACTTTTACGTTTCTGGTAATGTACAGCAACATCTAGTGGAGGAAAACCAGTATTGCGGTCCATTGGTGTAACTAACAGGTGTCTACCTCTCTGGCCTACATCCATAGGACCCCCACTAAACAATGGTCATCTTAATGCTCGCATTCTAACCTTATAATTTAAACTTTCTTGTAAAATGTATCTCTTTTTGCCTAGAAACAATCAAACTCCAAACAGTGCTGCGAGCAGAGCCACATGTGGGCCATTCTTTCAAGAACCCTTAGATCAACCTCAGGAGAAGGCCTAACTGCTGTCCCCCCACACAATGCCCCTTTTCAGCAGGAAGTATCCAGAAAAAAGTCATCGTTCAACACCTCCTAACAGCAGTTAGATTTACTTCTCTTTAAAAGGGAAATAATACAGGAGTTATTAAGAAATAATTTTAGGCAGCTGGATAGGGTAATAGTTCTCAGTGGAAATTTTTCTTTTAATGGAAACAACCCTCGAAACATTTTGCTTCTAACAGAAAGGTGGCTTGAAGAGCCAGGCCAGCAAGCTTTGATAGGCAAATGCTGGCGATTAAAAACTAGGTTCATCTGACATGGCCAATATGGCAATTCCCGCCTTCTTCTCCTTGTCACCAGGTGTGGCAAGTGTTATGGCCACCTGAAAATAACACCATGTGATCAAAACATCATGGTAGGCCACATTTGCATATTAAAGGGCAAAGGTGGGAGGACCAGGTTTTTCTGGGGCTAGGTAAATGACACACCTGGTCAACCCAATCCCCTGGGCCCTATGCAAATCAAACACTGCCTCCGCCGTCCTTCAATATAAACAACCACTTTTCCACCACACATGTGGTTCCCTCTCTTGGCTGGGAGCCCCTCTCTCTCTGTCTCTGTGTCTGTATTGGGGGGCTTCTTCCTTCCTTCTTGCTTATTAAACTCCGCTCCTTAAAACCACTCCATGTGTGTCCATGTCATTTTACCTACATTGGTGTGAGACCAAAAACCCTGGTGTTCCTCCAGTCACTGGGGCCATATCATCAGTCCCCTTAAGTGAAACATTTGACTTTAACTTGTTTTTTCTTCTTGACAAATAATTTGATTTTATTCTGGGGAAGCAGAATTATATGATGGAATAAATGAATCATTGACTGCTGGGATATTGAGAGGCAAATATACCTCTTTTGTGTGGCAAGCAAATAATGCTTCATGATATGTATTTTATATCAACCTCATTCTTAGCTTGATTTTATTTCCTTACTATTGTAGTCCCATGCATTCACTTTATCAACTACTTCTAATGTCATCTCAACGTATTTTGTGTATTTTTGAAAAGTAATGTAAGTCTTTTTAGAATATAACTATATCAATATACAAAATTAAATGACTGATGCTAATAAGGTAACTAGCAGACACAAGCAAAGGGGAAAGATCTATGTATTTGTGGATTTCTTATGTACAATCTATGGCCATTTTGAATATTGTGTTAGGATTTATCTGCAAATCCTATAAGATCCTGAGTCACTTACAAGGTTGAAAGCAGGTATAGTTTAGCTGAGGAAAGTCACTGGAATGAGAGGAAATTCTGCACTTTTAACTTCAATGTGGTTATTATTAACCAGGTGCATGACCTTGGCCAAGGCTCCTGAGCATTGGTTTCCCCATTTTAAATGTCAAGGGGTGATCAGTTCAGAAATAAAATCTTAATGTCTTTAGGGGCCTGAAGACATCAGTGAGGAAGTAAATGTGTGAAGTTCTAGGTGTGAGACAGGCCAATTGGGGGCTGTGCGGGGTGGAGAACACCCGCCCCCGCCCCAAGGCATTTCAGCAGAGTGAGCAGAGTGGGTTAAATTTGTCCATAGGCTGTCAGGTGGGATTTTACCTCCTTTTTCATTTTTATTTTATTTATTTATTTTTCTAATCCTTGGCCCCAGTGATCCTGCAGGGCTCTGGCTGTTCTGACAGTCTGTGGTGATAACTCCATTGTTCCATGCAGGCCGCCTCTTTCAGCCCAGACAAGTGTGAAGAATGAAATGAAATGACAGCCAGAGCGGGAGCTCGAGCAAGGGGATCACCAGCCCAGAGATGGGAGAAACCTTTTAAGAATTCATGGACAGCCTCTGGCACTGGCACCAGGGCATAGCTGCACATAGCTGGGGAACAACGCAGCTAACAGACTGGCCTGGTGGGTGCTGTGAGGAGCAGGTTGCCCTTTCTGATTCTGACTTTGGGCTGGCCATAGATCTAAGCAGCAGAATCACAAATAGTGGCAGGTGGTAATAAATAACACTTTCTTGGCTTCCCTTTCTTCCCTCCCCTAGGCCCCTAGGCATTCAGCCTACTTTATGTTACTTTTACAATTTTCTCATTATATTCTAACCATCACTCAAGTGCAGTTCAAATGCCAGTTCCTCCTGGAAGCCCTACTTTCTCCTCAGCTGGAGTTCTCCTCTGTGCTCTATCAGTGTTTGGTTGGCATTCATTGAGTGCAGATTGCATTCTACCAGATGCTAGTATTATTATATAGGGTCTGATTTCCCCTGCTGGAACATAAGGATGTTGAGAGGAGAAACTACGTCTTTCCTGATTTTCTACCTCTCTCCTAGCCTAGAACAGTGCATTGCTCAAAATAGATGGTAGTAAATGTTCAGTAAATAAGGTAGGAAAGCCTAGGGCAGCCAGAAACACAGGCTCAGCCTTGGCTGCTGAATATGTTAGCTGTGCAACTTTGAATGAATTATCAACCTATGGCTCGGAGTTTATCATTAGTTAAGTTCTTTTAAAGGATTGTATGAGAAAATCATGTATGATTCTCAGCATAATAATATCTTGTGCCTATTAAGCACTGAATAAAGGTTAAAAACAATGTTGCTTTGTGTTGAGTTATATGTGCACTGTGACTGCATTCCTGTTTTCACTGTGTGAAAAATGAGTTTATGCATGTTGATGCCAAAATGCCAAAGATGGCTTTGTGAGTGATGGCTTTATGGTGGACCAGGAATGCACTGACAAAAATTGGGAAACACAAATTCTGCATCTTAGATTTAGAAGGATATGGAGAGACAGTGACTGATGTTGGAAAGCAGTAACTGCAAACTAATTATGAAGAGAGGGCCTGAGGTTAACAGAGTAAATTTAATTAAGAGGAGCCGTTGTTCTAGCTGTCCAGAATGACATATTTGTTTTTTTGAGAAAAAGAGAGAGAGTCAGAGGTAGAGATTAAGCAAAAACTGACAAAAATTCAAAGACAGAATCTGCTTGTGGAATCTCTCCCACTAGGGTTGGTGAGGTAGAGGGACACCAGGGAATTCTTATGTGTGGATGGCTGAGGGTTGAACAACCTACTTGGAAACCTTGGGCTGTACCTGGGTCAGGGGATTCACATTGGGTCTTAGCAGAAGGGGCCAGACATCCTCCAAGCTGAGGGCAGAGAATCCTCTGTTCTCTGGGAATGAGAAAACCCCTAACTAATCTGTTAAAACATGCCAAGTACAAGTTGGTGACTGAGCTATGCGTGGTGATTCCCACCTTTTTCTGGAGCCAGGAATTTCACAATTTCTTATAATTTGCATTGTTGTTCTTGATTTTTAAAACACCCATGATGAATGAACTGATGTTGCATTAATGGAAGGATATGAGACTAGATGAAGCTTTATGGAAAGCCCAATAATTAGAAGGTTGCTTGCCGAGCATGGAATTAAACTACCGTATTTCACTAACTCTAAGACATATGTATTCTCACATTTTAACATCTTCAGAATTATGATATGTATTAGACAATGGTTTCTTACTGTTGCTGTTGATCAGGCAGCAATTGAAATGTAGCTCGTTAAAGTCTGCATATGCATTAAGTCAATAACCTCAGCATCAAAACTTGGAAAATGGGTCAGCGACTTGGGAGAAAATCTCAGAGACAAATGTGGATCACTCTTTTAAGACATGTGAGAAAAAGATAAGAAAAGTCCAGAATAGGCAAATATATATAGACAGAGAGCAGATAAGTGATTTCTTGGAACCAAAGGGTGAGGGTTGGGGGATAGGGGAGGTGAGGGTGGGGGAAAGAGAGAAATTTGGAATGACTACTAATGATTAAGGAGCTTCTTTTTTGGGTGATGAAATGTTCTAAAATTGATGTATTGGTTGCACAACTCTATAAAAGAACTAAAAACCACTGGGCTGTACACTTTAAATGGGTGTATTATATGACATGTGAATTATATCTCAATAAAACTATTTTTATAAGGAAATGTGAACTTACTATGATTATGATGGCTCAGGAGGTGGAAAAGAACGTTAGTGACTCTCAGGCAAAAAGTGGTTAGGAAGAATCGGGTTTGTATTGTGAAGAAACTTAGAAATATTTTGAATTTCACTTATATTTTTCAGTTTGTATGTATACATGATAAAAATGCTTAAATCAGTCTCTATCATTTGGGAGCCAAGAGGAAACTACGCATGTAGGAGAGAAACATAGAGGAAGTGCTGTGACCTGGGACTGGTAACAGCAAAGCCTTTGCCACTGCTAGGTGGGAGAGGGAAGATGCTACTAGCAGCCAGAGGGAGAGAGTTGTGAGACAAGGCCTAGGGTGGTAAGTATAAGAGGAGGAGGGCTAGAACTGGTGCATGTGGCCCCTTGGGCAGGGAGCTGGGGGAATAAATAGCCCCATCTCCTTTTCTCTCTCTCTCAGTCTCTAATCTCTTACTGAGGCTCTCCATTGGTCAAACTCAGCTGGAAGCCGGAAGTTAGAGTATATAATCCATTAGCTCTCAAACTTTTTGGTCATAGGACTCTTTTACACTCTTAAAAATTATTGAGAATCCCAAATGACTTTCGTTTTCTTCACTAATATCTACTGATATTTACCACACTGGAAATGAAACCTAAGAAATGAAAATAATTAATTCAATGAAAAATAATAGAAAACCCATATCATATTAATAAAAATGACATATCTCAACAAAAATAGCTACATATTTCAAAAATAGTGAGTAAAGTAGCATTGTTTCATATTTTTGAAAATCATCTTAATGTTCAGCTTAATTAAAAACAACTGGATTCTCACATTTTCTTCTGCATTCCAAATACTGTGATATATTGTTTTGGTTGAAGTGTATGAAGAACATCTGTCCACATACAGGCTTGTGGTTGGAGAAGTAAGGGGTATTTGAAGTACCTTTTTACATAAGTATGAATGTTCTTTTTTAATAATACACCACAACTTAACAAGTTGTTTCTTAAAGGTTGGGGCAGTGTGGAATCTGAAATTACATCACTGCGTTTTTTTTGTACTTGGTTACATTAAAATCCACTGGTCTATCTTGTATGTTGAATGTACCTTTTACTTGTGCATGATTTTCTAGCTTCATGCTTTGGTTATTTAACAAATATAGGTTTAGTGAATTATGCACATTTACCACATATTGACATATATGACAATATTAAAAATAACCACATTTGTTTCTATCACTACTGATCTCATCTGAAGAATCTTTAAGCTCTGGGAAGTTGTAACTTCATTGTAGCAGATAAAAGTTTTTTAAAAATCTGATGTCTACTTGAAAGCTCAAATTTTATCATTGGCAACAAATATTAATACCATCACTTTTTTTTCTTGAAGTGACAGGCTCACTTGCATTATTTTTGAGAAGATGTCTGTCAAATACCTAATTTTGAATACCACTGTTTGTCTGCTAGTCTTCTTTCCAAATGAGAAAAGTAGGTAGTTTAACTTGCAGCTCAAACATTCCTGTATGTGCTTTTCTGGGAGGCAACACTCATGCTTTGGTATGCAGCAGAAGTGCTTTATGCATGCTCCCCTTTTGATAAATCATTACTTCTGTTTAGAGATGGGGTCTTGCTGTATTGCCCAGGTTGAAGAGCAGTGACTATTCACAACCCATAATAGTGCACTTACAGCCTCCCAAACTCCTGAGATCAAGTGATCCTCCTGCCTCAGCCTTCTGAGGAGCTGGGACTACAGGTGCATGCTACTGTGCCTGGCTCATATCTCCATTTTGTAAGATGGAATATTAAAAAGAGGAACTCCAAGGTTTAAATGGAATAAAATTAATATTGTGTTTGCTGCTTTATCACAGACATCCTTAAATGAAAATTGATTTTTTAAATAATTGAGAGTGCTTGGTGAGTGAAAAACATAATGACTGCTAGCACAGTTTAGTTCCCCTGCCTTGATGCCTAAGGCAACAGTAGACAGGCGTTATTCAATTTTGCTTTTATACCATCAATGCAAATGCCATCACAGCAGAAAAGATGAATAATGTATTCATATTATTATAAAGATAGTTTTGACCTTGTGTACCTCCTGGAAAAGTCTGGTGGAGGCTCGAGGGTCTGAGGGCCACAGTTTAACTACAGAGGTAGCTCTTCTAAGGCAGCCTTCTGGGACAGAAAGCCATATGGAAAAAGATGGGGAGTAGATTTTGCAGGGACAGGTGAAAGGAAGTTATATAAAACAAAGCCTAAATAAGCACTTTACTGTAATATTTTAAAAGTTTATCTTATAAGAAATATATAGTATAGTATAATTGCAGCTTGTTTTTTCTTCTTTAGTTGTATATAAAATAATGTGCATTTTTGAATGGATTCTTTGAGTCTTAGATTCTATGATTTATGATAAGGAAAGAGAATCAGAAGAATCACATGGTGGAGAGGGCCTGATGCATCTCTTTCCATGATCGTGTGGAATTGCCACGGGGACCAGACAGGTTGGGGTCTTTGGGATTGAGTTTCTGCTCCCTAGGTGGAATATTGTGAATATGTATCTGAGAAAAACATGGTTTTCTAGGCTTCCATTGCTAATTAATCTCTTTTATGACAGACATTTTGTCTTTTAAATTTATGAATGCATAGATGGATAGGTGAATGAATAACTATTGATGGCCTAGAAACCACTGTGCCTTTTTCAAGGGCCTTTGCCTATCCACTCTTGTGGGATGATTTTGTCCCTTAATATTTATAGGGCAGGTTTACCTTTTTTATCTCCGAGCCTCTTTCACCCTTGGGGAGGAAGGATCATCTCACTGTCACCCTTGTACTCTTTGCCCTGTGTGCTTAAAGACTTAATGAAGAAATGGAACTGATCTGTGCATCCCAGTATCTTCAGACACTCTTCCACATTTGTCTGGCCAGCATTTCTACAGTTATGGCTCAAGAGGAAGGTTAGTGTCATCTGCAAACTGCAAGCACCTGGGTTTATATTTCCAAAAGAAATGTCAGCCTGAAAGCTATTCTTCACTTCAAGGGGATTAGAGCTTCAGCTGATATTGGACTCTCTTATTTGTTTCTATAAATTTTTAACAGCCTGAAATGGCATTAAACTCTGTGGAGAGCACCATATAATGCCACTAATCCTGTTGATCTTAACATTGCTTTACAGAGGTGAGAAGAACAATAAATCCTTTTATGTGTAAATCAGGAGAGATGTTAGCCATTTCTCTGCAAGGACATATCTTATTACTAGAGTTGGCTGAAACAAATCAGAGCTCAAGTATTAAATTTGAGATGCTCCATTTTTCTTTTCCCTGATAGTCCATTGATTCTCACCCTCCTCTGATTGTCCCATCTTCAAATAGTTGTATGTTTCCATCTGTGTGTCTGCCTGTCTGCCTGTCTGTCTGTTCTACCTCTCTCAATTTGCTAAACCTCAGGTTTTGGCCATCCTGCTATTTTAGGATATATTCCTGAAGAGTATTGTGACAGATATTTTTAGGGAACAGTGTAAGACTTGATTCTTGGTTTCTAAGAGCTTGCAGTCTCCTAGAAGGAATAAACCAAGTGGACATATAACAGAAACTTAAGGCTGTATTTAATAGACTATTGGTAAGGGTGAGTGAGGGCTTAGTGGCTGTGCTTGAATTCTGTGCTTGTCTCTCCCACTGACTACCTGTACAACCCCAGGCAAGTCCTTTGATCTCTCTGAACCTCGGTTCTTCATTTGCAATACAAATTAATTACATAGGGTTTTTGCGATGATTAAATGAAGCATAGACTATTTAGTACAATGCTATTTATTGCTATAATTAGTATTATAATTTGTGTTCAACGAGATGTATAAGCAATGACCAAAGTGGTCCTTATAATCTTTGTTAATGGTGGATTGGCTCCACTGCCAATAATAAAATGCATTAGGTTTGGGTTTTTATGCATGTACATTAGGATAGACTGCTTTCAGAAATAAAGCTAACCAAAGGCTCCTCAGCACTCACCAGCATTATACATATGGTAAAGTCATTTATTTTACACGAGTGATATGGCCATGATTAAAAAGAGATACTCCTGAAACTTCTTTCCTGTGGTAGAATATGTTGCAGTAAAACACCTGCACTGTTTCAAATAATTCCTATTCAAGTGTGTTGCCTTTCCAGAGCCGCAATTTATCCAGACCAAAGATAGTCATGGTCACTGCCCTGCATATGTCATCATGTTTGCTGTGTTTGGTCCCAAATACACCAAACTCACTCAGCTGTTTGCAGGTTTGGCCAGTATCTGTGCTTAATGTCTTCCCAATTTCTATTATAGAGGGTGATACCTACCACTTCCCCCTCTTGCTGCCCCTTCTCATTCCAGCAGAAACACCCATGACTCACTTGAGTTATGGAGGAAAAGGAATCACAGTCTTTAGAATTTAGGGTACCAGAAGAGGCCAATCTGCTTTAGGACTTTGGCAATCTGGAGTTCCCAGTGGAACAGGAGAGCAAAGGAGATAAGTGAAAGAGGCCTATAATCAGAACATCAAAGTGTCTTGTAGCCCAAGTTCTGATTTACTTCTTATGCTAGATGAATCACTGAGACTTCTGTGGCCTCAATCCACCCATCTGTATAGTAGATGTATTGCACTGTAAGGTTATTTTATTCACCACCTCACCCATTTAATATTATAAAGAGCCTACTCTGTATTATGCATTGTGTAGAATATGAGACACAGTTACACACACACCACACATATCATTGCTCAGAATGTGTTGAGAGCCACAAAAAGATAAAAAAAAAACGTGAGGGGCTGCAGTTGTTCTGCTGTGTTTCTTTAAGCTACTTCTTAGTTCTAGGCATTAGGGCCAAATCTGTGATTTGTCTCCTCAAGTTCATCCACATCTCATGGATCATCACTACGTTTCTGGGACTCTGTTGTCTCCTATAAAAAATGAGAGAAATTAATTGAATAGCTATTTCAAAGGATTTTTTTTTCAAGAGGGCAGATGGAGAAAGGTGAGGAAGATTAAGGGAGAAAATCCATCTGGATGAATCATTCTGTGGTCACATATCCATATCTTATTTGTCTCCTAAACTCATTGTGAGTTGGGCAATGAAGATATTCTTGTTCCTTTTTGAACTAGAAGAAAATGAAGACTCAGAGGCTGAATCATGTTCTGAAGGATAAATCAAGGTCCGGATGCTCAGTACAGTACTATCAGTACGATGCACAAAGGAATCTATGTTAATTCCTTAAACGCAAAACTCACCTTTGCCATGATTTTAACCTTCTTTACCAAATAAGCTTTGTCAGAATTAGCTAGTCACAAGCATTTTCTTCTCCTAACTTATAATGCATGTAGTAGAGAAGATAATGTATCGTGCTATCAGTTTTTTGGTGAAAAATTTTCATCCAAGTTGAGGTTGGAGTGCTTAGAATTAGCTCAACCAGAGGATGTTTCTTCTGCCAATAGGTGGCAGAGTGAGTAAGCTTGTCTGAGAATGAAAATGAAATCTGAAAGAAGGGCACTTGGATTGGGATCTCCTGTTGAATCAACCTACAATGATGATGTACCTACAGTGCAAAGCCCACCACAAAGCATGGAAGACTTGAAAAAGACACCATCTCTTTATCTTTTGCAGTTCGCATTTAGCAGATCCATAAAAGGCTTTTTCTTTTTATAACAAGAAACATTATGCAAATGGTTAGCAGAGCAAAAGAAACATAAAGAGCGAAATACAACTATGTTAAGTAAACTATACATTTCTTATCTCTTCTTGATATAATGCATTCCTTAGTCCTAACTCTAATATTGAGGAAACCAAACTGTGCTTATAAGGAACCACAAAGAAATCAAAAACAATAAAACCCCAAAACTCTGACTTAGACTCAGGGGCCCCAGCCTTCTCTAAAGGAATAAAGTGCCCTCTTCTTTTCCTGACTATCCACTGATACTGATAAATGCTAAAGAGTTTTCTCTGGAACAAGTTGTCTTTCTTCTATTCCTTGAATAACCAAAGGAAATTCAATTAAAACTATTTATAATTTTATATAAAGAAGAAATAACTTGTGAAATATATTTTTTACTTGTCTATTTGCCTACTGAATTATTAAAAGGAAAGAAATGGAAGATGAAAATACTGGTGAACTCTTATTCATCCTCCAAACCCAGCAAAATTGGGGTCTCCCTAGGGAAGATTCTTCTATCTCTTTGTTTATCCTTTCTTCTGGGCTTCTAAAGCACAGTGTACCTTTTGACATCACATACATTTATCAGGCTCTTTTAATAACTTTTAAAAAATCTTTATATTTTTCTCAACTGAGATCTTGGATGTCATGAAGATGTAATTAGTTATCTTGATTCTCAGTGCCAAATGCAGGAATCATATATTAAGTATTTATGAATAAATGATGTACAAATAGACAAATGGTTAAAAAGGAAGGATTGAGTAGTTTGTAAACTGCATCTTCATTTTTGGATGAATATGAAAGCAACTATGCAGAAATTATGAAATGACAGACAGCTTGGCGGCATCAGTTTTGTGACACATCAGCCATCACATATTTTAGAGCCATATCTGAGTTCATATCTGACCCTGCCACATTCTAGAAAATAATTGAACACCTTTGAGTTTGTTTACTCATAAAATGGGAAAAAATAGTCCTTTACAGAACTGTTACTAGCTTAAATTGCTAATAAAAAGCTTTATACAATGTGAATATACATAAGGTATGATGACTATTACTGTTATCTCTGTGACAAACCACTTTCTCTTTTAAGTGGTATTGAATATCTTTACCAAATTGCAGCCAAATTGGCAAACAAATCAAAAGTAGTTTTTGTTTGTAGTTGTGAGAAACAAAACAAGTTTTTTGTTTGTTCTCTTTTTTGTTCTTTTTTTTTTGATATCACCTTGGTTTTGCTACCAAAGAAGTAAAGACAATTTTGCAGATGAAAAATTGCTGATTCATTGAAGAAAAAAAATGGTTTGCATTTGTTATTTATTTTTATGATTTACTTTAATGGACAGTTTGTAAATGAAAAGGGCTTATTTTATTTTATTCTTATACTAAATTTTAGAAGGTATTTTTATAAAGACCCTGAATTGTGTTACCTCTCTGATAGGTCTTAGATACTTTTTTCCTCTGGAAGATTTATAAATTAATAATTTGATAGGCTATAATTTAAAGTATGACTTTAAGTTCAAATTGGGGCCTGTGAAATTTTGAGAGTGGAGAATCCATTTGGGTAAAGAGAAAACACTCAAAATACATTTGTGATTTGTAAAGTTGTTTACAGAATGATTCAAAAACTGCGTCTGGGTACTCAGAGATCCAAGTCTAAGTTAAATTGTCTGTGATACCCACGGCTGTGCTGTCTCCTTCTTTCAGTTCACTCCGGGGTCAGGTTAGCTGCATCCTTAGCCTTTGGCATGGAATGTGCTTTGATGAACAAATGTCTCATCAAACAGCCAAAATGGTAGAACTTGCGTACTTTGAGGTCAGACACCATGTCTTAACCATAATTAAAAGATCATGAAACAATAAAAAGTAGGTGACAAGATCACCTGCTGGATTCACCTCAATTCTTTAAAGTTACTTCTTTGAGGGCATGCAGCTTGCAAAGCCCATGCTTTAAAAATGCACTGTGATTTTCTCATCCCCCACCCCCTGTCTTAGCTGTATCCAAAGAAAATTTTTATCCTTATTTTTGTCTGTGGAGTGAGATTTTCTTTTCAAGTGCTTGGGAGCTTTCCATGGTGTCCTGTGGATGCTTCGAAATGAAGCCCTCTCTTTTTAAATCCTTTCCTTTTCTTAGACAGAATTGCCTCTTATAATGTCTTCTTTTTTACTCTCAAAAAAAAAAAATCAAAAGAAAGGAAGAAAAAGAAGCAGAAGGAATCCAGTTGGAGACTGCAGCCCAGGTATTACAGAGGACAACTGCTGTAATTGGTTGTTAAAAATGGCACTGCAGTCATTTTCTCCACTGATGGAAAATCGACTTTTCCTCTTAACGTTTTCTTCTGTGGCTAGGGAAATTAACAATTTAATTGATTTTAATGAAATGACCATTTAAACATGCTCAAGTACTAGCTTTAAAGAGAAACAAAAGCATTTTGAAGCATCTCTTCCTTAAACCAAATTCTTATGTAATTTGAATGGTGCAGTGTGTGAATGTTGATATTTAAATGCTAAATCATTCAGATTTGGTTCTCAGTATAATTTTTTCTAATCAAGAAATATTCCAAAGATTTAGCGTAACTTGTAGCCTATTGCGAGGACAATCGGAAGTGATTTTTTTTTTTGTTTTGTTTTGGTGTTTTTTGAGACAGAGTCTTGTTGTGTCATGCAGGCTGGAGTGCAGTGGCACAATCTCTGCACACATCAACCTTCACCTCCCGGTTTCAAGTGATTCTCCTACCTCAGCCTCCCAAGTAGCTGGGATTACAGGCATGTACCACCATGCCCGCCTAATTTTTGTATTTTTGGTAGAGACGGGATTTCACCATGTTGGCCAGACTGGTTTCAAACTCCTGGCCTCAAGTGATCCGCCTGCCTCAGCCTCCCAAAGTGCTGGGATTACAGGTGTGAGCCACCATACCCGGCCCATAATTGAAATATTCTAAACTGTGTTAAATCATTGAAAACTGATTGGGGGAAATCTGAAAAGGATTGTATGATAGCCATATGTAACTAGTCAGGGAAAAGAAAGGTTTCTAGGGAAATGAACGTTATTCTCAACCATATTCTTGGACCATCCAAGAATCCTTCAGTGGTTATTGGAATGTGTGGCAATATGAGTGACATAAATTAAGAGAAAAATGTTTCCATCAGTACAAATAACCACACTATGGGTACGAGCAGTCTCACACTTTGCAGATACCAAATTTCTGTAGGGAAATTTGGAACTGTTTTGACAAACTTAAAAAAGTTCCTATTCCTTGTCTCCTCAATTACATTCTAAAAATCTATCATAATAAAATTTAGGATGTGTACAAAGATTAACCTACAAGCATGTTCATTGTGGAAGTGTTTATTATTGAGATAAAGTGGAAAGAAATCCAGAAATCCAACAATAAGGTTAAATAAATCATAAATAATGTCTATGGTGCTATGTCATTAGGCTTGAAATTGCTGTCAAGTTAATGAAAACAGGTTATAAAATTATATAGAGTAGAATTCCTTCTCCCTTATTTTTACAATTAATGCATATGAAAACATCTAGACAGTACACTTTAAAAGGTTACTAATGGTTATCTAATTGGTTTTGGGATTATAGGTGCTCCCTTTTTATTGCTTTCTTCTTGATATTCTCTACTTTTTCTACAATGAACATGTGCTTATATAATAAAATTGCCCATTTGTCCACATATTATCATGTTGGGATAGCTCAGAGCCTCCCAGCCTTCCTGGGCATCACCAGAATCTTTGTTTTAGTAGGAATTAGTTTTCTTCAGAATATAAAGATTTTGTAGTTTTCAATATCTTAACACTTTCTGATTTTATAACATCTTACGTCTTAAAAACACATACTTCCTCAAAGTGCTATATGGTATGTGTTAATTTTTTAATTAAACTTTTTTAAAATTAAAAATGTATTTGAGTATCTTTTGTGATAGCTACTTAGATAATGGGGGAAATCCACAACTTAGAATTATTTCTTCTGAAATATTGTTTTATGATCTACTTCATAGATATGAATCACTTTGGTATGGACACTGGGTAGTGACTGTTAAAATTCTTTTCAGTAGGTTGGAACTGAGGAGCAAGTCAGAGTCAGAAAAGAAAATCTAGGGAACTCCAGTAAGAAAATAGCTCTCCCATCTTCTTCATCCCTGTACTAGCATCCTAAAGAACTCCAAAACATCCTTAATTTCTGTGAATGAGGCCAGTGGACTCTCCCTGCTTCCATTATGCATGCAATCCAATCATAATGATCTGGATCAAAGATTAAACAGCCATATGCTTCCGGCTATAATGGAAAACAAGTCGTATCATCCAACTTTCAGGTGTACCAATTTTACAATTTTCCAAAGAAATTTTCCAAAAGAAATTCTCACCCATTTGTATGCCTGATGTCCTGATTTTCGTGTCCAAGTTTCCTACTGTCATTGTGCCCTAATGCTTACCAACTTAACTACATCAGGGCTTACCCCCTTGTTACTAAACCTTCTTTGCCATTTTGCTCAGAGGGGAGCAAACCTGGAATTAAGGTGATTAAAGTCTGGAGAAACAATTTCTTTTTTTTTATTATTATTATACTTTAAGTTTTAGGGTACATGTGCACATTGTGCAGGTTAGTTACATATGTATACATGTGCCATGCTGGTGTGCTGCACCCACTAACTCGTCATTTAGCATTAGGTATATCTCCCAATGCTATCCCTCCCCACTCCCACCACCCCACAACAGTCCCCAGAGTGTGATGTTCCCCTTCCTGTGTCCATGTGATCTCATTGTTCAATTCCCACCTGTGAGTGAGAACATGTGGTGTTTGGTTTTTTGTTCTTGTGATAGTTTACTGAGAATGATGATTTCCAGTTTCATACATGTCCCTACAAAGGACATGAACTCATCATTTTTTATGGCTGCATAGTATTCCGTGGTGTATATATGCCACATTTACTTAATCCAGTCTATCATTGTTGGACATTTGGGTTGGTTCCAAGTCTTTGCTATTGTGAATAATGCCACAATAAACATACGTGTGCATGTGTCTTTATAGCAGCATGATTTATAGTCCTTTGGGTATATACCCAGTAATGGGAAGCCTGGGTCAAATGGTATTTCTAGTTCTAGATCCCTGAGGAATCACCACACTGACTTCCACAATGGTTGAACTAGTTTACAGTCCCACCAACAGTGTAAAAGTGTTCCTATTTCTCCACATCCTCTCTAGCACCTGTTGTTTCCTGACTTTTTAATGATTGCCATTCTAACTGGTGTGAGATGGTATCTCATTGTGGTTTTGATTTGCATTTCTCTGATGGCCAGTGATGATGAGCATTTTTACATGTGTTTTTTGGCTGCATAAATGTCTTCTTTTGAGAAGTGTCTGTTCATGTCGTTCACCCACTTTTTGATGGGCTTGTTTGCTTTTTTCTTGTAAATTTGTTTGAGTTCATTGTAGATTCTGGATATTAGCCCTTTGTCAGATGAGTAGGTTGTGAAAATTTTCTCCCATTTTGTAGGTTGCCTGTTCACTCTAATGGTAGTTTCTTTTGCTGTGCAGAAGCTCTTTAGTTTAATTAGATCCCATTTGTCAATTTTGGCTTTTGTTGCCATTGCTTTTGGTGTTTTAGACATGAAGTCCTTGCCCATGCCTATGTCCTGAATGGTAATGCCCAGGTTTTCTTCTAGGGTTTTTATGGTTTTAGGTCTAACGTTTAAGTCTTTAATCCATCTTGAATTGATTTTTGTATAAGGTGTAAGGAAGGGATCCAGTTTCAGCTTTCTACATATGGCTAGCCAGTTTTCCCAGCACCATTTATTAAATAGGGAATCCTTTCCCCATTGCTTGTTTTTCTCAGGTTTGTCAAAGATCAGATAGTTGTAGATATGCAGTGTTATTTCTGAGGGCTCTGTTCTGTTCCATTGATCTATATCTCTGTTTTGGTACCAGTACCATGCTGTTTTGGTGACTGTAGCCTTGTAGTATAGTTTGAAGTCAGGTAGTGTGATGCCTCCAGCTTTGTTCTTTTGGCTTAGGATTGACTTGGCGATGTGGGCTCTTTTTTGGTTCCATATGAACTTTAAAGTAGTTTTTTCCAATTCTGTGAAGAAAGGCATTGGTAGCTTGATGGGGATGGCATTGAATCTGTAAATTACCTTGGGCAGTATGGCCATTTTCATGATATTGATTCTTCCTACCCATGATCATGGAATGTTCTTCCATTTGTTTGTATTCTCTTTTATTTCATTGAACAGTGGTTTGTAGTTCTCCTTGAAGAGGTCTTTCACATCCCTTGTAAGTTGGATTCCTAGGTATTTTATTCTCTTTGAAGCAATTGTGAATGGGAGTTCACTCATGATTTGGCTCTCTGTCTGTTGTTGGTGTATAAGAATGCTTGTGATTTTTGTACATTGATTTTGAATCCTGAGACTTTGCTGAAGTTGCTTATCAGCTTAAGGAGATTTTGGGCTGAGACAATGGGGTTTTCTAGATATACAATCATGTCATCTGCAAACAGGGACAATTTGACTTCCTCTTTTCCTAATTGAGTACCCTTTATTTCCCTCTCCTGCCTAATTGCCCTGGCCAGAACTTCCAACACTATGTTGAATAGGAGTGGTGAGAGAGGGCATCCCTGTCTTGTGCCAGTTTTCAAAGGGAATACTTCCAGTTTTTGCCCATTCAGTATGATATTGGCTGTGGGTTTGTCATAGATAGCTCTTATTATTTTGAAATACGTCCCATGAATACCTAATTTATTGAGAGTTTTTAGCATGAAGCGTTGTTGAATTTTGTCAAAGGCCTTTTCTGCATCTATTGAGATAATCATGTGGTTTTTGTCTTTGGCTCTGTTTATATGCTGGATTACATTTATTGATTTGTGTATATTGAACCAGCCTTGCATCCCAGGGATGAAGCCCACTTGATCAAGGTGGATAAGCTTTTTGATGTGCTGCTGGATTCGTTTTGCCAGTATTTTATTGAGGATTTTTGCATCAATGTTCATCAAGGATATTGGTCTAAAATTCTCTTTTTTGGTTGTGTCTCTGCCTGGCTTTGGTATCAGAATGATGCTGGCCTCATAAAATGAGTTAGGGAGGATTCCCTCTTTTTCTATTGATTGGAATAGTTTCAGAAGGAATGGTACCAGTTCCTCCTTGTACCTCTGGTAGAATTCGGCTGTGAATCCATCTGGTCCTGGACTCTTTTTGGTTGGTAAGCTATTGATTATTGACACAATTTCAGAGCCTGTTATTGGTCTATTCAGAGATTCAACTTCTTCCTGGTTTAGTCTTGGGAGGGTGTATGTGTCGAGGAATTTATCCATTTCTTCTAGATTTTCTAGTTTATTTGTGTAGAGGTGTTTGTAGTATTCTCTGATGGTAGTTTATATTTCTGTGGGATCGGTGCTGATATCCCCTTTATCATTTTCTATTGCGTCTATTTGATTATTGTCTCTTTTTTTCTTCATTAGTCTTGCTAGCGGTCTATCTATTTTGTTGATCCTTTCAAAAAACCAGCTCCTGGATTCATTGATTTTTTTGAAGGGTTTTTTTGTGTCTCTATTTCCTTCAGTTCTGCTATGATTTTAGTTATTTCTTGCCTTCTGCTAGCTTTTGAATGTGTTTGCTCTTGATTCTCTAGTTCTTTTAATTGTGATGTTAGGGTGTCAATTTTGGATCTTTCCTGCTTTCTCTTGTGGGCATTTAGTGCTATAAATTTCCCTCTACACACTGCTTTGAAAGCGTCCCAGAGATTCTGGTATGTTGTGTCTTTGTTCTCGTTGGTTTCAAAGAACAACTTTATTTCTGCCTTCATTTCGTTATGTCCCCAGTAGGCATTCAGGAGCAGGTTGTTCAGTTTCCATGTAGTTGAGCGGTTTTGAGTGAGATTCTTAATCCTGAGTTCTAGTTTGATTGCACTGTGGTCTGAGAGATAGTTTGTTTTAATTTCTGTTCTTTTACATTTGCTGAGGAGAGCTTTACTTCCAAGTATGTGGTCAATTTTGGAATAGTTGTGGTGTGGTGCTGAAAAAAATGTATATTCTATTGATTTGGGGTGGAGAGTTCTGTAGATGTCTATTAGGTCTGCTTGGTGCAGAGCTGAGTTCAATTCCTGGGTATCCTTGTTGACTTTCTGTCTCATTGATCTGTCTAATGTTGACAGTGGGGTGTTAAAGTCTCCCATTATTAATGTGTGGGAGTCTAAGTCTCTGTGTAGGTCACTCAGGACTTGCTTTATGAATCTGGGTGCTCCTGTATTGGGTGCATATATATTTAGGATAGTTAGCTCTTCTTGTTGAATTGATCCCTTTACCATGAAGTAATGGCCTTCTTTGTCTCTTTCGATCTTTGTTGGTTTAAAGTCTGTTTTATCAGAGACTAGGATTGCAACCCCTGCCTTTTTTTGTTTTCCATTTGCTTGGTAGATCTTCCTCCATCCTTTTATTGTGAGCCTCTGTGTGTCTCCGCACGTGAGATGGGTTTCCTGAATACAGCACACTGATGGGTCTTGACTCTTTATCCAATTTGCCAGTCTGTGTCTTTTAATTGGAGCATTTAGTCCATTGACATTTAAAGTTAATGTGTTATGTGCGAATTTGATCCTGTCCTGATGATGTTAGCTGGTTATTTTGCTCGTTAGTTGATGCAGTTTCTTCCTAGTCTCAATGGTCTTTACATTTTGGCATGATTTTGCAGCGGCTGGTACCAGTTGTTCCTTTCCATGTTTAGTGCTTCCTTCAGGAGTTCTTTTAGGGCAGGCCTGGTGGTGACAAAATCTCTCAGCATTTGCTTGTCTGTAAAGTATTTTATTTCTCCTTCACTTATGAAGCTTAGTTTGGCTGGATATGAAATTCTGGATTGAAAATTCTTTTCTTTAAAAATGTTGAATATTGGCCCCCACTCTCTTCTGGCTTGTAGCATTTCTGCCGAGAGATCCACTGTTAGTCTGATGGGCTTCCCTTTGAGGGTAACCCGACCTTTCTCTCTGGCTGTCCTTAACATTTTTTCCTTCATTTCAACTTTGGTGAATCTGACAATTATGTGTCTTGTAGTTGCTCTTCTCGAGGAGTATCTTTGTGGCGTTCTCTGTATTTCCTGAATCTGAACGTTGGCCTGCCTTGCTAGATTGGGGAAGTTCTCCTGGATAATATCCTGCAGAGTGTTTTCCAACTTGGTTCAATTCTCCCCCTCACTTTCAGGTACACCAATCAGACGTAGATTTGGTCTTTTCACATAGTCCCATATTTCTTGGAGGCTTTGCTCATTTCTTTTTATTCTTCTTTCTCTAAACTTCCCTTCTCGCTTCATTTCATTCATTTCATCTTCCATTGCTGATACCCTTTCTTCCAGTTGATCGCATCAGCTCCTGAGGCTTCTGCATTCTTCACGTAGTTCTCGAGCCTTGGTTTTCAGCTCCATCAGCTCCTTTAAGCACTTCTCTGTATTGGTTATTCTAGTTATACATTCTTCTAAATTTTTTTCAAAGTTTTCAACTTCTTTGCCTTTGGTTTGAATGTCCTCCCGTAGCTCGGTGTAATTTGATCTTCTGAAGCCTTCTTCTCTCAGCTCGTCAAAGTCATTCTCCGTCCAGCTTTGTTCCGTTGCTGGTGAGGAACTGCGTTCCTTTGGAGGAGGAGAGGTGCTCTGCTTTTTAGAGTTTCCAGTTTTTCTGTTCTGTTTTTTCCCCATCTTTGTGGTTTTATCTACTTTTGGTCTTTGATGATGGTGATGTACAGATGGGTTTTTGGTGTGGATGTCCTTTCTGTTTGTTAGTTTTCCTTCTAACAGACAGGACCATCAGCTGCAGGTCTGTTGGAGTACCCTGCAGTGTGAGGTGTCAGTGTGCCCCTGCTTGGGGGTGCCTCCCAGTTAGGCTGCTCGGGGGTCAGGGGTCAGGGACCCACTTGAGGAGGCAGTCTGCCCGTTCTCAGATCTCCAGCTGCGTACTGGGAGAACCACTGCTCTCTTCAAAGCTGTCAGACAGGGACATTTAAGTCTGCAGAGGTTACTGCTGTCTTTTTGTTTGTCTGTGCCCTGCCCCCAGAGGTGGAGCCTACAGAGGCAGGCAGGCCTCCTTGAGCTGTGGTGGGCTCCACCCAGTTCGAGCTTCCAGGCTGCTTTGTTTACCTAAGCAAGCCTGGGCAATGGTGGGCGCCCCTCCCCGAGCCTCACTGCCGCCTTGCAGTTTGATCTCAGACTGCTGTGCTAGCAATCAGCGAGACTCCGCGGCCATAGGACCCTCTGAGACAGGTGCAGGATATAATCTCGTGGTGCGCCGTTTTTTAAGCCCGTCGGAAAAGCGCAGTATTCGGGTGGGAGTGACCCGATTTTCCAGGTGCCATCCGTCACCCCTTTCTTTGACTAGGAAAGGGAACTCCCTGACCCCTTGCGCTTCCCGAGTGAGGCAGTGCCTCACCCTGCTTTGCTCGCGCATGGTGCGTGCAGCCACTGACCTGCGCCCACTGTCTGGCACTCCCTAGTGAGATGATCCCGGTACCTCAGATGGAAATGCAGAAATCACCCGTCTTCTGCGTTGCTCACGCTGGGAGCTGTAGACCAGAGCTGTTCCTATTCGGCCATCTTGGCTCCTCCCCTCCTGGAGAAACAATTTCTATAGTGATTGGGTTAAGGCACCTTGCTTTTGTGTGAATTAAATTAGTAATTTATTTGTTGGGCCTAGTTTGTCCAGACTGTTGGTATAGTTCATGCCAAATGAATAAATTCAAGATCTTCATTTTATCAGAATCATGTATAGTTTGTATTACACAACCATTTTATTAATTTACTATTTGAATAGAAATATATTCACCTTAGGAGGCCCCAGAGAGTGAGTGCCTCCAAAATTCCCAATGCATTGCAGGTGAATTTCCCATGATAATTTCTGGACAAGACTAGCCCTCCCAAATCCCATCTCCCCACCCAGGAAAAGGTAGAGATTTCTTCTTTTGTGATACCACATTACATTGTAAAATCTTTATTGTTGCACTCGTGATAGTATATGCTGGCTATTTATTTGGTCTATTTTCTCTTAGTAGACTTTGAGCTCCCTGAAGTTCAGTACTCTGACTTATTCATCTTTCCATATCCAATATCTGCCATAAAATACCAATCAATGGATTAAACACATGGAATGAATGAGGAGATAACTAAGAATTCGATATTCTCCTTTTGAAGAAATGCTACAGGAGGAGATGTTCATTTACTGTCAAGAATAACCTTATGTCTTGACTAGTAGCAATAAAAAGCAAGAAAGGAAAGTAATGATATTTTATAGTGCCCATTTAATGATATTTAATGTTAGGAGAAAAGAAGGAATTTTCATTCTTTACTGTGTAAGTCAATTTCATAAAGTAGAGACTTTCCAGTTCTTTGACTACTAGGGCATTTCATGCATATGCAGTTACTGCTCAATCTCACCAGATAGCTTTTTTTTTTTTCAATAAAAGTGCAGCTAACTTCTGCAAAACGGTGATATCATTCTGCCACTTAGAAATCTTGCACTGTATCAGAGGTGCTGTAGCAAACACCAGCCAGCACATTGAAGCTTGTCTGGAGAAATGAGAAGTCTGTACAGCAGCAGATTTCCTTTCAAAATTGTAGTGTAATTGAATAAGCTTTTACTTGCTCAGACACTAGATAAAATATTGCTTGAATATATCATCACCCAGAAAAAAGTAGTCTTTCTGTGTTTTTTTTCCCTATTCTCTCCATATCTATTCATTTCTACAATCTATGACATTCTAGTCAGCAGACAGATTAAGGAGAAAAATGTCTTAAAATGTACCCTGGGTATCAGCATCTGTCCTCATCAGTCTCCATACCCCTTCAGGTTTCCTGAACTGAAGTGCCTTGTGAACCCCGCAATAAACTGTTTTGCAAATTCAAAAAAAAATAAAAAAAATAAAACAACAGAATGAAGGAACTCCTAGAAATAACCTGAAGTTGGTAAAACACATTGGGTTAAAATCTAGTCTTTAGCTCTAGGACTTAGAGGATATAAGCTAGAGGCTTCCTCATTCTTAGAGGTCAGTGTGGCAGCAGAAATAAAGTTGTTATAAACTAAGTGTCAAACAATGTGCTGGGTTACTTATGCATCCATTCTCTATCTTGGAGATGGAATGAGGAATTAGCTGAAGTGGGTTTATTGAAGGACTCACAGTCTAGTGGGGAAAAGAGACAGTATGGTAAATTATAAAGACACTCATTGGGGACTTTGGGTTCCAAAGGAAAAAACAGTATTCCTCCACGTCTTCTTTTGTAGTTACATTTGTTATGGGATTTTAGCACTTCTAACAAAATAGTTCTGGCTATTTCAGTCTCTTGGCCCTAGGAATACTAGACCATTTTTTCCAGTATTCTGTACCCTATATAGTTTCTCTCCTGAGATCAATGGCTATGTCCCTGACCTTTGACCCCAGCCTTCCTCTTGATCTTGAGGCAGGACCAATGTCTACTCTCAGACTACAGCTGACACGCTTAGGTTTTGAGACTTGTCATTTGGCTCACCTGGTAACACACTCCTGGGTTTTTCATTACAGGCTTCCTCTCTGTCTCTTCTTGGATCCAAACCACAGCAACTCAGTCACAAAATTCTGTCGGCAAGTTGCTGAATGCAGATGCCAGACCGAGACTTAGGTCTCTTGTTTCAAAAAGTCAGCAGACTTATTGTGGTATCGTGGACCCCAAGGGGACACCTAGCTCTCCCTCTCTGGCTGCCACTTTTCAAGGCAATTAGAGCAAATTAGGTCTAGTGAAATGGAAATTTAATTTTTAAAAAATTTCTTAATTATTCAATGAGTAATTTACTCAGCATTTTCTGGATGCCAGGCACTGTGCTAGGAATTGGAAATACAGAGATATTCTCATGTAATTGATAATCATTGGGAAGGCTGAGATGGAACCAAATAGTTACACCGCAAATGTTTTATGAGCTCAATAGAGACCTTGAGGGGAAAAAGAAAGACCAGGAGAACAGAATAAACCCCCACAGAAGACAAAACATTCTACCTGGGTCTTAAAAGTCAAGTAGTTCCTCAAGGAACAGGTAAAGAATCTTCAAAGGCATTGCAGTGGGAAAGAGTGGTGTGATTGGGCAATGACTTTAATGTAGGAAGTAGGAAACAAAGAAGGGTCGGGGGATCGACAGGTTCTGTCTGAGATGTACGTGAATTGCTCTCCTCCTGCCTGTGCATTTCCTGCTATGTTTCTCCTCTCCTTAGTGGGGAAGAATCTCCACTTTCTCTCTCTCTGCCAAGGCCAGAGTTTTAATAACTCACTACTCTCAAAAAGTTAAATTCAACTTGTTCTGGGGGAAAAAAAAATTTCATTTTTGACTCTCACCATACATGCTAAATTTTATCAGATGGTCCCCAACTCATCTGAAAAAATTAATACCATTTTTTAAAAAGTGAAATTTACCCAGTATTTTACATTTAAGGAGTAGTTGAAAGATTTGGTGCTTCTGATTCATAGTTTTACTATCATACAAAATAAAGCCCCACAGCCAACATATAACTGCTCTAGTAATGTACTTCATACCCACAAAATGGTCTCAGCAGCTTATAACCATCAGGGAGAGCCTCCGTGTTCTTAAAATGAAATGCTTAAATGATAAGTAAGAAGGCGACTCTTACTGCAAACATCTGCACTTCTGGAGTTTCAATTTCTCAAGATGGAAGATTAACAATTTGGTAAGAAATGGACTGCACCAGTAATTCTCAAGCCTGCATGTACATCCTAATTACATATGGAATTTGTTAAAAAAAATAATAAAGGGCAGATGGAATTGGAAATTGAAGTTTAAAAAAATTCCACAGATGACTGTGGTGCATAGTCAGGTTTGCAAGTTTCAGGATTCAATGACTTATTTGGATACATCCAGTCATAAGACTGTTAGGCAATTTTGTGGGTGAATAGTTAAATAATTCTACTTCATCAAGATTGTGAATTGTATGTATATAAAAATAATTTTTTGGGAAAGGATTCCTAAGTGTTTTTATGAACTGTGAATGATTGTTTTGAAAACCATACCTTGAGCTGCTCATTTGAACTGTAACCATTCTTCTATTCTGGTATAACAGTGCATACAAGATTTAATCTGTTATTTCTTATTTTTTCCTTAATTGATAAATAAAAATTGTACACACGGTGTGCAAAGTAATGTTCACATATATGTGTACATTATTAAACGATTGACTTAAGCTAGTTAACTATTTATGTTTTTCTCATTCTTATCTGTAATACCTCTGTTGCTTTTGGCCATTAATTCATAAATATCTTTCACTCCAGGCAAACCCGGGCAGGACTGTGCTGTTACTAGTGCAGAATTGTCTTCTCTTGGTGGGAGCAGGTTTCTTCAACCTGTAGAGCATGTGTAAGAATAGAAAAAACGTAGATTAACGTTCTGTTGTGACTTTTCACATGGTTGTTTAAAAAGCGTGAGGGCTGGCTAGGCATGGTGTCTCCACCTGTAATCTCAGCACTTTGGGAGGCTGAGGCAGGCGGATCACCTGAGGTCAGGAATTTGAGACCAGCCTGGCCACATGACAAAACCTCTTCTCTACTAAAAATACAAAAATTAGCCAGGAGTGATGGTGCATGCCTGTAATCCCAGCTACTCAGTAGGCTGAGGCAGGAGAATCGCTTGAACCCAGGAGGCGGAGGTTGCGGTGAACCAAGATTGCGCCACTGCACTTCAGTCACTTCACAACAGAGTGAGACTGTCTCCAAAAAGAAAAAAAAAAGTGTGAGGGCTAAGCATTGTTGAATTGTTGAATTTAAAAAATAGATGAGGTTTACGGTAGAAAAATCAAGTTAAACATGGATTTTTGAGAGCTTGTTTGGAGGTTCTAGCAGAATAGTGCAGCTACTCGTATTCCTTTGACGGAAAACCGGTCCTCTTCTATCGGGGATGATCGATTTCTTTCACTGAGTCCACAGCTTCGGGAGGGACACACATGGCACGGTGACAGAGGAAGGGGTCACTCGCCTAGCCAGCTGGATCAGCCCAATCAACCCAGCCAGATCAGCCGAATCAATGGGGTAACAGATGTCGCAGCCAGATCATCTTCCCATCCTAAACATGGACTTTTGAATCACACACAGTGACATCGGTCATTTCCCTTGCTATACTTCAAGTGTGTGTCTGCTGAAGAGTGGACCAAATTGGTGATGTTTGTGTCGGTGGTTCCCCTTCACACAGAATGGGCTTACAGGAAGAGGATAACTGTTCTGGAGGCCCTGCCACAACCAGGTAGGGATTCACCAGAATGAGAGAGCCAGTTCTTCCAAGGCAGAGAGGAATGCTGTTACTAGAAAATAGAAGGAAGGGTAAAAAACAGATAACAATGTAGGTCCACTGCAATTGTATATCAGATTACATTGTTATTTGTTTGTTTTCTCTGAAACTAAAATTGAAGCAGAGGTACAAGAAATAAGGCTGTTTATTTTAAAGCCATTTTTAGCATGTAGTATAAAGGAATGTATATATTAACCACTTAATACACACCAGAAACAAAGGGAAGAAGAATTTGAGTAGTCAGGCATTTTCCTGCCTGAAATAATTGTGTTGATATGAGTCAAAGAGGGATCTTGTTCCAAATGTACATTACATTAGATACAAAAGTAATTATAAAACAGTATGGTTTTGTAAGTTAAGTCACAGAGTTTTCAGGTGAGAAGAAACTGAGTCATTGTTTTGGTTGCTGTCCCTATCAGTTGCACTGCTCACTTGTATCAAAGCTATTTTTATTGAAGTAAGTAGAATCAGACGTTTCATTTTCACTAAAAAATGCAATGAGAAGTTGCAAGTTGTTATGTGTCATAAGGGTAAGCATTTTCTTTTTAAGTTTTTTTAATTTTTAATTTTTGTGGGTACATAGTCGGTGTATCGGTGTGTTTGTGTGTGTGTGTGTATATATATATGGTAAATATATCAAACATGAGATGTTGTAACACAGGCATGCAATGTGAAATAAGCACATCAGAGAGAATGAGGTATCCATCCCCTGGAGCATTTATCCTTCGATAAACCATTCAATTACAAACCATTCAATTGAACCTTACAAACCATTCAATTACATTATTAAAGTTATTTTAAAATGTACAATTAAGTTATTATTGCCTATAGTCACCCTGTTGTCCTATTACATACTAGGTCTTATTTGTTCTTTCTAACTACTTTTTGTACCCATTAACCATTCCCATATTTACCCCACTTGGCCCCCTACTACCCTTCTTGGCTTCTGGTAACCATCTTTCTACTCTCTATGTTCATAAGTTTAATTGTTTTGATTTTTAGATACCACAAATAAGTGAGAATATGCAATGTTTGTCTTTCTGTTCTTGGCTTATTTCACTTAACATAATGGTCTCCAGTTCCATCCATGTTGTTACAAATGACTGGATTTCATTTATTTTGGCTGAATAGTACTGAATAATGTATGTACCACTTTTGTTGTTCCATTCATCTGTTGATGGGCACTTACGTTGCTTCCACATCTTAACTATTATGAACAGTACTGCAACAAACACAGAGCTGCAGATATATCTTCAGTGTATGGATTTCCTTTCTTTTGGGCATATACCCAGCAGTGAGATTGATGAATGATATGGTAGCTCAATTTTTAGTTTTTTGAGGAACTCCAAACTGTTCTCCACAGTGGTTGTACTAATTTACATTCCCAGGAACAGTTTATGAGGGTTTTCTTTTCTCTACATCTTCACCAGCATTTGTTATTGCCTGTCTTTTGGATATAGGCCATTTTAACTGGGGTGAGATAATATCTCGTAGTTTTGATTTGCATTTCTCTGATGATCAGTGATGTAGAGCCCCTTTTCATATGCTTGTTTGCTATTTCTATGTCTTCTTTTGATAAATGTCTATTCAAATCTTTAGCCCATTTTTTGATTGGATTATTAAATTTTTTTTTTCTGTAGATTGTTTGAGCTCCTTGTATATTCTGGGTATTAATCCCTTGTCAGATGCGTAGTTTTCAAATCTTTTCTCCCATTCTGTGAGCTGTGTCTTCACTTTGTTGATTGTATCCTTTGCTGTGCAGAAGCTTTTTAACTTGATTGATCCTATCTGCTCATTTTTGCTTTGGTTGCCTGTGCTTGTGAGGTATTATACTACTGAAGAAATTTTGCCCAGACCAATGTCCTGGAGATTTTCCCCAATATTTTCTGGTGGTAGTTTCATAGTTTGAGATCTTAGATTTAATTCTTTAATTACTTTTGATTTGATTTTTGAGGCAAGAGATAGGGGTCTAGTTGTATTGTTCTGCATATGGATATCAAGTTTTCTCAGCACCAGTTATTGATGAGACTGTCTTTTCCCCAGTGTATGTTCTTGGCACTTTTCTCAAAAATGAGTTCACTGTAGGTGTGTGGATTCATTTCTGGGTTCTCTATTCTGTTCTGTTGGTCTATGTGTCTGTTTTTATGCTAGTACCATGCTGTTTTGGTTACTATAGCTCTGTAGTATAATTTGAAGTCAGGTAATGTGATTCCTCCAGTTTTGTTCCTTTTGCTTAGGATACCTTTGGCTATTCTGGGCCTTTTGTGATTTCATATAAATTTTATGATCATTTATTCTGTGAAGAATGTCATTAGTATTTTCATAGGGATTGCATTGAATCTGTAGATTGCTTTTGGGTAGCATGGACATTTTAGTAATATTACTTCTTCCAATCCATGAACATGGAATATGATTTTTTTTGGTGTTCTCTTCCATTTCTTTCATCAGTGTTTAATTGTTTTCATTAGAGAGAGCTTTCATTTCTTTGGTTAACTTAATTCCTAGGAATTTAATTTTATGTGTGGCTATTGTAAATGGGATTACTTTTGAATTTGTTTTCAGAATAAGCATTTTCTCTTGGCAATGTTTCCCAAGCCCAGCGGTTTGCCCAATAGTAACAATTTATAAACTTAGTTGATGATCACACCACCAAGTGAATCCTAACTCCATTTTACTATTTTATTCTGCTCTATTTACTCTCGCTGTGATTCTTTTTTCTTTCTTTATGTTCTCTTCCCATTACATACACTAAAATCCATTCAAAACGTTATTATTCACTCTTCTCACAGTTCCTGTTTACTCTAAATAATTTATCACAATACTTACTTTTCCCCATTCTTTTTTTTTCCTTTTTCTCCTCATCCTTCTTTTCCCCAGTTACTTCTTTACTTCTTGAGGATATGAATGTAGAACAGAGAAGTGTGCTTAACAAAAAGGCTTAGTGAAAATAAAAAATAAGAGAGGTAGAAAATAAAATAAAAGTAAGAAATGAAAGCCTTAGAGACAGTGTGTTGCTTTTGGTCTAAAAATAGAGAAAAGTGCACTTAAAAATTGAGGCAAACTAAATGAAAAGGGTCATGGTTGCCAGCTATGTGTAAAGCTTTAAAGCTATCCTTTTAGATTTGAGGACTCCTTTCTGAAAGCAAGAAGTGTGGAGGGGAATTCCTCAAGTGGTTTAAAGGGCTTCAAGTCATCCTGCTTCCTCTCCACACTTTGGAGAACACCTTTGATTAAAAGGTTTCCAAGGAGGAATGTGGAAGAAACAGAGAAAGAGAAAACTGGCATTGACACTAGAATAGAACTTGATAGTGAGGTAAATGAAAAGATGACAAGCACTGAGAATAATATTATTGCTTAGATGTTACCTGGGCCTCTGTGTGAACCAAATTGTCACTTAAAGGCATAAAAGAGGTCATGGTTTTGAAGAGTCTGTGGCTAAAGGTAAGATTTAGGTAGTTGTGCTTAAGTATCCAGTAATTCAGTTATTCAGTAATATTATGAGATTCTTTTTTTAAATGATAATATAAAAAAATCACCAGCTAAATTTAGACTTGTTCACTGAAAATAATGGTTTTGAAACATGGTCATCAGAAACTCAAGGGGTTTGGCAATTCTGACCCATCTGAAGACCTTTGCAGGAGAAAGTAAAATTTAGTGAACTTGAGTTTTCTTTTCTGTTTATGAGTCACACTAGTCTTGCATAAGCTGTGGATCCTAGGTGCAATCTCACGACTGTGAAAGAGGGAGAATACAGAGTCTGCTTACTTTAGGAGACAATGAACAGAAGCAAATGTACTCATCTATGAAATGGAATTTTGATAAATAGTAAAGCTGTTTAATGTCAGGGATTCTTAAATATCTAACACATGCACTCATATTAGGTGGGTTTTTTTCACAATCCATTTTCTTATTGATTATGTTTATTACATTATTGTCAGGAAATATGGACCATATGACCACCAACTTTGAATGTATTGATACTTTCTCTTTTTTTCTTTCTTTTTTTTAACTTTTAGGTTAAAAGGGTACATGTGCAGATTTGTTATACAGATAAATTGCATGTCTTGAGGGTTTGGTGTAAAGATTGTTTCATAAGCCAAGTGATTAGCATAGCACCCAATAGGTAGTTTTTTGATCCTTACCCTTCTCCCTCCCTCCATGCTCAATAGGCTCCGGTGTCTGTTATTCCCTTCTTTGTGTCCATATGTACTCAGCGTTCATAAAACGTCAAAATAGATGATGCATTTCTCAGAATGTGTCCCCACATGACTCAGACCCATGACTGTATGTACATATATGTAACTACTTCCCTGATCAGTTGTAGGATATTTCCAGTACTCATAAGGGCTCCTATATAGCCCTTTCTATTAATATTAAGAGTGCTTTATTATGCACCAATAGACAGTGAATACATGTCTTTCTCTCCGCGTTTATTTAACCTAAGAACGAGCACGGTTTTCTTCTTTAGTATTTCAAAGCATAATATATTAATCAACATAGGGTAAATCCATGCTATGTTAATAAATAACCCAAAAATCTTAGCAGAGTAATCTGGAAACATTTATTCCTTCTCATGCTACATGTTCTGTTCATCTTGGCCACTCAGAAAATAGGCTTATGGAGAATTTATTTTGACACGAGCTTCCATGTTTTAGGACTTCATTAGGGACTACCTCACTCACAGTACCAACTTCTGGGTTAGTCAGATTAGGCAGGTTTAAGCTAAAAACATGATATAATTTTAAAAATCATCCAAAGGTTAATGGCTCAACATAATGAAAGTATTGTTGTTCACATTGCATATCCGTCTCAAGTCAGCAGGTGTGTCCTGATTATTGTAACTATTTAGGGACTCGGGATGGTGGAGGATCCACCCTGATACTTTTTTCTATAATTACCAAAGCAAGGAAAGAAGATGTAGTAAGTCACAAACCAACTCAAAGTTCCTGCCAGAAAGTGACACTTATTACTTCTGTTCATTAAGTAAAGCAAGTCACAGGGCCACATCTAAGAGGACAGGGAAGGGCAATCCTCACACCTGGTTGCGGAGTAGTTATATTTGTGAACAACTCCATTGCTTATCACATGTTGCAAAGGCCATTTCCTGAAACTTAATGAATGTTTATGAATAGCACAAGTGCAGAACTGAGAGTGACTGTTTTAATATATTAAGTAGTTACTTTTAGCAGTCACGGACCCCAAGCCCAAACTTAGGAGCCTTAACTTTGAAAAGGATCTCATGTGTTAGAAGATTATTTCTACTTCTAATGAGCTATTTCCACACCCCTCTTTTTTGGGGTGGGGGGACAGAGTCTCACTTTGTCACCCAGGCTGGAGTGCAGTGGTGCAATCTTGGCTCACTCCAACCTCCGTCTTCCGGGTTCAAGTGATTCTCCTGCCTCAGTCTCCCAAGTAGCTGGGACTACAGGCATGTGCCACCATGCCTGGCTAATTTTTGTAATTTTAGTAGAAATAGGGTTTCACCATGTTGGCCAGGTTGGTCTTGAACTCCTGACCTCAACTGATCCACCCACCTCGGCCTCCCAAAGTGCCAGATTACAGATGTGAGCCACTGTGCCCGGCCCTTCTACACCTTTCCACACCCCTCCACCCCTCAGAATCAGGGGGCAGCATCTTTTGTTTTCCAGAATTTAAAGCTTCTCTTCCTTTTTTCCCCCCCAGAATAACAATAGTTCATTTTTATCCCAACCTTATTAACACTGCCATTACCCATTTCTTTTAAGATAAATATAATATCCCCCTGCACCTGCTCCATATGTCATCTGATCTTCATGACCAAGGCACATACAATATTCAACAGACTAGATCCTAGTAGGTTGCCCATCTGAATGAGAGAGCACAGATTTCCTCTCCTTTTACTGTCTTCTGCATCCTATTCTTTTCCTGAATCAAGTTTTGGATAAGAATAAGAAATATGGTTTAGGGTAAAATTTGCCTCAAATGTGTAGCTTCCCCTACCCACTGGAGTTCCCAAGGGGTCAAGAAACCTGCTATCTCTCTAACACAAGGCCCCTCCCCCAGAAAAACTTTTCAGGGAAGATGTGTCTCAAAGAACTTCAACCTTTGAATGCTTGCCCTAGGCTGCTTCACTCATCAGACTGCGGCTCCTAACTAATGCAGTGGTAAACCAAGTTCTGTTCTTGCCTTTAGCTTGTGGCAGGGGTGTTATTGTATGTACTCTTCAGGCTATTCCAGGGTGCTCATTCTAGCTGTTTTGCTTTGGGGATAATGCAAAATGGGACTTAGGTAGGATAAGACATCAGCTGCACATGTTCAGGTGTTATCTACTCAAAATACCCACTCACAAAACCTTTGCTTTCCTCATCTGAAGGTTAAGGCATGGAATTTCTTTTGATGGAAGAACACATTTTTGTGTATTCCTTGGCTTCATTTATAGCTTATATATTATTTTTTACTTGTGGCTATGTCATGTCTTTCTTTCAAATTCTTTCCCTTTGGGGATAATACAAAAGTCATTATTGTAAGTGAGGTTCTCTTAGTGCTTACTGTATGCCAGATTCTGTGTTAAGTACTTTTTGCATATTATTTCATTTACTTCTCCTTACAGCTCCAAGCTTATTGTTTCTATTTTACAGATTCCGATTCCAAGATTACCAACAAATGAGAAGAGTCTGGTTTTCAATCCAGGTCTTTCTGACTCAGTTCATATGTCTGTCATGTATATAGTTTTGTGATTTTTCTTCCTGTATTCAACTGTGGCTCTTAACTTGCTATCTTTTTTGCTGAACAATTGCATTGAATCATGCTTAGTAGAGTGATCCCTATGAGCCCAGCCTTCCTCCCACCCAGGAAAATAAAAGAGAAAAAAGAAAACAAACAAAAACCAAAAACAGCAAACCAACAAACATTCAATAACCCAATGCTAAATAGCAATTTACACTGTAGTTTTTATCTGTCAGCCATTCTGTTGAGGTTGTGACTGTTAGTTACATGGAAGAATGAATCAATTGCCCCTTTTGCTGGTCTCAGTTCCCAGGCTGAGCATGTCTTTCTGCTGAATGTGATTCAGGGAGATCCTTAACCAAAGTCATTGACTTCATCTGAGACTCAACTAAAGGAACTTACCAACAGAGAAAAACACAAAGAGGAAAACTGTTCTTAAGGAGTGATGTATATCAGTTTCCAGTATGATATCTTTCTTAGAGAACTTTAAGGGTAATTTTGATCTTTTGCTGCCATCAGAGCCTCATCTTCATGCAAGCTGTGACACTTTTACCATGACACATTGATATGGTTTGGCTGTGTCTCATGCAAATCTCATCTTGAATTCCCACGTGTTGTGGGAGGGACCCAGTTGGAGGTAATTGAATCATGGGGGGCAGGTCTTTCCTGTGCTGTTCTTGTGATAGTGAATAAGTCTCATGAGAGCTGACGATTATATAAAGGGAATTTCCCTGCACAAGCTCTCTTCTCTTGTCTGCTGCCATGTGAGACATACCTTTCACCTTCCACCATGATTGTGAGGCCTCCCCAGCCATGTGGAACTGTAAGTCCAATAAACCTCTTTCTTTTGTAAATTGCCCACTCTCAGATATGTCTTTATCAGCAGCTTGAAAACAGACTAATACACATATTATGTAACATCAGACAGAGAAAGGACCTTAAAAGTCGTTTAAAACAACCCCCTCAGAGTATGTGGAAACTCAGCCATAAACAAGTCAAACAGTATATATCCAACAAAACTAGATTGAGATACCCCACCCCATCCTGCAAGTGGTGGACAGGCTCAGGGCTTGGACTCAATGACCAAGTTGCAGACCCAGTTCTATGGTTCCTATTTGTGTGCCTATGGGAAACAGATTTTTCTCTCTTCCATTCACAGATGTTGAATAAAATACCCCCCCTCTTTTTTTTTTTGCTGTTCAGATTAGGCAAAATAATGCATGTACACCTGATTTTTAAGCCATTATGTATTATATAGATGCAAAAAATTATGATAATTTTACCTACACCAGGCTGCCTCTTTTTACCTTTGCCCTGCCTTTTACATTTTCTTTGCCTTTAAATTCTTCATCTCTCCATCTGGACTGAACCAGTAGTTTTGCAGATCTTTCTCCACACTTTACCACACTCAGAAGGTATAATAAGAATAAGTTGAGGGAGTCTGAAAAGGATTAGACCATGTAGTCAAGAGCTACGTGAGCCTCTGTGGGAGAGAGAACTCTCAATTTTTATTCCTCACCACATTCTTCTTCTTCTTTCCAATAAACTAATAATTTTTATAACAGTGGAGTTCAGGGCTTGCAACAAGGGTTCAGAACAACAGGGTTAATCAGTTATTTGTGTGTATGTGGGCGCATCCCGTGTCACATGTGGGAGTGATAATTGAGTATCTCCCAATTCAGAGATTATTTTGCTCTCTAGGTGTGTTGGTTGTGACACCTACACAAAATGAGTAAGATTAGTAGTATCCCATACAGATTGGAATTACAGACTTTTGACTCAGAACATCCTGGTTGGAGTGAAGGCTCCGAGAATTATCAGTTTTGTGATCATTGGCAAATTATTTATTCTCTCCCAGGCAAGGTTTCCTCATTTTGATAATGGACATACTATTGTAACTAACCTTGTTGGGTTGCTGTGAGAATGATGTAATTATGGATGCACGTATAGAGATATCATGGTGGTATTAAAACACATCTACAAATTCTCTAACACAGTTCCCATGAAGACATGGAGTGGACATCCCTTCCCTTCACAATTTGCCCTGACCTTTTGACTGCCTGGGTGAACAGAATGTGTCAAAGTGACACTGCATGGCTTTTGAGTCTAGGATCTAAAAGCCCACCCAGCTTATGCTTATTTCTCGTGGAAACACACTTTGAGAATCTTCAGCTGGCAAGTAAGCAATACAGTAACTCAAATTACCTTTTATAGAGATGGAGTGGGGGGAGAGAGAGAGAGGGAGAGAGAGAGAGAGAGAGAAAGAAAGAGAGAGAGAGAGAGAGATGTCTGAGTTCCAGTTGGTCCAGCTGCCAGCCTCCAAATTTTGAGTCTTCTTTTCCAGGTACCATTTGAGTAAAGAAA
Organism: Homo sapiens; assembly: GCF_000001405.40. NCBI lineage: Eukaryota > Metazoa > Chordata > Mammalia > Primates > Hominidae > Homo > Homo sapiens. The sequence continues at coordinate 90,173,251 of NC_000010.11, forward strand.
CCCTGAAGAAGATTCCAGCCCTAGCCATTGTCTGCCTGCAACTGTGTAAGAGATCCCAAGCATGAACTACCTAACTGAGCCCTGTCAACCCTCAGAATCTTGAGAAATAATAATAATAATTTATTATTATTTTATCCACCATTTTTGTTCGTAGAGGACCAGACAATCAGAACAGAGCTTAACACCTAAGGTATTATTTTAAGTATTTCATATATTTAACTCATTTGCTCCTCACAACTCTGTTACTTTTTCCATTGCACAGTTTGGATAGTTGATGTACAGAGAAGTTAAATGTATCACCTGGCCTTTTCTCCATGCAACAAATAACTCCCAGATCTAGCAATGTAAAATAATAATTCTGTTAATCTGGGCCTGGTTTGGCTGATCTTGGTTGGTGCCACTTATGTGTCTGCAATTAGCAATTGGCTTACTGGGGCCTGGGGAGTCTGCAACGGCCTCATTCACATTCCTGGTCATTGACTCCTCATCTGGGAGGGGGTGAGTGGGCCATGTGATCTTTAATTCCCTTGCAGATTAATCTGGCCTTGTCCTCATGGTGGTGGCAGCATTCCAGGAGAACAAGTGAAGCATTTCAGGGCTCCTGAGGCCTAACCTTGGGGGTGGATCACTTTTGGTTCTGCCATAGTTTGTTCATCACACCAGGTCAAAAAGCCAGCCCAGATTCATGGCATGAGGAAATAAAATCTGTCTCTCAATAGCAAATCACATTGCAAAAGGCAGGGTTATAATGAAGGAGATTCTTGGGGCCATTTTGCAACAATAGGCCACGTTAGGTAACTTGCCCATTGTCACGCAGGTCACAGACAGCAGAGCCAGGATCTGAACCCAGGTACCAGGGCTCCAGAAGGCATACTCTTAACCACCTCACTACATTGCCTCTGAGTACATGAGAGCTATTGTTAGGTCTTGGTGAAATCCACCTCAAAACATAAGCTGGCTCCTATATCAAATGAGAGACCCAAGGTTTTCATAATATGTCACAGCAGATAGCTTGAATCTCTGCTTAACCACTTACCAGATGTTATTCTTGGGTAAATTACTCAAACTCTTTGAATCTCATTTTCCTCACATGAAAAATGATAGTTTTGGTAAGAATTATACTAGACAATAAGGTACAGTCATTTCTGCTAGAACACAGCATATGCCTTCCTAAAAATCACCATGCTATGCAAAATCACACAAGAAACCACAGGCTCATGAGAAAAGTGGGATTAGAGGCACAACACTAAAACATCAGTGACACATGCAAAGAGATGATAGGACTTTAATGAAATGGTGGTGCTGTTTTATGTGTGTTAAATGGTTAGGAAATACATACATAGTACAATAAATACGGCCCTTTACTTTAAAAAAGATCCAAAGTTTGCTTGTGCAACTGGGTGTCAATAGGGTTCAGCTTGTGAGTTATTGTGGCATGATAGATGCAGCACTATCCGAAATTGGCCAAAAAGTTTTAACACTGGGTGTGGACAATGTGACTCATCACATATGTGGTGAACTGAGGCAGCTGGTAGATGTTCAAAGTGTGTTCCTGCATATATTTTGTGTATTCCTAAGCAGTTTGCTTCATCTGAGTGCCATTTTCTGTATTCGATTGGTGTTTCTTGAGGAAAAAAGTTGTGCATAAGCAAACAAAATTCACATTATGTTCAAGTTGTTCCCTAATATATCATTTCATTCTGGAACAAGTTTCTGTTTTCAAAACAAGTATTATAACAAAATTGCCCATGAGTGGTTAGCATGCATATAGCTCTTATTTCCACTCAATAAATATTAGCTCATTACTCTTAATAATGAGGCCTCATTGACTGTAAAAGAAACACATATTGTATTCAATGGTATTAATGTAGGTGAAGAGAGGATGCATGGGTGTCTGGCAAGGAATATGCAAAAAGTAAGGCCAGTGAGCAAGAATTGTCAGTGTGTTTCCAGCACCGGCCGGCGAATCCAAGTGTCCTGCTTTCTTGGCAAGTAAATCTCAATTTGAAAATGGATGTGTCAGGCCTAATGGCACTGGTGATTAAGGTCATCCAGCTTCCTCCTCCTGCTCCCAGTCTGGGCTCACTCGGCAAACTCCTGATTATGACCTACCCTCTCATGTCATTGCAAGGCTGTGTTCTCCTGCTGACATAAACATTCTGGACCACTTGGCAATTACATTTCTTAGAGTGAATTGCAAAATTGGCACTCTGCTTTGTACATTGGTCTCTTGTAAATTCCCAGGGATTAATCAACTACAAGTACACTGACACTTTGTATTTTCTGGATCTGCAAAGCTAGGGAGCAGATGCTGGAATGCCATGACCTGCAAAATGACTGTGCCCTACCACGCCTGCCAGCTGCCTCCCCAGATGACACATTCACCCGCTCTCGAACTGCAAGTGCTGGCACATAACTGCCTCAGATCTGGACAAATGTACGTGTGGGATGTAAGACAGGTTTTTTCTAAGGTCCCTTCTCTTACAGAATTAGAATCAATTTCTTCCTTCACTAGTAATTTATTTCAATAGCTAGGGTCTGAACTTCAAGCATAGCATCTCTACTTATAACAACTTAGATTTTGGGTAGCTGACTTGACTTTGAATGAATTTGCACCTGCAAATACTGATTTTTCTCTTTCTTTGGTAGGTAAATTACCTTAAAAGTAAAAGACTATGACATTCAGAGGTCTACTCTATTCCCTATTCATCTTGAACCAAGCTTGAACTAACAAAAGCACATATGATTAATGTCATCAAAGAAAGAACTAAAATATAAATAGACCCTTTTATTTTGCTTCATTGCAATAGTGTCAGACATCTAACTCCATGACTAGTTCTGAAATGCACCACTTTTGAAGATGCTAGGTTTGCAATCTTTTTTCTTACCAATTGAGTGAATTTGTAGGTTTTACCTATGGATGAATGTATAGTAGTATAAATAAACTGGATATTTGCAAATGTTTATTGTAGTCTGAAGGCAAAAATAATTATCCATTTCGGCAAGTTGGAACCGTAACCATCACCTGAAATGTTCAAAACCTGTAAAGATCAGTATTATCAATATCTGTCATCTCATAAGAATGCCTTAGTGTTTAAGCTAATTCAATTATAGTTTGCATATTTCTAGAATGAAACACCATCTTTTATGATATAATGTGCTAAGGATATAATAATTGTATGATCTTTGGCCTCCAAGAGTATGAATCTGACTGAAGCAATATTCAAATAAATTAGTCATTCAATCACTAATTCATTTATTTAACAAACTCATGTAGAGAACTTGAGGGCTAGGAATTGTTTTAGACATTGAGATTGCAACCATAAACTTGAGAGACAAGGTCTCTGTTTTGGTGAGAGGAAGTACACAAATAAACAAGATAATTTTAGATAGCCAAGAGAGCAATGAAGAAAATAAAACAGGGTGAATTAATGCAGAATGAGTAGGGAGGATTAATGCAGAATGAGTAGGGAGGATGGTACTTTAGCTGGGATTATTAGGGATGGTTTCTTTGAGTAGAAGACATCTGTGCTGAGATCTGAATATCAGCACATGGCCGCTATGAGGATCTGAAAGACGTAGTCAAGGGCTTCAAGACTGCGATAAGTCACCAGGAGCACTGGCTCACGTCTATAATCCAAGCACTCTGGAAGGCAGAGTGAATGAGACTCAGTTTCAAAAAATAAAAATGAAAAGAAAAAAAAGACCATGATAAGTGACATAATTTGGATATGTGTCCCTGTCCAAATTTCAGGTTGAAATGTAATCCCCAATGATGGAGGTGGGGACTGGTGGGAGCCGATTGGATCATGGGAGCAGACTTCTCAGGAATGATTTAGTACCATCCCCTTGGTACTGTTCTTGTGACAGTGAGTGAGTTCTTATGAGATCTGGTTACCATAGCTCAAAAACAGGCATAGACAATGCATACACAAATGAACGTGGCTTTGTTCCAATTAAACTTTATTAACAGAATCAAATATCCGTCACATTTGGCCTGCTGGCCATGGTTGGGCAAACTCTGGTCTAGATATAACCATTTTCAGCACTTCCAAGTTTCTTCTTTTTCTCCTTTGTTTCTTATTCCCTATCTCTTCATTCTCATTCTTTTGGTTTTGTTAGTCTTAATCTTTGAAACCCCGATATTTTTCTTACATTACTTAAATCATTTATAGTCTCATCAACTATGATATTCCAGAAAATCAATCTGCTTGAAGATTTGGTTGGATGGCCTATGATAGTGACTTGCCCAATACCACACCACCTTCTTGGTGAAAAGTGTACAAAAGTATTCATTTCTCACTTACTGCTCTATCTTCTGAATTAGTTTTCTGGCACAGAAAAACTGATTACAAAGATAAGGAGTCATATATTATTAGTTATTGTCTCCAACTGCTATGTAAAATCAAATAGCAAGTTCTATTAACTCTTCCTCATGAAGTTTTCTATCCATCTATTGAGAATAATCTTGGATGATCTACGTAAGATTGGATCCAACCAGAAAAGAAAATAATGTAAATGTTTAAAATTTAACAGAGTGAATTGATATCACCAGTGATTAAGCTATGAAGTTACATAGGGATCAGTGAGACCACTTAGAGATTAGCAACAATAAGAAGCTTCTACCAACCATACTCAAGGTTGGGCTGGGGACAGAGGAAGGAGTTGGGGTTACCGAAGCCAATGACACAAGGGCCTGTGAAACAAAGTGAGAGAGCAGGATGGAGGAAGGGCAAGGTGTAAGTCTGAGGGGAACAGACCCAGGATCTGTTCATCCACTCTGCCTTTTGCTACCATGCTGGATCAGGTACTCATTGCCTTACACATGATTGACTTGGATAACATCTTAAGTTCCCCAATTTCCAAAATTAATTGGTTCTTCAAGTTGTATTCCTCTACATGATTGGTCAAACTCACAGCCAACTTTTCTGTTTGAACTCAAGTCTTACTTCTTTTTTGAAATGTTTTTGATTGCTCCAAAAGACCATGGTAAACTCCACCTTTTTTGAAACCCTCTTTGAGGCATCATTTCTTTTTTTTTCCCATAGGTTTTTGGTGAGCAGGTGGTGTTTGGTTACACAAATAAGTTCTTTTGTGGTAATTTCTGATATTTTGGTGCATCCATCACCTGAGCAGTGTACATTGTACCCAGTTTGTAGTATTTTTTCCCCCACTCCCCTTCCATCCTTCCTTGCACAACCCCCGAGTTCTCAAAGTTCATTGTATCCTTCTTATGTCTTTACATCCTCATAGCTTAGTTCCCACTTATGAGTGAGAACATATGATGTTTGGTTTTCCATTCCTGAGTTACTTCACTTAGCATAATAGTGTCCAACCCCATCCAGGTTGCTGCAAATGCCGTTATTTCATTCCTTTTTATGGTTGAGTAGTATTCCATGGCATATATATATATATATATATATATATATATATATATATATATATGTGTGTGTGTGTGTGTGTATATATATATATGTATATGTGTGTGTATATATATGTATATGTGTGTGTATATACACGTATATATATGTATTTGAATATATATGTATATGTGTATATATATATGCATATATATATATCTCTCTCTCACAGTTTTTTAATCCACTTGTTGATTGATGGGCATTTGGGCTGGTTCTGTATTTTTGCAATTGCAAATTGTTCTACTATAAACATACGTGTGCAAGTATCTTTTTTGTCTGCAGCATACCACCCTGAAAGTGCCCAATCTTTTCTGAGGCATCATTTCTAAGAAGTCCTAGACACCTTGTCATGTATTTCGTTATATTGGTTCTAAACATTTATTGTAAGTAGCATGTAGGTTTCTTAAGCACAGGAACCACATCTATATTTCTTCGTGTTGCCTATAAAGTTTATCACAAGCAAGTCAGTGCCAGACAAACACTTATTGATTGATTAGGTATTAAAATAAGAGAATCTTAAAAGCAAGAAGAAAACTTCGCTTGCCTAATTCATATTCTCTTAAATAGTCACACAGAGATTCTTAAAAAGTCAGAATGAGAAATTGGCTAAAACAGAGAAAGGTTTGCAGAGAGGTCAGAATGTGGAAGGGTCTTGAAATTCTTTACTAGAAGGAAAACTGAGCAGAAAACACACACAGGGGCACACACACACACATGCACACCCACACACACAGAGGCACCCATCAGTGTGGGCAAAATGAGCTTCAGGGCCTAGAATCTGAAAGTGCTCTGGTTACAGGTACAGGGTGAAATGTACTTACTACACACGGAACAACAAAAATCTGTGTACTTGCATTTGCTCTTCCAAATGCAAGTATTTTCAAATATGCTTAGGAAGAAAGTTACTGGGGAAGTCTCTTGTGATCTCTTTGAGGGACCCACTACCACCATGAGTTGTCTTCCTCATGGAAGGGAGCCTCTCAGAGTTAGCTTCTCCAGGCCCACACTGTCCCTTTGTGATGTGAGCTACCTGGAGGAAAAGAGTTTGGGTTTTGTCCAACTGAACACCAAGAACAGAGTGTCTCAGAACCAGAGGTGATCCACAACTTCATCGTCATTCACAACCCATTGCACAACCTCAGCTGAGCTCATTCTGTACTGCCTGGGATTATCCTCCTTCGGTGACTCAGCTTCTTTGCCAATCAGCAGCTTCAGCTTTCACACTATGCAACTTTGTGCAAACATTTTCCTGACACATCCTGGATAAGTAGCAGGGCGATGTAACATGTGCTACACAGGCATTCCATTCCCTGGCGTCCATCAACAGCCCTTCCACAGTCTGCATGGATGCCCCTTGTAGTTATGCTAGAAACAAATTCTTGTTGGTTTTTTAAACAGTGCCTGATGTTCTTCAAAACCACATCCAGCCCTCCAGTCCTTGGGGTACTTGCAGGTCATGGACAGGAAAGAGCTGTGGGATAAAATAAAGAACTGTGTCACTAAGATCTCAATGGTTTTGCAAGGGGAACTTCCTCTGAAAGAGGTACTCATGAGACACAAAGTCATGCTTCTCCTTACCAGACACAGAGAATGAGAGTGTAGTGATGTGAAGGATGGTTCTGTAGTAGTTTGGTGCATAAGCGTGACATCATTGGCTCTTCAACCCACTGACCTGAGGATGTCTAAATGGAAAGTGGCCTTATCTAGGATCCATAGTTCCTGGGACCTAAGAAACATGTGGATTATAGGTGCAAGTACTTTGGAGGATTCTCAGAAATATTTGGGAAGGTCACCCTTCCTCTCTGGGTTGGAGTATTTCTAACTAAAGAGCAATGGAGAGTCCTCGGAACAGTTTTTTAAATTGATATGATGGCTGTTGCACTCTCAGGAGGCTGGTGATGCCTAGAACACCTGGGTTCCAGGAAAAATTGTCTCCTAACAGCAAGAAAAGACTCAAGAGTGGAATGTCTTTGGTGAAAGTGAGCCCTTGAGTGATTCAAGGCCAGGCACACCTAGTAGGCTGGAATTACTGAGAAGATTTGGGTATTGTTTTTCAGGCAGATCATATGACTCTTGAAGTCCCTCTTCATCCTGAAATTTGAAGGTAAGAGAATTTGCATAGGACATTCTTATTGAGCAGACCTAAAATATTCTCTTATCTGTCTCTGACTTCTTTTCTGTGTTGTTATGAGGCTACATGTCCTTATTGCTTCAGCCATAAATACTTATTTTCTTAGTCAAGAATGTTGAGGGACACAAGGACAAAGTGGCAATAGAAAAGTATGAGAGACAACTTTGGAAAAACCATCTTTGGTAGGCTTATAGATCTTATGGGAATTTAGGCGCACAGTTGCTTGTAGGATCCTGGATGGTTGCCTACAATCTGTGCAGTAGACTGTGAGGAATTTCAAGTGCAAAATTAACGCTCTCCATCCCACCCGCATGCCCGTATGGCCACAACAGATCCATACAACCGACAAGATATTTTTATAGATTTTCTCAGTGGGAAAGTACATTGATCATTTGGGGGCTTATTGAGGAGAATTGTCAAGCAGTCAATTGATGCTTCCACATTGGTAAGCTGACCTCATTCTTAGCTTGGTTTGAATAACTTGACAGCACAGAATGTCAACAGTTCATAATCTGATGGATCACTTTAGACAGGCAGGAAACTAAATTACCCTTCAGATGAGATGATAAGGTTGAAATATGTAAAGAGAAGCAGTTTTCTCCTTAGAAAAGGCTCATTATAACATTTGAATCACAATACAGTACACTCCTAGAGCAGGAAGATTAATGACAGATAATCTACTTGAGTAAAATTACCCCCTGAGTAATATGAAAGAATTGTGGCAATTTTACGGATGTGGTAACTCAAAATTCTCCTGCCATGCGCTATCAGTATGGGCACAGTTGCAGTTTTGGAACTGATAACTTATCTGGTGCCTGGGGAAAATGACATTTCACAAAAGTAAACATATAATCCAAGCCAACAACCAATTCAAGATTAATGTGCCATTTGTGAGCAGGCTTCCCAGGCTATAAAACCAGAAAGCTTTTTATATGTTTTCTGTAAGGTGGGAGCATTTTCACACTGTATTGCTGCTTTATACTACAGATTATTATGAACGCCTTCTCTTGTGATATGGAAAGATGAATTAGGCCAGCTTTGAAAAATATTTTTCTATCTATCTTGAGAAAATTATGTTTTCAGGGCTGGTGTTGCCCAATCTAAGTTTTACAGGTGAGTAAATTCACTTGTGAGGGAGGAATTCAACATACTCTCTTGAGGCTAGAGGCTGCAATACCACACTTGTATGCAGCTGGGGAGAAGAAAAAGGAGGCTCAGTGGGGTCCTCGGTCCCCACCTGTCTGTGTGACCTCTGCCAGAGAAGTTGCCTATCCTCCACATGGGGGCCACCCCAAGCTTCATCCTTGTCACCTCCAAAGTCTTATTCTTTTATACTTTATCTGCCCCCATCAACTTTCGTTTCCTCTTCTACCTCTGCATTGGACATTAATCTGGATTAAAAATTAATTTCATGCAACACCATGAGATTTTGTGTTGCTAATTTATTCCTCTCTCTATGACATTTGTGCACTTTTAGAGAGGAGAAGAAAATCACCTTCCATATAAAAAGGAACCTCTGGCAATGGAGAAGGAAGTTTGGTGAAGCTTGTTCCTGTGTCTTATTTCAGTAATTCACCTAAGTTGGGGCAAATAAAGCATTGAACTTCTACTGTGGTCTCTAAAGTTTGAACTATCTCTTTGATAGGGGAAGAGAAAAGGGGTCAGGGAATCTTTCAGTTCTAAAATCCATGGCAAAATTATATTATTCTTATTATTTTTTTAATTTTATTATTATACTGTAAGTTTTAGGGTACATGTGCACAACGTGCAGGTTACGTATGTATACATGTGCCATGTTGGTGTGCTGCACCCATTAACTTGACATTTATATTAGGTATATCTCCTAATGCTCTCCCTCCCCCCTCCCCCCACCCCACAACAGTCCCCGGTGTGTGATGTTCCCCTTCCTGTGTCCATGTGTTCTCATTGTTCAATTCCCATCTATGAGTGAGAACATGCAGTGCTTGGTTTTTTGTCCTTGCAATAGTTTGCTGAGAATGATGGTTTCCAGTTTCATCCAAATCCCTACAAAGGACATGAACTCATCATTTTTTATGGCTGCATAGTATTCCATGGTGTATATGTGCCACATTTTCTTAATCCAGTCTATCATTGTTGGACATTTGGGTTGGTTCCAAGTCTTTGCTATTGTGCGTAGTGCCACAATAAACATACGTGTGCATGTGTCTTTATAGCAGCATGTTTTATAATCCTTTGGGTATATACCCAGTAATGGGATGGCTGGGTCAAATGGTATTTCTAGTTCTAGATCCCTGAGGAATCGCCACACTGACTTCCACAATGGTTGAACTAGTTTACAGTCCCACCAACTGTGTAAAAGTGTTCCCATTTCTCCACATCCTCTCCAGCACCTGTTGTTTCCTGACTTTTGAATGATTGCCATTCTAACTGGTGTGAGATGGTATCTCATTGTGGTTTTGATTTGCATTTCTCTGATGGCCAGTGATCGTGAGCATTTTTTCATGTGGTTTTTGGCTGCATAAATGTCTTCTTTTGAGAAGTGTCTGTTCATATCCTTTGCCCACTTTTTGATGGGATTGTTTGTATTGTTCTTGTAAATTTGTTTGAGTTCATTGTAGATTCTGGATATTAGTCCTTTGTCAGATGAGTAGGTTGCAAAAATTTTCTCCCATTCTGTAGTTTGCCTGTTCACCCTGATGGTAGTTTCTTTTGCTGTGCAGAAGCTATTTAATTTGATTAGGTCCCATTTGTCAATTTTGTCTTTTGTTGCCATTGCTTTTGGTGTTTTAGACATGAAGTCCTTGCCCATGCCTATGCCCTGAATGATATTGCCTAGGTTTTCTTCTAGGGTTTTTATGGTTCTAGGTCTAACATGCAAGTCTTTAATCCATCTTGAATTAATTTTTGTATAAGGTGTAAGAAAGAGATCCAGTTTCAGCTTTCTACCTATGGCTAGCCAGTTTTCCCAGCACCATTTATTAAATAGGGAATCCTTTCCCCATTTCTTGTTTTTGTCAGGTTTGTCAAAGATCAGATGGTTGTAGATATGCAGCATTATTTCTGAGGGCTCTGTTCTGTCCCATTGGTCTATATCTTTGTTTTGGTACCAGTACAATGCTGTTTTGGTTACTGTAGCCTTGTAGTATAGTTTGAAGTCAGGTAGTGTGATGCCTCCAGCTTTGTTCTTTTGGCTTAGGATTGACTTGGGAATGCGGGCTCTTTTTTGGTTCCATATGAACTTTAAAGTAGTTTTTTCCAATTCTGCGAAGAAAGTCATTGGTAGCTTGATGGGGATGGCATTGAATCTATAAATTACCTTGGGCAGTATGGCCATTTTCACGATATTGATTCTTCCTATCCATGAGCATGGAATGTTCTTCCATTTGTTTGTATCCTCTTTTATTTCGTTGAGCAGTGGTTTGTAGTTCTCCTTGAAGAGGTCCTTCACATCCCTTGTAAGGTGGATTCCTAGGTATTTTATTCTCCTTGAAGCAATTGTGAATGGGAGTTCACTCATGATTTGGCTCTCTGTTTGTCTGTTATTTGTGTATAAGAATGCTTGTGATTTTTGCACACTGATTTTATATCCTGAGACTTTGCTGAAGTTGCTTATCAGCTTAAGGAGATTTTGGGCTGAGACAGTGGGGTTTTCTAGATATACAATCATGTCATCTGCAAACAGGGACAATTTGACTTCCTCTTTCCCTAATTGAATACCCTTTATTTCCTTCTCCTGCCTGATTGCCCTGGCCAGAACTTCCAACACTATGTTGAATAGGAGTGGTGAGAGAGGGCATCCCTGTCTTGTGCCAGTTTTCAAAGGTAATGCTTCCAGTTTTTGTCCATTCAGTATGATATTGGCTGTGGGTTTGTCATAGATAGCTCTTATTATTTTGAGATACATCCCATGAATACCGAATTTATTGAGAGTTTTTAGCATGAAGGGTTGTTGAATTTTGTCAAAGGCCTTTTCTGCATCTATTGAGGTAATCATGTGGTTTTTGTCTTTGGTTCTGTTTATATGCTGGATTACATTTATTGATTTTTGTATGTTGAACCAGCCTTGCATCCCAGTGATGAAGCCCACTTGATCATGGTGGATAAGCTGTCCTTAGTGACCTACAAAGAGAGTTAGACTCCCACACAATAATAATGGGAGACTTTAACACCCCACTGTCAACATTAGACAGATCAACAAGACAGAAAGTTAACAAGGATATCCAGGAATTGAACTCAGCTCTGCACCAAGCGGACCTAATAGACATCTACAGAACTCTCCACCCCAAATCAACAGAATATACATTCTTTTCAGCACCACACCACACCTATTCCAAAATTGACCACATACTTGGAAGTAAAGCACTCCTCGGCAAATGTAAAAGAACAGAAATTATAACAAACTGTCTTTCAGACCACAGTGCAATCAAACTAGAACTCAGGATTAAGAAACTCACTCAAAACTGCTCAACTACATGGAAACTGAACAATCTGCTCCTGAATGACTACTGGGGACATAACAAAATGAAGGCAGAAATAAAGATGTTCTTTGAAACCAATGAGAACAAAGACACAACATACCAGAATCTCTGGGACACATTCAAAGCAGTGTGTAGAGGGAAATTTATAGCACTAAATGCCCACAAGAGAAAGCAGGAAAGATCCAAAATTGACACCCTAACATCACAATTAAAAGAACTAGAGAAGCAACAGCAAACACATTCAAAAGCTAGCAGAAGGCAAGAAATAACTAAGATCAGAGCAGAACTGAAGGAAATAGAGACACAAAAAACCCTTCAAAAAATCAATGAATCCAGGAGCTGGTTTTTTGAAAAGATCAACAAAATAGATAGACCGCTAGCAAGACTAATAAAGAAGAAAAGAGAGAAGAATCAAATAGACGCAATAAAAAATGACAAAGGGGATATCACCACCGATCCCACAGAAATACAAACGACCATCAGAGAATACTATAAACACCTCTACGCAAATAAACTAGAAAATCTAGAAGAAATGGATAAATTCCTCGACACATACACCCTCCCAAGACTAAACCAGGAAGAAGTTGAATCTCTGAATAGACAAATAACAGGCTCTGAAATTGAGGCAATAATTAATAGCTTACCAACCAAAAAAAGTCCAGGACCAGTTGGATTCACAGCCGAATTCTACCAGAGGTACAAGGAGGAACTGGTACCATTCCTTCCGAAACTATTCCAATCAATAGAAAAAGAGGGAATCCTCCCTAACTCATTTTATGAGGCCAGCATCATCCTGATACCAAAGCCTGGCAGAGACACAACAAAAAAAGAGAATTTTAGACCAAGATCCCTGATGAACATCGATGCAAAAATCCTCAATAAAATACTGGCAAACCGAATCCAGCAACACAGCAAAATTATATTATTAAATGAAGTAAACAAATACTTAAAAGGAGAAAAGGAAAGACTGCTAAGGTTTAAGACCTATGTTTTTTAACAATTATTTAAGAATTCCTCAAAACTCTCCACTTATAGCATAGGATGATTGATGCTCTGTGTGAATATTTGTGTGCCTGTGTGTGTTTGTTTGTGTGTGTTTGAGTGATAATTGAAACATGTTATTTTCTTGGAATCTCATGTTTCAGTTTAAAAATGTATGCAAATTATACACTATACTATAGAATATATCTTTCTTTTCATAGAAAATAATACCTCAAGTAAAATTAGCTTTCCATGTTTATGTTTTGGTAGCGCCTGAACCCCAGATTAAGAATCACTGCCTTTCCTTACTGAAGAGGGTGTGTGGAAGAGGTGGCCAGCTCTCTGCCAAGATTCATGCCCAGACAGAGCAGAGTAATTATTAGGATGGGACTGATAGCCATTTCTCACCAATAAGTCTCACATCTAACCCTTCTACCAGCTTTACATATGGACATGCAACTTGTTTTTGCCAGTGAAATATGAGCAGGAAAGATATTTGCAAAGATATCCACAAGTTTCTAGACCATTGTTGCTAAGACGCAGGTGTGCCTTTTCCACCTTCCCTTTCCCCTTCCGTAATGTGCTTGAAACATTGTGCTGAAGATGGTAGAGCTGTAAAATGATATGAGCCAATGCTCATGAATCACACGAATGGAAGGTGCCCACCCAGTGCTAGCCCTGGACTGTTGCATGAAGAAGAAATAATAGACTTATACTGTGTCATCTGTTACAGCAACTTAAGTTACCTTAAATAACAAAGGATGTGCATAGAATTTAGAATCCACGAGTTGTAAAAGTTTCTAGATTAAAGTAGGTCCCTGTGTCAATCAATTTGGGGGATAGCCACCAGCCAGAGAATGAGGGGAAGACAGTGGGGAATCCTTCCTTCTGACCATTTCTCCCAAAGTATGTGGGGTGAAGTGAGTAGAAACCTCTGTTTAAATGAGGTAGAGTGTGTAACAACCCCTAGAACAGTATCTGGCATACAAGAAATTATCATGAATATTTGTTGAATGTTAGTCTACAGTGAATTTGTATAATTTATTTCTCTTACACATATATTTTATTGCATTCAATGAGCATTCATTTAGCACCTGTTGTGTGTTGGGTGATTTGCCTCTCAGGGCTGGCTAGGAAACGTGAGTTCACCTTCAAGGTAGGGCTAGCCACTGGAGGTCCAGATAGGAGCTTCCTATGGTTCCCTGGAATTCCATTTCAGATTCCCCAAACGCCAGGACCTTGAGTGCAGACGCATTCTCCTGACTTTATTTCTTCCCCTTCTTTACCTGCTTTTTCTTTCAATTCCTCTATCTTTCCCCACTCCTCTTTTCTTCTCTCATTTTCTTCACTTTTCGTCCTCTTATTCTTCTTGTTTTTCTTTTTCTTCCCTTTCTTTCTTCCCCTCCTTCTCCTACCCCCTTTATTTTCCTCTTCTCCTTCCTTTCCTTCCAATTACCCCCATCTTTTATTCCCACTTAGTCCCTCTTCTTTCTTCACCTTTTCTTCCTCAACCTCAACTTGATTTCTGCCCTTCTAAAGCTTGAATGTCCCCTAAAGATTATGTGTTGAAAACTTCATCCCCAATGGAAATGTTGAGAAGTGAGACCTTTTTTTTTTTTCCTTTTTGAGATGGAGTCTTTTTCTTGTTGCCCAGGCTGGAGTGCAATGGCACGATCTCAGCTCACTGCAACCTCTGCCTCCCAGGTTCAAGCGATTCTCCTGCCTCAGCCTCCCAAGTAGCTGGGATTACAGACATGCACCACCACACCAGGCTAATTTTTGTATTTTTAGTAGAGACCCAGTTTCGCCATTTTGGCCAGAGCTGGTATCGAAATCTTGACCTCATGATCCGCCTACCTCGGCCTCCCAAAGTGTTGGGATTACAGGCGTGAGCCACTCCACAAGGCCAAGAGGTGAGACCTTTTAAGAGGTGATTAGGTGATGAGGGCTCTGCCCTCATGAATAAATTAATGTTATTGTCGCAGAAGTAGGTTAGTTTTGAGGGAGTGGGTTCCCAATAAAAAAATTAGTATGGCTCCCTTACCATCCCTCTCTCTTGCGGGCTTTCTCACCATGTGATGTCTTCCGCCATGTTATGACACAACCAGAAGGCCCTCACCAGATGTGGACCCTAACTCTTGGACTTCCTAGCCTCTAGAACAGTGAACCAAATAAACCTCTGTTCCAGGACTTTTCCTTAGTTCAGCTAAAGATGGGGGCCCTTGCCACAAAGCCATGAAAATTTAGGCTTACAGACAATTTGAAGGGTGAATAGAGCAGGGTTTTATTGGGTGAAAAGGGAAAAAAGGGGAAACGGGGACCCTCTGCAAAGCCAGACTCCCTGCTAGTGTGCTTTCTGCCTCGCAGTTTGAATCCCAGGTTCCACTGAAGAAGGGGAGGGGCCAGGCTCCTCCCCACTGCAAAGGGTGCGAACTTCCGTGGCTCCACCCCAGTGTGAATTCTTCCCAGTGAGCAGGTTGGTAAGAGGCTCTGCCAGGGAGCCCTTCTCACCTGGCTGTCTCACTTCTATTGTTTATAAATTACCCAGTCTGTGGCATTCTGTCACCTCAATTCCCATCAAAATGGCAAATGCAATTGCTCTTCTAAGAGGCCACAGATTTCTGTAGTGCTTCCTGAAGATTTGAAACTGTAGTTTTCTCCAAATGAGGCCGTTCTACTTCCACACTGTCCATCCTGACTCTGGACGATGTCACAAGCCCCTTATGTCATTGCTCAGCTCTCCTGCCTCCTTAAGAGATTTGGAAAAGATTAAGATGGCTAAAGACCAAGGTGATGAGGACTGGATAGGAAGATCTTAGTCATGCAAGACTACCTTATGCCCATAAAGATATTTGGGAATTTGCCTGAAGAGTAGAGAAAAATGATCAAATCTGACTCTCCATCAATTGTGTGCTGTGTGCAACATTGAGGTAAGTCAGGAAAATAATGGCCAATCCTCAAATGCTTGTTTTATATAATTTGTTCTGTGTCTCATCACTGAAGGCAAGACCACTTAGCCATTGTAAGTTGGCCTTGGGATAATCGTTTTTGAGATGCATGCTTTTTACCTTTTCAACGGGGAACATTATTTCTTACTGCTTGTATAACAATTTCAATGCAATCTTATGCTCATAAGCCTTTGCTTTTTATGTTGTCAACAACTGAAGGTAAATAAAAATAACATTTAAATAATGCATGCTAATAACATTCATAAAGGGAAGAGTGTTTATAACAAAATTGAAAAATCAATGCCATCAAGCTCTACGTATTCTGAAAACCCATACTCATAATACATTATTATTTCAAGGACTGTGACATTTGAAAGCTGTTAGGGTATCTTAAGCCCTTCCAAATGATATGATCTGAGAATATTAAATAATTATTTCTTTTGATTTTTCTCCCCAACTATTCCAGGAAAAATGAGAAAGATAATTATGCAGATGAGTCTGGGCAACTGGCTAGAGGATCATAAATCACTGAGGGTTGTCCAAACACCCATATTTTCTGTTAGATGCATCTCCTTAAAAAGTGGAAAATTGATCTTTAAGTTCCCTGAAGAAAAGTTCAGAGTATATTTTAGCTCTCAGAGCTCCAGATTTATAACACAAGCTAAGCCCAGAATTAGGGGAGAGCGTTTTTTTTTTTTTTTCCATTCTTCAGAACAAAGATGAGAGATAGTTTCAGGGTATTGGTGACTGCATTGTACAAATAATTTTTAAAGACCAGGTCTATAAAGGTGATGAATTAGAGAAAATTAAAGAGAAATTCAGCACTTTCATTTTTCTGAGTCCTCACTTTCTGAGATCAAATTGTTCAAATTTTCCTTATACTTTACATAGGCAGATAGCCATCATCTTGTTGGGGCAAAATAAACTTTTGGATTTCTTTAGTTTATTTCTTAACTTATAGTTCTACATGAGTTGAGTGATAAGAACCATTTATATAAGAACCATTTATACAATCCAGCCCCACGTGGAGGTCAAAGCTGCTGGACTGCGACTATAGAATCTTGCCTTCTATTCAAATCTGCTAAACACAACGAGAAAACAAGGGAACAAGAACTGAGTAACTCATGAAAAAGACATACAAATTCTGAGAAATAAATATGAATCTAGCACGCCAGCTGGTGAGAAGTGAAGAAAAAAACCCTAAAAATAATACTGTCGATTTTAAATAGTACAAGCCAAGACATGCCAGTAAATATTCACATTCAACTAACGTTTATTGAGTGCCTGCTGCACAACAGGGCCTATGCTAAGTATTTCACATACATCAGCTCCTTTCTTCTTCACAATGGTCCTGCAAACAAAGAAAAGAGATGAAGTTTTTACAGAGAAAAAAACTGATATGTCTAGAAGTTAAATGAAAGACTTCAAGGTTTCACAGCTGGCAAGTCTAACTGGGTTTCAAATTGGAGTTTTCTAACTCTGCCCTAGGTAGTGTTCTCCCAGAAGTAGATCCTGGTCCAAGGACCTGAGTGCAAGTGATTAAGATGGAAATGCTCTCAGGCAAAACCAGTAAAGGAGTAGGGAAGCAGGCTAGGGACAGGCAGGAAAGCAGGCAAGGGCACATTTTGCAATGAAGCCTCAGATTTAGATTTTGCTTTGGGGCAAAGAAGCTAACATTTTGTGCTCCATCATAAGTCAGTCTGTGACTGGCCCAGTCACTTTCCTCTCTCCGGAGTAATCCTCTGACACAGGAGCATATAGCAGCAAAGCAAGTAGAAGACAGATGCACAGAGCTGGTTAAGGGCATCATCAGTGTCCACTAAAGATAAACTCTAAGACTCTCACTTGCTACTACGCCTTGTGGGCCCATTTGTTATAACTTTAGAATGAAAAATTTCCCCAAATAATGGAGACAAAATTGCAAGATAAAAAAGGTACCCAATGCAAGACAAGTACAAGAAAGAGACAGGTATTTCAGAAGGCATCTTTGAAGACTGCATGCAATTTCTTTAGTTTCAACAGAAAGAACCATCTGTATAAGATCTATAACTTCATAGCATTTGTGTAACATGAAATGCTTTCCCTTGAGCTTTCCCAAGAATAGAGGGAAAAGGAAAACATTCTTGTTTATTTTGTTTGTTTCCCTCTCCTAATTTCACATTTTTTGTGAAAGCCTGCACTTGGATGTACCAAGAACAAGTTGTTGATGTAATAAGTCAAGCTGGATCAATTCACCACTTATTAATAAAAATGAATTACTAGTACTCACATCCTGCTAAATTTTAAAAAATGTTCCTCCTATCTTTGTTTTCTCACACTGCTATAAAGATACTACCTGAGACTGCGTAATTTATAAACAACAACAAAAAAATTGACTCACAGTTCCATACCTCAGGAGACCTCAGGAAACTTACAATCATGGCAGAAGGTGAAGGAGAAGCAAGGTATGTCCTATATGGCGGCGGGAGAGAGTGAGTGAAAGAGTGAGTGAAATAGTGAGGAAATGCCACACTTAAAACCATCAGCTCTTGTGAGAACTCCCTCACTATCACAAGGACAGCATGGGGAAAACTGCCCCCATGAACCAATCACCTCCCAGCAGGTGCCTGTCTTGATATGTGGGGATTAAAATTCCAGATGAGATTTGGCTGGGGACACAGAGCCAAATAATAACAACTTCTCTTCATATCTTTATTTCCACTGGGTATGGTCAAATAATTAGTCAAAATAATGACATTTATTTGAATGAGCTGTGCCAATATTCTTCTGTGTTGACCATCACTTTACCAATTACTCATGGGAGTATACATACTCTAAATCCCCTCTTTGCCTTGGGAATTATAACCTTGACTGCAGTCACTTGTGGATCTTCCACTGAAAACCAGAATAATAGGGTTTGCAGAGTTCATGCCTCTGATGGTATGAGCTATATGCAATATTTCATACAGTTAATCCAGCAAATTACATGCATTGTATAATGTGGTTCTAATGTCAACTTTCCATCCCTCTTCCCCAAGGATTGGCAGAAATGCCTCTGACCTTCTCTCATGTGTCCTCATCTTTCCATGTTATTTATGGCCTTCATTATTCATTGGTCCCTGTCCCAAGACATTCTATTTCTCATGTTTCTTTGTGTCAAGAGGGATATTTCATTTTGATTAGGTTTATTCTATAGAAAATTCTCACCTTCTATCGTTGTTCAAAGTACATGCTTTCAGTAGAGGGCTTAACTGGCTTTCCTAAATTCAACTTTTATAGCATTCTTTGATATAAGAACATGAGGAATATTGGTCCTCTTTCAACACATGCTGTATAGTAAGAAAGCCATAACCACCAGTTACAAGAGCAATAGCCTCCCTCTCCTGCTCTGCACATTCTCTGACTTCTGCTATCTGAGTGATATTATCAATGTGTGGTATGTGTGTGCTACGGGGTCTAGAATTCCTGCATTTTTGTAAGGGATAGAACAAATTCTAGGTTTACTAGCACCTGAACCCCTTGCAAATACTTTCATTGACACTCGATGTGGGTTTCACAGAGGTGTTCTGTACATAGGGAGGGCCCAGGTTAAGAGTATGACTGTGCACATCTATCTGCATTATTGCTTCACATGGAAATGTAGCCTGGAAATTATAATCACATTTCTGGACCAGTTCACAGAATCTCTGTTCATATAAAAGCGTGAAATAGACTCATTGACTTTTTCTTTTAATAGTCAGTACAGTTAGTGAAATATGACTTGTCACTTACTACTAATCAAATATGAGGGTTTCAAAGTTTCTGTGACTCCAGAAAAAATGTGCTTATGCCTAATTTATAACCAGTTCCAGAAAAGTAAATGACATTCCATAGATCAAATACAAGATAGTCAAACTAGGATACATTAACATCACACTTAATTATATTTTTTAAATCACATGAAGCAATAAATTGAGATGGATTTGTAATTAGAGAGAAGCAGAGAAATTTTAGGCAACTGAAAAGACATTTATCATCACAAATGCAATTTTCTAACAAATAATACTGATTACTTCCATTATAGAAGCAGCCAGAATCTGACAATGAAAAGAAATGTTTCATAAACCCCTTTTTTAAAAGATGCTGAAATTCCGTATAATTCTTTCTACCTTCAACTGGATGGAAAACTGAACTCTTACTGTCATATGAAATACTCTTTACCACTCTTCTGTAGACATCACTTCTCATTTCTTGGAATGTGGACAAATTTCATAAGCATATCTCCAGGGTATTTTGTTGCTTTGGGTCAAAATTCATTTCATGGCTTTTGAAGAATGCTGAATTAAATAAACTGTAGAAGTAGAGTTCCTTAGCACAGAGATAATTTGTAACACAGAGGTAATTTTATAAGAAGGAATCATGACAGTAAAACATCGTACCACTGTGCTGTTTTAATGTAGCATCTAAAATGACTTGACTTGAATTTAGGAGGCAGCCCATGCAAAAGAGAGAATCCAAACAATTTTTTCTCCTGAAGATAATATGGAGTGGATGTTTATTAAAAGTGATACAGAGGTCTAGTGGTCACTGTCATCCATCTGGAATGTAGGCATAATCAGAAATGAACTAGTGCCAGGCAGAACTAGATCTTTCTGTGGTTGATCCATATCTTTGTGCTTTTCAGTGTTGCTCAAGGTTAAGATGAATTTCTGATCATTACCATATGTTTCATTTCCAGGACCAACTAGGGTTTCTAAACTTCATCCTTTCTTTTGCCTAGACTAATTATTATCTTCCCAAATATACAACTAGTGTTACATTCTATAATTTTGGATACAACTGAACCAAAACAAAACTGTCTACTGTCTCAGCTCACTGAAGGCACACTTATCTCAAGTATTTAAGATGTGTGAGAGGAATGAGAAAATGGCAAACTTTCTAAGGGATATGAAAATGCCTTTGGTTTTTCCTTGGAAAAAGAAGAAGAAAAAGCATATATCATGCTTTGGTTTAAAATGTATTGTTACAGCAGGTGAATTGGATGTATCTTGTAGTGAACATTGAGGCCTAACCTACAAAAATATTTAGGATTTTTCATTATTCAACCTATTTATAAGCAAAACAGAGCAACCTGTTAAAAAATATATACCTAAATTCCTCCAGTGAGACTTAGGTGTCAGCAAGGCAATTAAAAAGTCACCCCTTTTTCTGATGTAAAAATATTGGAAAGTAATCCATGAGAAGCAGCTCTGATTTTGACTGCCTTTCAAGTTGGCAGAGAAGGGCGCTTTAAGGGAGCTCTGAGCCTTATTCATGAACGAGATGTATATAGAGTCCTTGGAGTTTGCACAGCTATTTGAGACCTGACTTCACCAATATTAGAACTGTTTGTTCTAATAAATAGTTGAAGATGGAATTCCATCAACCGTCTCTTTTTTAAAGTTAGAGAGTCTCTAACACCCCCCCCCAAAAAAATCTATCTATCTATCTATCTATCTATCTATCTATCTATCTATCATCTATCTGTGTATCTAATCTATCTATGTGTATTATTATATGTAGGAAATATTTAAGACTTTGGAATAGGCAAAAGAGACTACTGGGCATTCTTTCACTGGAATGCTCTGAAGTAGAGTCTTGGGACTTATCTGTCCTATAGAGATGTGCACTTTTGCCTTTGCTAGACTATGATCCAACTCTGTAGAGAAAGACATTAACTTGTAGAAAATTGATGGTAATAGGGATATTTTCTCTTCTTTGCTATGCAAATGATTCCTTTTCAGTAGAGAGTATAAATCTCTATATAAATATTAGAGATTATTTGTTTTCTCATTAACGTGTCAATTTCTGACATGTTCTTTTTATATTTACATGAGTCATAATTTATATTTTTAAAAAATTATTCTTTAGCAGCATTCAATAAAGGATATCTTTTCCTTTTTAGGGTTAAAATGATTCTGGATAATGAGCAATGATGTCAGTAGGAATAGAATTGTTTGGTACTACCTGTGTAACATAAAACCAGAAATAGTTGGGGGATGAGGCAGGGCTGAGAGTATTGTGATATTGGGGGCAAAAAGCCAGTTTTGTGTTACACACACACACACACTCATAGCAGGACATTACATATATTTATGGGGTGGAGAAGAGATAGAGAGAGGTCATTTCATTTTCTGAAACTTTCCCCTTGCCTTTTATTTGATTCTTGACTTAATATTTCTAACACACAACATTATTTGTTTTCCCTTTTTCCTAGAATACATTTCACAGAATGCCTGCAATTTATACAGCAGCTATATTTATTTTGGCATACTGTCAGTTTTATTTCTTTCAAAATAAAATTTCAAAATACTTTGTCAGTTAAAAATTTCTGGGCCACATCCTGGAGAGTCTTGGCAATGCCACTAGTGAACACAGGCAGGGTTAAATGCCACTTTATCTCAGCACCACAGATGAACATTGATGGTGACAAGTTACCTTATTAATTAGAGCCCCACGCTTTGTTCTGACTGGGTGGGTGAACAATAATGCAACAAGAGCTTTAACAAATAAACTCACTGCAGGTCTCAGGCGTCACCATGGCACAGTCATCACTTTTTATATATTTTCATTTGTAATGATTTCTACTGGCTAATGCCCAAATAAAGGACAAACAAAAAAAAAATTAAAATCTGGGCTGGGCGTGGTGGTTAATGCCTGTAATTTTAGCACTTTGGGAGGCCAAGTGGGAGAATTGCTTGAAGCCAGGAGTTTAAGACCAGCATCTGGAACAAAAAAAGACCTTATCTCTACAAAAAAAGAAAAAAAAAATTAGCTGCATGCAGTGGCATGCACCTGTAGTCCTCAGCTACTTGGGAGGCTGAGGCGGGAAGATCACTTGAGCCCAAGAGGTGAATGCTAATTATATATATATATATATAAAATGGTTAATACTGAGTGTTAACTTGATTGATTGAAGGATACAAACTATTGATCCTATGTGTGTTTGTGAGGGTGTTGCCAAAAGATATTAACATTTGAGTTAGTGGGCTGAGAAAGGCAGACCCACCCTTAATCTGGGTGGGCACAATCTAATTAGCTGCCAGCACAGCTAGAATATGAGCAGGCAAAAAAATGTGAAAAGAGAGACTGGCCTAGCTTCCCAGCCTACATCTTTCTCCTGTGATGGATGCTTCCTGCCCTCGAACATTGGACTCCAAGTTCTTCAGTTCTGGAACTCAGACTGCCTCTCCTTGCTCCACAGCCTGGAGACAGTTTATTGTGAGACCTTTTGATCATGTGAGTTAATACTTAATAAATATATATATATATATATATATATATATATTCCATTAGTTCTGTCCCTCTAGAGAACCCTAATACAATACGTGTGTGTGTGTGTGTGTGTGTGTGTGTGTATATATATATATATATTTATGTACATATGTGTGTGTGTATTTATCTTTCTGTGCGCTTATTCTGAGGTGGTTCATAGTGGTATCCACTATTCCTCCATTCACCCATGTCATATAATTAACTAAAAGACATCAATTGATTTTTAAAAGTTTCTTACTAAATGACATAATGCTTTCCTGTAAGCCACTAGGGCATGTCCTGGGAAGACCTATGAGCTATTGATGAAGATGCAGCCTGTGCTTGGGGAACAAGGGCAGAAGCTGTAGTAAGAAGTGGTAGAGGCCTGGTCAGCAGGGTTTCCAAGTAAGAGACAGAGTTTATAGTTATAGACCAAGCAAGAAGACAGGCTCATAGCAGATAGTGCATGTTGAATATGCCTAGTTGACTCAGCCTAGTGCTGAAACAGCATTTGCTCATCTATTTTCTTCTCTGGAAGGTGCTATCAACTGGTGCTGTGTCCCCACAAATGGCTATGAGCCTGGTCAGGCAAGACCATGGCAAAACGGACTCCAATACATTTTCTGTCCTGAACAGAAGAGCTACAGGGCATTCTACATACTAGTATGTTTTGTCTGTTTAACATAAAAATCCCTTCTATTGCCCTTACTAAAAAAGATATGTACATCAACATTGGATAACTGGGCCTTATTAATATGGGGAAATGCCTGAAATCCCAATGTAAATATCTGGTTAAACTGGATTAGAAAACATGGCTTAGACTCAAGCCTAACCAAGAAACTTTTACCTCTTACATCGAACCGACAACACCGCAACACATTTAGGTAAAAGAAGAGCTCCTGTGGAATAACGTCTCCACGCATTCCTATTACCTAGTGGAGAGAGAACATGGAGCTTGTGAAGAAACAAATCATCTAACATTCTACCAGGGGAATTAATTTTCTATCAGTAGAATTTGCGGCCAGGGGAACCAGTCCCACCACTGGCCCACAGACCATACTTGAGGAATACTGCCACAGAGTAAGTCCCAGCTTCTCTTCCCAGGTTAACATTTGTAAGCAGATGAAGTGTGGTTAGAATGATCATCTGGATGAATGGTAACCTGATAGTCAATATCAGCAACAACCATTTATATCTAAGAGTAACAGACCATTTAATTTAAAAATAGTTTATTTTGGGGGAGAGCAAATCAGAGCAGCTATCTTGTGTTCTAGTATTTGGGGTTTCCTAGGAAAAAAGGAAGGGAAGAGGAACAGATAATTGCTAGTGACCCAACATCTTTAGTATTGACATGTATTATGGGTTGAATTGTGTCCTCTTAAAAGATATGTTGAAGCCCTGTCCCTCAGTACCACAGAATTTTACCTATTTGGAAATAGGGTCATTGCTGATATAATTAGCTAAGATGAGGTCATATATGAGTAGCATAGACTCTAATATGACTCATGTGCTCATAAGAGAGGAGAATGCCATGTGAAGACAGAGTCATGCAGAGGGAAAGTGGCTGGTGAAGATGAAGGCAGAGATTGTAATAATGCATTTACAAGCCAAGAAACTCAAAGGATTGCCACTAAACCCCAGATGCTGCAAGAGAAGAGATTCTCCACTGCAGGTTTCACAGGGAGCTCCTCCCTGCCCACAACTTGATTTTGGACTTCTTGCCTCCAGAACTGTGGGGCAATTATTTTACATTGCTTCAAGCCTCCCAGTTTATGGTACAAACTGGGAATCTTAGGAAACTAATATAGCATGTAAGTTCCAGCCCTAGAAAACTAATATAGCATGTAAGTTCCAGTAAGTAGCTGCATCACATCTTTGATAAATGAGAAGAATGAACCAATTCATAATCAATTTACTATCAGCATTCATCCATCTATAGTGTCACACATCCAGACTTCTTATTTCTCTAATGTGACACCCCCCACTTTCTATTACATCATATCTTATTAGAATTTTACTCTTTATTTGCACTTGAGATTTTATTGGCAAAAGTCACTTTAACGGTTATCTGAACCACACATATAACAAAAGATTTAGGGGGAAAGACTTTATCACACTCTTCATCTCTATATCTATCATATCATATGAACATATGCTTCTCTAAATCAGGGAGCTCAAACATTTATTAATGTGTCCCACAGAAAGAATAATATTTGATGTTATAACCAGTGTCCATAACCTATTCATTTACATAAGCTGAAAAAAAAATCACTTACCTTTACTGTTCTTACTACATGTGAAATGGATATTTTCTACTGTATTCAATTTTTTTAAATGGTTATATTTACTCTATAAATTGATTTTACACCTCTTATTGAGTAACAACCGACAGTTTTTTTTTTTTTTTTACTATGGCCCATATTTTGCCTAGTTTCTGAATGCTACCCTCTAGGGATGGTTCCACCAAGTTCTATGTTACTCTCATTCTCCTAACCACATACACACACTAACATCACAGTTTTATATGATGTGGAGGTATGAGAATGTATAATGGTAAACATTCCTTAAAAGTAAAAAAAAAGTATGGCCTCTCAAACTCAAGTGAAATATTTATGTTACAAAAACAAGTTTCTGGCTATTTACAAACAGAATTGCAGCTATATTAAATCATTGTTTCCTGGTATTTATAGCAATGAGGCACTTTTATTCATGGAGCTATTAAATACAGAAGACCTTTGCACGTGGAACTTCTGGATTATTTGTTACCACTCTGTTTCCTGGTCATTTCAAACAATTATTCATTTTCCTTAACCAGATTGACTGATTTTCTTTCCTTCCTGAAATAATTCATTGTTTGAGTGAATACACCAAGTAACAGCTTGTGTTCTGGAGATAATGCAAGTAAATGCAGAGCTGACAGCTGATCTAGATGAGGTCATTTGTTTTGGGTGAATCTTAATGTGGTCTTAAGAAAAACAATCAGAAACTATCCCCCGACAGATCAGCTAATAATTTTGAGAAAAGGGAGATAGGTATTTTTCAGGCCTCTCTTCATTTTAACTATTTCTTAATAATTTGAAGCCACTTGGGGATAATGAAAATTGATAATCCCATAATATGAAGAGAAACATTTGGTTTCCTTTATATTAATAATATATTTTTATTGTCAGAAATTAAACAAATAATTCTACCCTATTCCCTAAAGAAGGCCAACAGAAAGAATTGCCTGAGGTCAATTACTCAAATCTGAAATCACTATTTCTGTCAGATATCCTTGCAGATGTCATTGAGTTATGCTACCAACTCTCTAGGCCTGGGCCATTTAGTATATTTTACAATGCAATTATTTCAGAGTATTTACTGGAAAGCCATATCTCTCTAAATTACATAGTCTTGTGTGTTCATCAATAAGCTTTTTCTATAATGAATCTAAGGGAGATTGGTGATTCTTATTTTAAAATTGCATGGGCTGTAATCATCATTGTGAACATACTCTGGCTTTGGAACTGTGAGCCTTGAATAGTCATTTATTTTCTGTTGGTGCTAACTTAAAACTCTTTACTGAACTAAATAATAATTCTGTGTGAATAACTCCTACCAACCTATGAAGGTGGACTGGCCTACACACAAACAGAAGCTTTGGTTGAGCACCTTAATTTTTAGAAGACATCAACCTCTTTCTTTTTATCGCCAACTGATTTTTAAAGAGAAAGAAACAGTCCAGAATTGACAACACAGAATACCTGTACTTTGAACATTTTTCTAATTATCTAATGCCTGAGTTTTTACCCAAAGCCCAATTACACAAAATTAATAGAAGATTGCCTTTGTGATCGATAGCCTATTTTTTCTTCACTGTGCTTGAAATGAAGGAAATTATAAGAAGCAATCACAATAAATTTGCCCTTACATTTATATAGGAATATCATGTATTTTAACACTCGTTGTATCCTCCATTTAGTTAGAGAATAGTGAGGAGAACTTATCCTTTGGTGTCACAAATGATACAAGAGTTGATGACTGGTTGTTGATTCAGATGGAGGTGTTTAAATGTTCCAGTTTGCCCCAAGAGAGCCTGGTTCCTGCCTGTTGTTCTGGTGTAATTGTTAGTAGCTTCTTCCCCCATCCCTCTTATTTTCAGAAGTTTCTGGGTTTGAAACACAAATTCTGCCCAATTTGGGGTTAATCAAAGGAGACAGAGCACCTTCCCTGTTAGAAAGAGTTAGCCAGTCTTGCTTAATGAAGTTTGGCTTTGAGGAATGGGCAAATCCCTCAGTTTGTTCCTAATGCTAAGTGAAACATTGTAGTCAAGAATCCAGGACTGGACAGACCTTAGAAAAATAAAAATCAAGCAATTATTGAGTCTTGGAAGAAGCGTGAGCATTTCAATGCTTCATTGCAATGTCTTGACTAGGAAATATAGAGTTAGGAAAACTTTTCACTTAGTCATTATAGGAATCAAAGCAGGTGCGTGGTAAGGGAGGTGTCCTTAATTTTGATGAATTTTCTGACACACAACTCAAAGACTGACAGTGTCCTATATGTTAATCGTCACGCCTATGACTTAAAATATTTGAATCTTAAAGAAATAATCTACTAGATGGCCAAAACTACTGTTTAGAATTTTTGATTTACCTCTAAAGGGGATGTAAAGAGTAACTCCGTGCATGACTAACATTCAAGGAACAAAAACTATTTACTTCCTTGAATACACTTATAAGCCTCAGTATAATTTTGTTATCCTAAACAGTGCAAAAAAAAAAAAAAAAAAAAAAAAAAAAAAAAACCCTCTACCATACAATGCAGGCCAGAGGCATTATTTATTTAAAAAAAGCCTTTTTTTTTTAAGATTGAAAATATAGCAGCAATTTGAATGTGAAAATCAGGCATCCTAAACAACTAGCAAATTGCAGGCCCACAAAGCCAGCCATCTTTTTGTCCTTTCCTTGATTGATGAATTGTGCAGAAATGATCAAGATCAATTCAAGGATGCATGAATTTCATCTTCTTCAGTTTCTGAGTGTTGTATTAGGCCTGTAATTCTGTCTACCAGATGACGCTGTTAGAGAATGAACAAAGAAAGCAATTGATATTTTATTCTTATCCTGGCAATGAATTTTGCTTATTACCATCTTCAAAATACAATTGAGTGAACAGTGATTACTCCTGCATAGGCGTAACTGCATACATGCGGAAAAAGCTAAAAATGAATAGCATGAAAATCGCCTTTAATTTCTAAAATCATTTTCCCAATCTGTTAAATGAGGCCGGATTTGTGCAGTGAACTTCAAGCATAAAACAAAGTAGACTCTTTCAGCCTTGCTGCTAACTTACAGTCCAGTAATGTAAGGTGAACAGAAAAAGATATTATTAATATCAATTTTTCTACCTACGGATGTGTTTAAGGGAGATTCATTTACTAACATGTTCTTTAGGTCCTTGCTACTCAAAGTGTGATCATTAAAGTTTGAAAAGTGCTGATTTAGGCTGGTTGTATTTGCACAGCTTTAGAAACATACAAATCCATGTAGAATATTAACCAGGCTTATTTTAATGTCACATCTATTGAGCACTTACAATGCGCTTTGCATATTTTCAGGTTTGTGTTTGTGAACTTAGTCCATGGATTCTATTCCATTAATTATTGGGAATAAATGTTCAGTTGGCTTAATTAGCAGAAATTTTTCTTCTCTCCTCTTTCTCCTATGATAAATATTTCTTGTTAATCAGTGGTATTAGAATGTAAATAGATCTTTTAAGTTAATTTATTTGCAAATGATCTTCCAGAACAATTTTACCTCATGAATTTCCATTTATTGCAAATATTACTGTTCAGCTCACACATATACAGTGAACTCTCATTGAGTCACAGTAGTGAAGGAATTAACACTACTGGTTATTTGACCATCTAGTTAACTGAAAATTACATTATCCACTTCCAGAAATTAAGTAAAATCACAAGCACTATATAAAACACTATATAGAAAACTATTCACTATAGCAAAGACATGGAATCAACACAAATGCCCATCAGTGATAGACTGGATAAAGAAAATGTGGTAAATATACACCATGGAATACTATGCAGCCATAGGAAGGAATGGGATCATGTCCTTTGCAGGGACATGGATGGAGCTGGAAGCCATTATCCTCAGCAAACTAACACAGGAACAGGAAACCAAACACTGCATGTTCTCACTTATAAGTAGGAGCTGAACAATGAGAACACATAGACATAGAGAGGGGAACAACACACAATGGGGCCTGTGTGTGGTGGGGGACAGGCAGGGAGACCATCAGGATGAATAGCTAATATATGTAGGACTTAATACCTAGGTGACGGATTGATAGGTTCAGCATACCACCACATTTACCTATGTAACAAACCTGCATGTCCTGCAAATGTATCCCAGAACTTAAAATAAAATAAAATAAAATAAACATAATTTAACCTTTTCTTTTACAGGCACAATGAAATTCAGAATCTTCACATAGCTCAAACTCCATCTAGTACCTTATTGATTATTTGGGTACCAAGGCCTGTAAAAATTTATCTTTGGAATATATGTGGAATCAGCCCTGCTTCTCTCCATCCCTGATGTCATTACTGTGGTTTCAGTCACTCTTGTCTCTTGACTAGCTTAATGCATCATTTTTCTACCCAGTCACCAGGATTGTCTCTAATTCATTCTTCCTTCTGAAATCTGAGTGATTATTGAAAATAAAATCTCATCTCATATATTTATTTCTCTGCTTAAAACATACCAATGCTTTTCTATTTCTTGCAGGATAAAGTTCAAAATTCATTAAGTATGGTCTGGACCATTCTTAATTTTCAGTGTCATATATAATTTGTCCCCTCTATGTTTCCACCCCATCATCCACATACCCGTCTTTTCACCTTCAGTCTGCTCTCTAATTAGAATAATGACTTTCAGATCCCAGAAGAATCTATGTACTTCCTTGCCTCCAAGCCTCTGCACTTGCTGCCCCTTATGGGGTCATTGTTTTTCTGTTCTACACTTTCTATCTACACAACTAATTCATGATCATGCTTCAGGTTGCAGTACCACGATGGGGTCGTCCAGGAACACTTCCTTCCTTTCTCACACCTCTCTGAGCTCCAACTCAACTGATACATCTCCTTCGTGATCCTATAGCAGCCTATACGCTACTTATCCCAGCACGTACATTTTGGCCTTGAATTTTCTGTTTCCCAATCTATATTCCAAAATCTGTAAGGGCCTTCATGGTGGTGTGTAAGTCTTCCTCTCTGTTATAGCCCTAATGTCTAGCACAGTGATATAGAAGTCATTCTAAACATTTTTTAATAAACAAATGAATGTACTATTTTTATTGACATCAAAATGCATAGAACCTAATCAGTTTAAATAACAGCTTTCCCTAGGCACTATAAAAAAGATAGTAGATAAACTATTTACATTGATTCTTTAGTTACCTGAGTTTGTGCCCTAGAAGATGCTTTATAAAATTAATACCCACTATTAACATGTTTCCTGCTCACTTATTTTCTTTTCATAAAAGTAAAATGCAGATTGTGCAAATGCAGAGCTGGCTGGGCTAAAATTACCTGGCTTCCCTTTATAAAATGAACATAAGATTTTGCTTACTTGCATGCCTTGAACTACAAGTGAGGATGCATTGTGGAAGATATTCTTGGAATCAAAATTTCTAATATGAGAATGGCAGAGTATATGAACAAGGAATGGGGGATGATACTTCAATAGATGATCAAATCTTGAGAAATTGCAAGATAAATATAGTAAGCCATGATACAACTCTGAGAATTTAATCAAGCAATTATATACAGGGAAAGTATTTAATTAAGATGTAATCAACAGGATTTCAGGTTTGTTAAGGAATAATCAAATCTGGCTGACGTCATCATCATCCAATAAATCATCCTCCTAAAGAATTGGCAAATAATTGGTATTTCAAATTCTCAAGAGTATAGCCCGAGGCTCAAATGCTGGTTGAGATGCCTGAGAAAGAGCTATCAGCTGTGGAAAAATGAGAAGTAATTTGCCGTGGTAACTAATGACCTCCAAATCTCAGTGGTTTCCAACCATAAAAATTATTTCTCCTGCACATTTCATGTGAGCTGCCAGTGAACTACAGCTCTGCTTCAACAGGTCTGTACTTCAAGATCCAAGCCTAAGAAGCCCCTATTTGGAACAAAGCATTCTTGTGGGAAAGGATATACAAGAGGCAGTATGTAAACGCAAAACCATCTTTAAATATTCTCCTCAGGTATGGCATATGTCACAACTGCTTACATTCCATTGACCAAAGCAAGTCATATGACTGTTAAATCAAGTTTAATGCAAAGCTGCCTCCTTACATATTTTCAAATTCAGCCTAAAGGTTCCTCTGTACATCGTGAACTATAGCCCAAATGGAAGTGTAAACAGATTGTAGCCTACTCTTGTGCCAATCATTGAGTTTTCACCAAAGGGGCCAACCGTTCAAACCATGTTCAAATAAGGCAAATACCAAGCTGTAACCAATCTGGCTATTTCTGTACCTCACTTCTGTTTTCTGTACCTCACTTCTATTTTCTATATATCACTTTCATCTTTCTGTCCATAAATCTTGTTCCACCATGTGGTTGCCCTGGAGCCTCTGAGCCTACTCTGGCTTGGGAGGCTGCCCAATTGGTGAATCATTCTTTGCACAATTAAACTCTTAAATTTAATTTGGCCAAAGTTGCTCTTTTAACATGACCAAGTCTTCTACTAGTCTGAGAAAATTTTAGCCACTAACACAGAAGCTCTGCAACTCATGTTCAGGGGGGTTAGTGTTATATACTTCTTATGTGGAAGGGGATGGATATTTGGAAACAAGGTACCATAGTATTTGAATGGAGAAAGAGAGAGGACACAGTCAAACTGAGATACTTGGCAGGGATCTGGAGTTAGTTTGAAAACAACGGCCTTTGTGGGCTAACATTCTGAAATTTATATCTAGCCCAGTATCTATTCAGGCTGTGTGGCTGGAGGCTAAGGACCTCAGATCACCTAGATCTCAGATGGTGATGGCTAGAGATATGGGCTCTACTGTTTATTAGCTTTGCGACCTAGTGAGTCACATCATTTCTCTGAATCTCAGTTTTTGTGGCAGCATTTGTTTTCTGCTCACCAAATATCCAAGAAACATTTACATGCATCTCCATATTCACTCACCCCACTTACGATTAGGGAGAGGCTGTGTGAGAAGTTCTGACTAATGGGATATGAACACTTAATGGCTCCTAAAATCTGCCCTGAGATCTTCAGCTCATTGTCTTCTCTCCTGCAGAACTGGGGGTGCTAGATGGCAGAAGTAGAGATCCCTGAATCACCCTCTGTAGAAGAGTGGCACAGGAGAGTCACTTGACCCAATTGGGACCGACACTAGACTGTGAGATAACAAACCTGGTTTGTGTTAAGGCCTTGAAATTTTAGGATTTGTTTGTTTCTTCATTACTGGCCAACATTCATCTAAGGAAGAGGATACAGAATATCTCCAGGGTTGTTGCAAAGATTAATTGAGATAATTTAGATAAAGCACAGAGCACTGTCTTCCATAATATGGACTCAATATATGACAACGATTACAGTTTAAGATTGATTACATTCATCTAGAGATTAAGAATAAGGTCTTCAGAATCAATGGATATAGTTCATGTCTCAGATATGCTACTATGTATGTTAAGAAGATTATTTAATATCTTTACACTTTAATTTCTTTATGAAATGGCATCCGATCCACAAGGTAATGTATGGGGTAGTGGTGGCAGTAATGGTAGCTGATAATCTTCTGCCTGATCCCTCATTAGAGCTGCAGAACTGGTCATTAGGGAAAAGAACCAAATAGATAAGCTTATGTGGAGATCCAACTGTGGTTTTGATCAGATTGATGGAACTAACCAGTCACAGCCCAGCTACTAATAGAGTGGTCTCCAACCACAAAGGCAGTGATCAGATGATGGCCAATTATCTGAGTATCAGCAGTGATTCTGCCGCTGGAGACAAGCAAAAAAGACAAGCAAGAGTTCAGGATTTGGAAAAACAATGTATACGATTTTGCCTTTATGTTGCGTTTGTATTTCTCTTTAAGCAATTTTAGAGCGATAATAGATGCAGCATTAAAAATTAATTTTGCTTTTTCCCAATCATAATAGTAGTAGAGTTTTTTATAGAAAGTTAGAAGTACAGAAATTTGGACAGAAAGAAAAACATACATTGTTCTAATCCAACAAACAACTAATAATTTTTCTGTATTTATATTCACTCTTTTTTTCTATATATGTTTTATTTGTTTATTTAACATAATTGGATTTTCTAATGTTATATTTAAATTACTTCATAAATATTATTTTCAAGGACTGTAAATTATTTAATTATGTGAATGTACCATAGTTTACTTATTTATTTCTTTCATGACATTAGCTTTTTTGCTGTTGTAAATAATGACCCTGTTAACTTCTCTGTTACATATTTTTACATCCTTTGATTTATTTTGTTGGGACAAATCCACAGAATTGGAATTACTAGGACAAATAGAAAAGATGTTTATAAGAAATAGTATACTACATTGCCAAATTGCTATCCCCAGCAATACCTGAAAATGATGGTTCCACATGGCCTATTATGGGATTTATCTTTGTATATTGCTAATTTAAAAAACCTTTAAAATATTCTCTGTTAATATAGAATATCTAACTACATATTTATTAGTAAATATATACATTCATCACTTTATTTGATTTTGCGTTTATTCGTGATATGGAAATTTGCCTAAAAATCTGAGATTACTCATGATAGTGCATGATTTTTGAATTATCTCCTTATGTCAGTTGCCAATTTAATATTTGTCTTATTGATTTCCATGAATATTTTTTATCTTAACAATACTAGATATATAATCTTCTTAACATATCTTATTATTTATTATCAGGAGAAATAGTAGGTGGCTGCCCAGTTCTCCTTAACTCATCTTCAGCTGAATATGTGGCTATCTTTTTACCCTCTCATATTTTCTTATAACTGAATTGTCCACTGACTATAATTAAAATCTCCCTTTTGGATGGACTCTCAAGCTTAGTAGTAGCCAACTCTTCATGAGGTGAGGCATAGGTACAGACTTTTCAACTTTTAGCAAATATACTTAGTAATCTGTTGGTTGTTTCTTAAAAAATGACATAGTTTCAGAATTTTATTTTTAAGTCCTTCTGTCTGCATGTAAAATGTTTCATCCAAAACAACTTTGGAACTGTCAGAGAGGTACTGAACTGTGGCTGAATTTCTGTGTAAAGTGAAATCTAAGAAATAATTGGCACTTCATAGAAATTTGTGTTTAGAACCACAATTTACATCGTTTCTACTTCAGTCATTTTCCAATATTTTTTCACAGATTACTGTTCTAAGACCTAGGAATGTTTTCTCAGAATTCTCCCATGGAGGTGCTGCTTTTCATGATTACCTATCCTGGTGTGAAGCCGAGAAGAAATTGGTAGAGACTGTGGTCCAAGCAGTTAGTTGAGCTCCTATGAGTGGTTTCAGTATAGGTATTTTTCTACCTACTGTTGGTGTAGCTAGGTTTCCAAATGTCACAATGTTAAGCAAATATCTCCAAGGTCATATGTGGCTTTCACACGTTGAGGATTCTTTTTGGACTATTGCCCTTCTTCAATCCTGGCCTATTTTGATGTTTAGGAGAGCATGTCTTAAAGATTTTGGCTTCTAGGATTTCAAATGCACCAGGACACACACTGAATAACTTTACTACCAGATAGTATTACAAGAAATGTCTTCTCAGTTTAAAAGGTATCACTCATTCATTCATTAATTCAACAAATAATATTGCCAGCCTAGGGGAGGAATTGTGCCTGCATTTGAATTTCAGTTATTTAGCAACTGTGTGTATTGGGCTAAATCAATTTGATCTTCTCAATTTTTCTTATCTATGTTGCATTATTTCTACTACAACGACCATAAGCTAAGCATGGTGCTAGGCACAGAGCATATTTTAGTGAATAAAGCAAGCACAGTCCTTGCATGGGGTTCATGGGGTTAAACACAAGCTGGAAAGAGACTTCTAGGCTTTGTAGAGGGTAATATAGACTGCCTAAATTTGCACCTGTCTTTCTAAAATGAATATAGGATACAAAAAAGGAATAAAATTTCTCATAGCTCATAATTTCAACTTTAGTAGGAGAAAACTTACCAAAAACTTAATTTACATGTAGATGGATTCTGCTCAAGAATTTAAGAAGAGCTTAGAATCAGGAAATTGGGTGGAACTGAAGAGAGGGCAGTGGAGTCTTAGTGTCAGTGTGACACTGATTTTATCAATCGAAGTTCATCCCCAAAAGGACTGAGTCCCTCCCTGAGTAGGTAAATATGATGTGGAGTTTCAGTAACCTGGCAGATAAGAGCCCTGGCAACTGGTGAGTCTGAGGAAAGAGGTTTAGAAAGTGAGCAGCAACTGTGGTGGCTCTCATGGGAAGGCATCATTTCTGGGGGAAAAGAATGTATCATGGAACATGGAAATGTCTCTGTGTGGCTTGGAAGTAAAGGGAAAGAAAGCTGCTGAAGATAAGAGCCACGATATCCTATGAAAAAACAAAACAAAACAGTGATTCAGAAAAACACACACACACACAGACAAATTCTTAAAGAAACTGAGCATCACTGCAGCCATAGAAGAAGGCACTCTTAAACCAAGACATTAAGTATAATAGCCAATCTCTGACATTACTGCTGGTCTAGGAAAATCCAACATAAACAAAGACACCAATAACAAAATGACCCAGCACCCCTATAAGGTTATTATACATGATAAAAGAAGTGGTTACAGAAAACTCAAACCCTTAAATACTTACAAAGATGAGAAATGCCAATACATGAATTAAACATCCAAATCAGATAGATAAAAGATTAAGCTCAAAGAAAGCAGAGAAAATGTCAAAAAAAAAAAAAAAAAAGCAAAGGAAAACAGAAAAACATGAGCACGAATAAACAAATAATTAAATATCATAAATTAATTTTATATGTAATAATGACTTTGTGGTCTTGTCTTTAAAAACTGTCCTGGAGCTCTCTTACATTACTAGTTGAAGGCAAAAAAACGATCCGTCCACTTCAGAAAAGAGTTAGTTAGTTCCTTAGAAAGTTAAACACACACTTATCGTAAGACCTGTCAATCCCGCTCTTTGGTATTTACCCAAGATCATTGAAAATTATGTTCATACAAAACATCAAATACAAATGTTTATAATGGGTCTTTTTTGTAATTACCAAAAACTAAAAACAATCCAGTTCTTCAACTGATAAATATCCAAACTGTGACACATCCATAAAACTGTATTCCCACACAACAATTAAAACGGATAAGCTATTGATAGATGCAACAGCATGAATGAAGCTCAAAAGCATTGTGCTAGGTGAAAGAAGCCAGATTCAAAAGACTACTGTATGATTCTATTCACGTGGCATTCTAGAAAGGCCAAACTACTGGAAGAGAAAACAGATGAGTTGTCCTGGAGCAGGAGGAAGATTGAGTACTAAGGGGCATAAGGGAATTTTTTGGGGATGATGGAAATGTTGTATGTCCTAATTTGAATGATGTTTACATGATGTATACATGGCTCAAAAGATGGAACTGAACATCAAAAGGGCAAATTTTACAGCATGTGAATTATACATCAATAAATCTGACTAAAACAGTCTTACAGATTTATAAGAATTTTAGAGATTCTTGCTAAAACTTTTACAAGTAAAATAATATTTGATATTTTCTTCAGGATAACCTGATGGTTTGGATAAAATAGGTAGAGAAATACATAAAATGAGATTGCCCAAGAGTTGCAATTGTAGAAACTAGAGCTTATTATATTGTACACTTCAGTATTTTATCTATTTGGTATTCTTTATAGTAAACAATATTTTAAATATATAAAGTTAAAAGTAATTGGAAATTAGTCAACATAGAATAAAAATTTGATTTCCTATATTATTCTGATGGAAAAGCAAATCTTGGCAGATTTTGCAGGAAACCGTTATGTGGCCATCACTGGAAAAAAATCTGGCTTGAAAGTCTAAAAGTTTGAAAGTCTAATTTGGAATTTTATAAAGTAGATCTGTTCTATGGGAATTCCATATTAAACAAAATTAAACTGCAGTTTCTCAGACAGGTTAATATACTACTGTGGTTATACAACGTTGCCCAAATTTATTTGTATATAGAATTCCCTTTTTTCTCAAAACATTTGCAGAAATAATGTTACATAGAACATACTTGAGATTCCATATCATTTTCAAGACTGACAGTATATACTTGTAGTAGCCTAGGTGCCAAGAGGCAACTTAATACTGGGATCAAAACTTGGTGCTTCATGTGTTAGAGTAATGCTAGTTCCTATAACCTAATTCCCTGAAGTAAAGTGGCTTAACATAATAGAAGTGATTTCTCCCCCATATATCTGTCCAGTGAAAGTATTTTGGATGGGAATTCACTTTCCCTCATGCAGTGCTTCAGGAATTGGAGCTCTATCTTATCCCTTTTCCATCCTCTAGAGCAGCAGTCCCTGAGCTTTTTGGCACCAGGGACTGGTTTCGTGGAAGACAATTTTTCCATGGACCAGGGGCAAGGGATGGTTTCGGGATGATTCAAGCACATTACATTTATTGTGCACTTTATTTCTATTATTATTACATTGTAATATATAATGAAATAATTATACAACTCACCATAATGTAGAATCAGTGGGAGTGTAGAATCAGTGGGAGCCCTTCGCTTGTTTTCCTGCAACTAAATGGTCCCATCTGGGGGTGATGGGACACAGTGACAGATCATCAGGCATTAGATTCTCGTAAGAAGCACACAACCTAAATCCCTCACATACAGTTCACAATACAGTTTGCATTCCTATGAGAATATAATGCCCGTCACTGATCTGACAGGAGGTGGAGCTCAGGTGGTAATGAGAGTGATAGAAACAGGCTGTAAATACAGATGAAGCTTCTCTCATGCACCCACAGCTCACCTCCTGCTGTGCAGGCCAGTTCCTAACAGGCCATGGACTGGTAGCGGTTTGTGATCTGGGGTTAGTGATCGCTGCTTTAGAGGTTTAGGTGCTTCTTCATCTAACCATCCTGAAGGAAGAATGAATGGAAAAGGCACATTGACACCTTAATCACCTTCAACCAGAAGACACATACATCACTTCTGCTCCCATTCCATTGATGATCATTCGTCTCATGGCCTATTTAGATACAACCAAATCTGAGAAATGTAGTTACTGGCTGGGCAGTTATTTTGCATGACAGGAGCACATGATTTTTTTTTTTTTTTTTTTTTTTTTTGAGAGGGAGTCTCACTCTGTCGCCCAGGCTGGAGTGCTGTGACGCGATTTCGGCTCACTGCAAGCTCCACCTCCTGGGTTCACGCCATTCTGCCTCAGCCTCCCAGGTAGCTGGGACTACAGGGGCCTGCTACCACGCCCGGCTAATGTTTTTTGTATTTTTAGTAGAGACGGGGTTTCACTGTGTTAGCCAGGATGGTCTCGATCACCTGACATCGTGATCCGCCTGCCTCGGCCTCCCAAAGTGCCGGGATTACAGGCGTGAGCCACCGCGCCCGGTCCTGAAAACATGAATTTTTAATGCACAGTTAGCTGTCTCTACTATGGGCTACAGTACTTTTGAATATTGCATAAGTGCATGTAGACGTTTCAAGGAATTCAGTGATTCCACCAGAGAGTATGATTCAAATAATCTGAAATGGGGCCCTGCCATCAATATCTTAAAAGCTTGCAAATAATTATATTGTTCAGAAGCTCCCAGATAATTATATAGTTTGACTTGAGAACCATAGAAAACAGCCACTGATTATTACTGTAGAAAAATAATTTCTTTATTGCCAATCCTGAGCTACTTTTTCAGAGAGATTAAGCATATTGCCTTACAGAAGATTGGGTTCTTCAGGAAGCAGAATCATAGCTGGTACTTAGCATGTAGGGTGTTTATTGAGGAGAATCAGCCCCTGTGGCAGGAAGTGAGGTGGGGGAAGCAGGATTGATTGGGCAGAGTGGCAGTTTGAGCTGTAATGCAGGCCCTGCATCATACTTTAGAGATAAAAGAGCTCATCAGTTTTCCTCTTTGGGGAAGAAATAGCTAGGTCTTCATAACCCTGCTTCCATCTGTCGTAGAGTAGATTTACCCAAAGAGGGCACATCCTTGGGTGAAGCTGCTCACTTTAGCTAAGGTAATTTCTGAAAGCCTGATGTTGAAGGTGGCTTACGTACAGCACACTCAGCAACTGGGGTAGAAGACTTTCCTTTAAGGAGATGCTTTAAAGAGGAAACAAAGTAGCACATTTCCATGTTCATCACAAGCTTAAAGTCCTTCACTAGTAGGCAAGAGAATGGGCTCTAGAATAAGATTACTTGTGTTCAGAGCCACACCGTTTACTAAATGTGTGACTTTGGAAAAGATGATTTCAGCTCTTTCAAACTTAAGTTTCCCCATGTAGAAAACAAGATATCTTTTTAAAAGATCATCATGATAACTAAATATAATACATATAAAATATATACATTGATTGGTGCTACTTCTTCTTCCCAATTATTTTTATCCTCATGGTTATAACACATCAAGAAAGAACATGTCAGCAGCCTCTGCAATATGTGTATTTTCCAGTCAGAATCAAATTCCTTCCAAGTCTTGTTCAGGGACCTTACAGTTGGTTGTTCAATCAAAATTCTTATCTGCCTTGTCTGTTCTACGAGTCTTTACAGTACCATAGAATTTTTGTGACTGCAGGTCCTGCAATTGTTTAAGCAGCTTCTGGCAGAAGTGCTCCTTCATAGCTTATTCAGAAAGGAGACATTTTTTTTTCTCTGCTGAACATTTAAAACATATTAGATATGTTTGAATGATTTTCCAGCACAGCTAACAGTAATTCGCTAACATTTGCTCAGAGTGCCAAATGATTCTGTTCATTGGGCTATTGTCCTGAAATCTTTATTTTAGTCTGTGGCCATACCACCCTGAGCGTGCCTGATCTTGTCTGAAATCTTTGTTATTTGGGACATTAATAGGTCAGATGAAACAATTAGGAGCATTGTTTCCAGGAAGCCCTGGATGAAATATCCATGTGAAATCTTGGGACAGCTCTCCAATTTCCTCCCTCTGAAGCTTCAGGATAGATCAGTTTGTTGCATTAATTAGCTGACATCTTAGGCTTGGAGGGGCTAAGGTATAGGACAGGAGCTTTGCAATCATTTGTGGTAACATGATAAGTAAAAAGGATGGATGAAGGGCTGCCCAGAGTTCTGGTTCTGCCTGTAGACTCACAGACTGCAGGTAGAGAGGGTGAGAGGCCAAGTGGGAGAAAGGGGACCACATTTCAAAGGGGTCCCCAAAAGCATACCTTATCGATTTTTGACTTAGTTTTCTTAATGTTTGAAAAACATTTGAAGAAATTGATCAAAAGGAGAACAATTCAAACAATACAAAAGTGTAGACAATGAAACATATTTTTCCCTCCTATCCCTTACTCCATTTCACTATTCCCTTCCCCAGAGGTGAACACGGACACAAACTTCCTGATTATTCTTCCAGAGCTCTTCTCTAAAGATAAGCAGAAATGTGTACATGGATATACAATGCCTACTTAGTGCTTTACCAAGGTTAACTAAATTAATTAGATTACTACGAGGTTGACACTCTTATTATCATCCCCATTTTATAGATGAAAGCATGGAGAGGTTCAAAAAGTTGCCCAAGGATACACAACTTGTAAAACGTGGGTGAAGAAACATACAAGTAAATATAGATAGACATAGAGATATGGATACATAAATATATTGACATAAATGTATATACACATAACATATAGTGGATTTTATAGTGATATATCATTTGAAGGTTATTAGATGGCAGTCTTTTCATATTTTAAACCATGCATTTGTGCATTTCCTTAAAGGTCATCTGTGCAGATCATGCATTGCACAATGCAAGGAGGGCCATTCATGTAGATTACATTGTCAATGCCATCCTTAGAGCAGTTCAACATGGCAGCAGTACTTGCTTATATTGACCTAATTTTAAATGGAATGTCTCATCTTGTGATCAACTAGCATTTCCTTGGGCTATTTGTAATGGAGGATAAAATATAGTCCCCGTACACAGCAGTATTACAATGTTCACACTTGTTAAAACTAGAGGAATTGTCTGATCAAGATCCCCTCCCTCCGACTTTGCCTTGGTTTTTAAGATAAGTATGATAGTAACATGATTGAATATTTTTCTTTCCTGTTGCTTCCACCTCAACTAATTTTTCATAAAGAATGACTGCACTGTTTAAACAATGGATTCTTACATTCTTTAACGATATGAATAATTATGAGTTGGCTCTAAAAAGATTCATTGGAAAAAATAGTATTTGAATAGATTGTCTCCCTTAGGCATTCACAGAAGGTCCAAATCTATGTGCAGTGCACTCCCAATGTTCTGGAGCCAGAGGGAATAGGAATTCTATTCTTTATGCTCTGGGAAAGGGTCCCAGCCACACATGATGATCTGCAGCCAGTGACACCTGCATGCCCTTGAGCAGCTCTTCCAAGAATAATATAGTTTTGCCTCCCAACAAAATAGTTATTTTTTTTAACCCAGAATACTCCTGGAATATAAATCATCCAGATGACTGAAACTTATTTTTTGATGGCATGACAGATCACTGGGTATTAGATCCTTGAAGATATGTTATTTTTTTTAGAATTGCCTTTAAAATATCGCTCACCCTGTCACAACAGATCCAAGTTTTATAATCCTGTAGCTAGTATTCTAAATTGTTGAAGTCAACACTAACTAGGATGCCCACTATTAATGATTGAAATAGACTATCGTTTTTTTAAGTGTGTTTGAAATTATTTATTTCAATTGCTTATTTTGATGAATTGCATTAAACTCACCAGAATTTATCACAAAGTGGCTACAGCTAATATTTATCTACCATGTATACAGGAGTTTTTCTATTCTTTAAGACACAACTCATTTTGTTTTAGTTATACTGGTCCAGAACACACTTGTCTATTTGCATTTGTATGTAAAGGTCTTCATGTTGTTTTCATTATGGAGCATTTTCATGCCCCTGTAACTGAGACAAGAACAGAAAAGAGTTGGCCTTTTATCCTATAACCTCATTTCTGCTCCTCAACATAATCAGTTGAGTTCTATATTTGTCAATTTGGTTTTCTCGGCCACCATAATGGTTAATTACTAAATCAGAATTGATCACCAAGTGGCCTGATGCTGTTATCTTAGCAACCCTGCATGCCTTCTAGTTCTTTTAATCATTTAAATGACTAGATCAGATTAGCCATTTGCCATTTGATCAGTAGCACAGTCACCAGTATAAGACAGACTAATCTTATTGTGCACTAAGGCAAAGTCTTAGTGGGGGAAATGGTTGTTTAATGAATATATAAAAATATTTATCTGGGCATAACAAAATATTTGCAAATCTAGTGTCTAATATTGAAGCAATTTTATTTTTTCTAATCAAATGAGAAAAATGCTGGCTTAAATGGATACCAGGTACCACACCACAGAAAATTCATTAATCAACAAACATAATTAAGAACTAAGTAAGTTTTCATGTGTTGGACACTGGAGATATAGTGGAAATAATCCATAGCCTCTGTCACAAGAAATAAATCATAGACTCTTGAAAGAGATACATTGATAAGGTAATAATTTTAATAGAGCATGGTGAATGCAAACATTGTGTGATGACTAGAAGAAAAAGTGAATTTTTCTTTCTACTTGGAGAAGCCAAAAAATATACAAAGTGAGGAAGTTAAGTTGAATAGGTTCCTAAGAATTATTAGGCATACTCAAGGTATTTCAAGAATAACATCATAGGCAGGGGAAAAGCACAAGATGGCACAGCATTTTTGTTGTTCATATTTCTTAATAGAAAGTGACGACAATCAGAAAAGCTAATTTGAGTAAAGGGGATTTTTTATTGGAAATCATGGTAGACAAAATAATGGCCACACCAAGATGTCCACGTTCTAATTTCCTAAGCTTGTGACTATGTTATGCTGCACAGCAAAGGGGAACTAAAGTTGTCAATGGAATAAAGTTGCTAATCAATTGACCTTAATTAAAATAAAGACATGATCCTGGATCATCCAGGAGGATTTGGCAAAATTGCCAGAGTTTTTACTTGGAGGAGAAGGAAGCAGAAGCATCACAACCAGAGAGATGAAATTGTTAGAGACTCGACCAACCACTGTTGTTGGTTGTGAAGATAGAAGGGGTTCATGGTCCAAGGAATGCTGGCAATCTTCCAGAAGCTGCAAATGATAGGAAAGCAGATTCTCCCCAAGAGCCTCCAGAAAGGAACTCAAGCCTGCTGACGCCTGGATTTTAGCCCAGTGACACCTGTTTTGGATTTCTGACTTCTAGAAATGTAAGGTAATAAATTTGTGTTTTAAACCACTAAGTTTTTGGCAATTTTAACAGCAACAATAGGATGCAAATGCAGAAATTTACTGAAGTTGTTAATGTAATTCAAAGAAAAACTGTGCAATCAAGACTCAAGAAGGGAAAGTATGACTGGACCCAGGTTGTAACATCATCAGAATGCTCCATCGTCTGTCTTCCTCTAGATCTATTGGCTTCATTCTCTGAGAGTAGCTTTCCCCATGGGGTGGGGGATCTGGCCACCAGCTGCCCCAGATTCCTATAATGATGGCTTTCCAATCAAAGAGAAAATAAGTTTCTCCATATTGGCTCCAATTAAAAAAAATGCCATGAAAAAAATTTATTGTTCCATTTTGGGTCAAAAGTCCAACTTTTGAACTACATTCATGGAGTGAATAATACTAATTAGCCCAGCCTGCATCATGTGTCATCAATTTGGCAAATAGGGTGAGATTTGTTACCAAAAGAAAGGGGACAAGAATGTAGGGAAAATCAAAATAGAAATACCACCTACAGCATGTTGAATGAACTACATATGGTTTATTATAGTGAGAGCATAAGTAAGTGAGGAATTCAACTCAAACTCATACAAATAGACCACACGAGTAAGTTCCAACTCTGTGGGCTTTATATTATTTTCAGAGTTCCAGCTTAACAAAATATATGTTTATGAGTTTCCCCTCAAAAGGGGAAAGACAGATGAGTTCAATTTATGTTAGTTCCACCATCTTGTTTTCAATATACGAAATTCAGGAATTGGTCAGCTGTGTGGACGGTCAATTTAGAGAGACCGAAGCTTGGAACTAGATTACTCTGAGCGTAGCTTTCCCCATAAGGCAGGGGATCACTACCAAGAAGTGGTAGTGCTTGGGAGCATTCATTATTGCAAGTGTATATGTACGAGACATTTTACTGGGTTACAGGAAACTTCAGTTATGAAGAAATCACTTGGGATACAAATTCTAGCATAAATGAATGGA
The DNA here is from genome assembly GCF_000001405.40 of Homo sapiens. Lineage (NCBI taxonomy): Eukaryota > Metazoa > Chordata > Mammalia > Primates > Hominidae > Homo > Homo sapiens. Next base: position 90,217,920 of record NC_000010.11, read on the forward strand.
AGAGGCAGGAGACCTGGTGTAGTAACATAGACATAAAATCAACCAGGACCTGCAGTGAGGTTAGCTTGATGCAGAGGAATTTAAGTTAGATAGGAATTCTGATGTTGTCTCTGCCAGCAGATGTGATGGGTTGATGAGCCAGGGGAGCAGGGAAGTCTGGGTGTACTTTCGGTCTGCACACAGAGGAGGTCAGTTAGAGAGAGAGAACAGGGAAGCAGAGATGTCATTATACTCTCAGTTCTGCCTATTCCCTATTCCCGTTCTCAGATTTTCCAAGTATGGAAACCAATCTTAAGCCTGATATTCATTAGGCAGTTTCTTAAAGAAAATGATTCAAGTAAACCTAGGAGAGGAACATCCAGCCAAGAGTGTGTTCACAAAAGGTCGAAATGGCAACTTTTTCCAAAATCTTAGAATTTGATCATTGTTGACTCTGACGTCTTAGACCAGCTAGACCTGCAGTCACTCAGTAGAGTGTCTCATTCAATGAAACATGATATTATTGTCAGGAGTTATTCCAGCCCATCTCTATCAGTTTCCTAGAGCTGCTATAGCACAGCACCACACATTGGATGACTTAAAACAAAAGAACTTTATTGTCTCATAGTTCTGGAGGCTAGAAGTTTTAAACCATGGTGTTGGTAGAACTACGCTATGAAACCTGTGAGGAAATGCTTTCTTGCTTTTCCTAGCTTTTGCTATTGCCAGCAATCCTTGGTGGTTTGGCTTGCAGCTGCCTAAATCCAGTCTCTGCTTTCATCATCACACGGCATCCTTTCCATGTGTCTCTGTCTTCAAGTGGCCATTTTCTTATAAGGATGCTAGTCCTATTAAATTAGGAGCCCATGTTCCTCCAGTCTACCATTTTAACTTTCTTTATTATATTGTCAGTGACCCTATAAATAAGGTCATATTTTGAGAGATCCTGGAGGTTAGAACTTCAACATATCTTTTTTTGGGGGGACATAATTCAGCCCATAACACCATCCCCTTATTTTTTTTTTAACAACTCCTGTTTAGAGTCTATATTCACCTCATTACTCATTCCTGACTCCTGATTTTCTCTTGTATGTATCACCCAGTTCTTACACTTGGGATTAGAAGTTGGCATGTTGTTTATACAGAGTTGAGACAAACAAAAGCCTCAAGGAGCTGTCTGGACATTTTTATCTAGGCCTTTGTGTTACTATGAGCTGCCTGGCATTTACAGCTATGTCTTGGTGTTCTCTGGTTAAACAACTTCACAGAACAGCAACATCAGACAAAGTTACTGTGAACATGATCAATCAAGACAAAAATAGGGCCACTCTATAATCATGCCTGAACACAAAGCAAAATACAAACACTATCCAAACCACACAAATGACCAAATATCTCTCTATCTTGACAATAGAAGTGACTGCTGCTTTTTTTCTTCTTTTAACCGATTACTGCTTTGTCTTGGTCTAGGCATCCCTCCTTCTAGGTAAGATTAATTAAGGTAAATAACTAAAATTACCCTAACTTTCTAAGAGGATGTAATCCAGAGCAAAGCCTCACATCTTTAAATCCTCCCTGTCACGTAACACAACCCCAAATCTTATAGTAAATTCTTTCTAACACCCTCTTCCCGAGACACTCCATGTTTCCATGGTGTACATTCTCACTGCAACAAGTAATAAACCCAACTTGTTCAACTATGAGTGTGTTCCTGAGGATATTTGACTGGAGGGCATTCACGGCATTTTAATAATACAAATTAGCTAAAATGTGATAACTGAATTGGAGACATGTTTTACATGTGGAATATATCAACCTAACAAATGATTGCTGTTCAGATTATACTGCAAATAGAAAAATGCAGGTATAAAAAAGGTTGTATTTGCAATATTATTAATTGCTATACATATCTAGCGTTCAATTCCAGTCATGTTTCTTTTATTTTATAAATGAAATCAAACTCAAGCTTTGATACCACAGTATGGTGTCAGATCTAGTCTCTCTCTTTTTTTTCATGTCACCTTCCTTTGAATGGTCAAAAAACCTAGTAAATGTATTGAATCCATGAGGAATGAGATCTATCCAACTTCCCCATCCAATTGTGGGATGGGAGAGGGAAGGCCTAAAATATAATCTGGCCAATGCCACTACTTCTGGCTGCCCTGAAGCATCACGGTTGGAAATTCATCCTATCCTGTGAGGTGAGGTGGTCAGAACTCTTTGAGGCAAGATGACTCCAATCCCTCAGCACCTTGCACCACCAAAAGTATTCTTATCTTGGTTCTCCAGGTCGCAGCTGTTAGTGCTTGAGTCCTTCAGACCCAGCAACAGCCATTCCACTGCAGTGTTAGCCACATCAGGACTGCAGTATTAGAGGTATGTCAGGCACCTGCCCCTTATGGACTGAAACCACTCTCCTTTTCCCTTTGTAAAGAACTGTCTCTCAAGGGTGGGTAGCTCATCTTATTAACTCACCAATGTCTCTTTACGTTCATTGCCCTGACAATGTGAGAATACTCAATCTCTAGAGAGTTCTTAAATTTCCACCCCTTTCTGGGAGGGAAGGATCTTTTGCCTCAATGAGAAGAAGCTTTCCCAAGGATGACATGGGGACTTTCTAAGCTTCTCTCAGTGGAGCAGACAAGAAAGGAAACCTTTTTAATAATGTATTTAAACACTCAATGGGGTCATACTGTGGCATATGTGTGATACAGTAACAGAAAGCTGCTTTATTTTGGGGCGGCTGCTCACTTGGAATTGTTTTCTTTAATTTACATTGGAAGTTGAGTTCTGTGGTGCGGTTTATTTTGATAATTTAGAAAATCAACACATTTTGCCAATATTTTGTGCTATCCCAATTTTTTTATTTTAATTAGGTTTGCTCTACTCAAATTTTGTCATCACATTATTATCTTTAGCTTTAAATAACAATGTATCCTTGTAGTCTTAAAAATATTATTCAAATGTTTTCTAGGAAAATCAAATTATCATTGAAAGTTAATATATCCTTAGCTCTTAGCTCTTTTTCCGCAATGAAACTATTATTTTTACAATGTAATTTGTAATAAATGTGATACTATCTACGTGACATCTATCAACAACAATTAGAACAGAGAATATTACTGCTTATTTTAAACCTGGTCAGGACTTTGTCCCTGACTACCTTTCCCCTCTTTCCCTTCTTGCTACCCTGGCGGAGTACCTCATTCTCAGATAAAAGTTTCACTATCAAATCATTGGCTTCTGTACAAGTCTTTTGAGGGGAACATTTTGGGTGGATTGCCATTATTTATCCAAATGTTACTTTACTTGTATGAGTCCATTCTCACACTGCTATACTATAAATAACTGCTCAAGACTGGGTAATTTACAAAGAAAAGAGGTTTAACTGACTCACAGTTCCACATGGCTTGGGAGGCCTCAGGAAGCTTATAGTCATGGCTGAAGGGGAGGCAGACACATCTTACATGGTGGCAGGTGAGAGAGCACATGAGGGAGGAACTGTCAAACACTTATAAAACCATCAGATCTCATGAGAACTCACTCACTATCATGAGAACAGCCTGGAGGAAACTGTCCCCATGATCCAATCACCTCCCACCAGGACCCACCCTTGACACATGGGGATTATGGAGATTACAATTCGAGATGAGATTTGGGTGGGGACACAGAACCAAACCATATCATTACTCAACTGCAAAATAACTAAGGTCTATTTTACAAGGGATTGTGCAAGCAGAAAAACATTTCTATGATACTATTAGCAAGTGAGACCTCCTTTGCTTAAAAGTGCTTCTTAATGTCCAAGCAGGGAGCAAGCCTGAGAAGATGGGCCTTAGAATAGGTTGATTTTTGCTGGAACCAGAAAGAAGTAGAGAATGCAAGTTCCCAGACATCAGTTTGTAAGAGTGGCTGGGATAAAGGGAGTGGCAGTTTATAAGAGTAGCAGTTTGTAAGAGTGGCAGGAGTGATGGGGAGATGGGTAAAGGGTAAATAAATCAAAATTAATTTGTTTACTAGTTTTGATTTGGCTTTTTCCAAAACTTGAGTTTGTCTACAGTAGCATTTAGTGTCTTTTAAAATCATTAACTAAAATTAATTAAGAAAATCAATTGTGTCAGGTGTGGATTTTTTTTAATGGAATTAAACTAAATAATATTCACTCTCTTTGCAACTCCTGACACATCTTTCCTGATTATTATTATTATTTTCAAAGACTATTTTTAAAGCAGTTTTAGGTTCACAGCAAAATAGAGAATATACAGAGATTTCCCATGTAGTCTCTGCCCCCACACATGCATAACCTCCTTCATTATCAACATACCCCACCAGAGTGATACATTTGTTATTGGTGATGAACCTAAAGCAATATAATATAATCACCCAATGCCCATAATTTACATTAGAGTGCACTTTTGGTGTTACACATTCTATGGTATTGGACAAATGTGCAATGACCCATATCCATTATTAAAATATACAGAGTATTTTCACTGCCCTAAAGATCCTCTATGCTCTGCCACTTCATTCTTCCACCACCCCAACGTCTGTTTTTTTCATAAAACTTTGAGTTAATTTAGATTTGTAGTACATAGCTGTAATCTATGTAGATCAGATTACAATCTGTAGAAAGCTGGGAGACATGTTCTGTCTCACCCATCACTGATCTCATCCTTATGGAATGCGATTTTAGCCCTGGTGAAATCCAGCTGGGATCATAGAAAAACACATTTCCCTGATGCTTTCAACTCACTCTCTGTTCCTGGATAGTATTTATTTATTTCTGTTCTTTACAATCAGACGTAGTACAGAGAACAGCTAATAGGATAAACACAACGTTTCTTTTCTGCTCTATACTGATTCCAATGAAAATTGAATTCCCGATTCTCTGACAAAAAATATTTCATAGGAATTTTGACCCTGAATCTCATGTATTATATGCTTTTAAACTAAGCTATATGCATATATATTGTTCAAATTAGCAGAATCTTCAGGCATTTTCCTTTTTTCTGTTATGTCATATTCTTATAACCAGGAACCTCAGTTTAAAAAATATTTTTTAATTATCCACATTATTTTTCTTCGTTTCCTCCCCTCTCACCTCTTCATTCCTTCCCTCTCTAAACACTCCCCTCTGGCAATGCATACTTACCTGACTATACTCTTGCCTAAGAAATCCCAGAGGCTAATCTTGCAACAACCTAGGCACGGAAACCCTGTTGTGGAATCCGCCTACTTTGGGAAAGTTGTGAACAATGAGTCCACCACCAACAGGCCAAAGTCAAGATAATGCCGACCAGACTTCCTGATGGGTGATTGCCCAAGATAACCATCAGAATGAAGACACGTAGACCCTGCACCCTGCACAACTCCTCATGTCTCCCATGCCAAGTTTCCCTTTAAAAACCCTATGGTAAATTTTAAAATTTAAGACAGTACTTTAAAATGTCAAATTACCATCTTCTTGGTTTGCTGTCTCTCCAATTAAACCCACTTTTCTGCCCACCAGCCCTTGCCTGTCATGTTTGGCTTTCAAGTGGCAAACAGCCAAACCTGGGTCCAGTTACATTCTGGTAATATAAAATTGCTCTATTTGCAGAATTATTACTTCAAAAAATGCTTATTTATATTGCTCAGGAATTTGAATTAAAATATCTCTTTATTAAAGCACCATCAATAATGAATTTTCATCTGAAGGCAAGATTTCAGTGAACAGAATAATATAAATATTTAGTTTCTTTTTTGACATTTTGTTACTTTCAGTTTTATGATTTCTTTTGCATTTCAGTGCTTGACAAGTACAGCATTCTAATATACCTTTAGAATAATAAATTCAGTGACACATATCTCAAATAGTAGAGACATGATTGAAAAGTCATGGAACTAGTTGGCAGATAAGTTATTTCAAGTTTTGTTCCTGTTACGTATAAGCTATGTGATCATTGGAGGGTTACTTAAACTCTCAGATCCTCACTTATTTTGCTAAAAAAACACCAATAATAGTTATCTATGTAGAGTTATTGTTAGAATTAGGGATAATGTGTATAATGTAGTAATGAGCTTGACATATTTAGATATTGACTAAAAGGAAGCATTTACATGAAATCCTTGGACAATGCATTAGGCAACCTGTGAGAGGAGTCCCAATGATCCTTGCTTCCTAGTGTTCCTGGCCTTAGGCAATCTCTTCTTCTTTGGGGTGGCTGGAATTATTGCCTTGCTTCTAATGAATAGAATATGGAAGAGTGTGCTCCCCCTCACAGCTCTGGCGTCACTTGCCTTGGGGGAAGCCAGCTGCCATATTGTAGGGCAGTCCTATGGAGTAGCCCATGGGGTGAGTGACCAAGGCCTGTCAACAGCCATGTGAATGAGCTTGTACACAAATTAACTGACCTCAGTCATCTCATCCACATGAGACTGCAGCTCTGCCTAACATCTTGACTATAGCTCATGAAAGAGCTTGAGTCAGAAACACCCAACTAAGTGGTGCCCAGATTCCTGACTGACAGAAAATGTGAGATAATTAGTGTCTGTCATTTTAAACTGCGAAATTTTGAGGATTTGTTACATGACAATAGATGGCAAATATGTCATAAAAAGCATTGCAACTAAATTTTAGGAAAAAATCATTTGGTAAATTTTTATGTAATTCATCATAAAACTATATCTGATGTGTGTTGGTATGGGAAGAGGTGGAGCGGGGATTATGAGGCAGTTTTATGAGACAGACTTTAGGCTGTGTCTGTTTATCTGACAGTAGCCATGAGTCTCAAAAATGTGTCTATGAAACAGTAGCCTGCTTTTCTAAATGCTCCAAGAAACACGAGCATTGTGGTCGCCTATGTTTGGGAAACACTAATACATTTTTTGAATCTTGGAAAATCACAATGAACATAGTATGTTACAGGCTCTAGAAATCTCAGAGCTGCTAAAATTTCTAATAAGTTAACGCTTTGCTATGGACTGAATGTGTCCCCAAAATGCATGTGTTGGAAACTTAATTCCCAATGCAACTACAGTGTTCACAGGTGGGCCTTTTGGGAAGTGTTTAGTTCATGTGTGGATTAAGTCTGCTATGAAAAGGGCTTATGACCATGAAATTGCTCTTTTACCCTTCTTCATTCTGCTTCATTCACACAGCTGGAAGGCCTTCACCAGATGCCGGCACCTTGATCTTTGATTTCTCATCCTCCAGAACTGTGAGAAATACATTTCTCTTCTTCATAAATCATCCAGTCTCAGATATTGTGTTATAGTAGCACAAAATGGACTAAGACAAACTTTAATGTTAAGCATCCAACAATGCACTCTGGCAAATTGTGGGTTACTTCTACCAAAAAGTGTGAAATCCTGGCCTGTTCCTCACTGCAGCCTGAACTTAGCTTATAAGCAGATATTTGCAATCTATTTAAACTTGCCTCAGCCCCAGGCCTTAGGGGTTCAACCTTTCCCCAGAGCAAATGTTTTTTTTTTATGAAATAACAAGAACTCAGTGTTATAATCAACAGATGGTAATAGCTGAGCAAGTTCTAATCTCATAACACTGAAGAAATTGTTCCCAGTCTCATTCTGTCATTCCCATTTCATCATTTTCTTCTGATTTGTTGAGTTATTGCTTAATCTCAATAATTTACTTATTTTTCAGAAGGATTTGTTAACAATACCTTCTCCCCCCTCGGAGCACTCAATTTATATATATATATATATATATATATATATATATATATATATATATATATATATATATGTTTTTCAAATTTAAAATTTCTGGCTATGTACAATTTTAGTTCTCCATGAAAGATTTGTCTTCACTATGACTTGCAGCATTTCTGCTAAATTTTGTATAATGTCTTTGCAACATATTTAAAAATTCTTTTGAAATGTTTGTGTACCATTTGCAGCAGTGTATGGAAGTTACTATGAGAATTACCTTAAAATTTAAAACAGAAGTGAAAAGTTTTGCATAATTGGAAGGACTTTCTGATATCAAGTTTAAAATGTTAGGATTTTAACATAAGCTATATCTATGTGTGTAGGTCTGTTCTTATTTGGATATAATTTTTGAGATTATCACTGGAAATGTTATTACGTCAGATTTTCTATGTCAGCTATGCTAATATCACTGTCAGAAAAATTTTACAAAAATTCTCCAGGGTATACATTTTATGGAGTGTGCTTGGTTAACAAATTCTCTTCTCTGAGCACTAGCAACAACCAAAACAACAGCATTGGCAATCATTGAGTGTCTGTGTGCTATGAACTCCACCGGGCATTTTACATATGTATAATATATCCCTGTAGGATTTTACAACAATCTTACAAAATAGTTATTATAATTCCTATTTTACACATAAAGAAACTGAAGCTGAGAGCAATTAGATCACTTTTTCAGGGACTTAAAGCTAGTGGTGGCAGAGCCAGCATTGAAACACAGGTTTGTTTACTCCCAGAGCCATGTTCTTGATAATTATATTGCTTTAACAATTTTTATGTATTTTAATTTACACTCTCTGCAATTCATACACAAGGGTTCTTGACATGGTGACAGGACAGGACAGATCAAGACAGAGGCTCTCCAAGGCAGTGAAAAGACCCTTCCTATCTCCTCTGGCTTAACCTGGGTTTATGCTCCTTTCCTGGCCCTGTTGGTATAATCGGCAACATCTGTGTTGTTAGAGGGTGGAGAGCGCATGGATCATCTTAGCTCAAAGGTAGGTTCTAACAGCATAGAAGATGGAGTAGAGAAAAATAAATAGTGTTTTTTTTTCTCTCTGCTACTTACTAGAGCCATGCTATCTAATATGGCAGACACTAACCACATGTGACTTTTGAGCACTTGAATGTGGTTAGTTCAAATTAAGACGGACTGTAAAACATACACCCCCTGCCCCCAGACATCATATTTCATTAAGGCAACATAAAAATGCCAATTATCTCATTTATAACTTTTATAATTATTGCATTTTGAAGTAATATTTTTTAAAACATTAGCTTAAATAAAATGTATTACTAAAATCAATTTCTCTTGTTTCTTTGTATTTCCTTCAATGTAGATACTAGAAAATTTAAAATTGCATATGTGGCTTGCCTTTGTGGTTTTCATTATATTTCTGTTGGGTCACATGGTCTCAGAGGGTAAAAGACAGGAAGAAAACATTCCTATTTTTCACAATTTGCCTGCCCTCAGACCTGAAACCTTGAAGATAAATATTATCAAGCTCCTATTTTCCTGAAAGGGAGTAGACAAATCCAGCTAACTGCAATTTCTGGCACCATAAATAAATGACTTGTAGACAATTTTAATGTGTTTTCTAAAAATATTTCTTCCATATATGTGGCATGCAGTCCTGAATAAAGCTCCTGTGGATCAGGCAAGTTCATTTTTGGGTCACTGGCACTTATGTATCCACCATTATCTTGGCCCAATCTCATTATATTATGCCAACTTTGAGGGAAGAACTGAGTCATCACCTTCCTTTGTAATTTCCTAGACAATGCTCCACTCATAATGGGTTTTCAGAAACATATCTACCTGATCAAAGTCACTCGCCCACTCATTCACCACAAACCTCTGATGATGAGATTTGTTTTATTCCTTGTGATTCATCTTGGTGAATGTACCATGCGGTTTTGAAATAAATGTGTTATAATGCAGATGTTGGGTCTACTGTTCCCTAACTTTTAGATCAAGATAGCTGATAGTGTTGTTCAAGTTGTCTGTTTTTACTGATGTTTTTGTCTAGTTGTTTTATCAAATGGAGTATTGAAATCTCTAACTATGGTGATATAATTATCTTTTTCCTTTTAATTCTTTCAATTTTTGCTTCATGTAAACAAGCTTTTCTTTTTTTAATTGACAGATAACATTGTATGTTTTGATCATGTATAAAACCATATCGTGTTTTGAAGTATATATACATTGTAGAATGTGTAAACCTAGCTAGCAAAGAAATGCATTACTCACATAGTTACAACTTTGTGGTGAGCATTTAACATCCACTCTTCACATTTTTCAAGAATACAATATATTGTAATTAACTATAATCAGTTTATTGTACAATAGACCCCTTAAAGTTTATTCCCCCATCCAACTCATCTAACTGTAATTATGCATCCTGTGACTAACATCTTCCCATATCCTCCCAACCATCCCAGCCTCTGGTAACCACTATTTGACTCTCTACTTCGATGAGATCAACTTTTTAGATTCCACATATGAGAGAGAATATGCAGTAATTATCTTTCTGTGCCTGGCTTATTTCACTTAACATAATGTCCTCTAGGTTCATCCATATTGTCACAAATGGCAGGATTTTATTATTTTGTGTGGCTGAATAGTATTCTATTGTGTATATATACCACATTTTCATTATCCATTCATCTACTGGTAGATATTTGGGTTGATTCCACATCTCAGCTACTGTAAATAATGCTGCAATAAACACTGGAGTGTAGATATATCTTTGGCATACTGATTTCCTTTCTTTTGGACATATACTCAGTAGTGGGATTATAGACCATATGGTAGTTTTATTTCTAAATTTTTTAGGAACCTCCAAACTGTTTTCCATAATAGCTGCACTAATTTTTAATTCTCACCAATAGTGTGTAAAGGTTCCCTTTTCTCTACATCCTTGCAAACACTTATTATCTTTTGTATTTTGGATAATAACCATTCTAAGTGGGGTGAGGTGATATTTCATTGTGGTTTTGATTTGCATTTCCCTGATGATTAGTGATGTTTAACATTTTTTCAATACCTGTTGGCCATTTGTGTATCTTCTTTTGAGAAATATTTATTCAAGTCTTTTGCTCACTTTTAAACTGGGTTATTTGCTTTTGCTATTGTTTGAGTTTCTTATAAATCTTGGATATTAATCCCTTGTCAGATGTATAGTGTGCAAATATTTTCTCCCAATTCTGTAGGTTGATTTTTTTTACTCTGTTGATTGTTCCTTTTTCTGTGCAGAAGCTTTTTAGTTTGATGTAATCCCATTTGTCTATTTTTGCTTTTGTTGCCTGTGACCTTGAAGTACTATCCAAAAATACTTGCCCAGACCAATGTCATCAAGCATTTCCTCTATGTTTTCTATTAGTAGTTTTATGCCCTCATTTTTAATGCTTTATGTTTTTGTGGTATATATATATATATATTTTATAACTCTTTACTTTCAAGTTATTTGTGTCTTTATATTTCAAGTGCATCTCTTAAGGATAGCATTAAGTTGATTGGGTCTTGCTTTCTTATCCCCCTGATAATCTCTGCACTTTAACTGGAAGTGCTTCATTCATTAACATTTAATGAATCATTCGTATGGTAAGATTTAGGTCTGCCATTTTATTACTTTTTTATTTATCCCTTCTGTTTTCTCTTTCTCTTATCTCCATTCCTTGCCTAAGTACTGAATATGTATCATATTTTAATTATAATTTTTTTATTGGCTTTTTGGCTAAACCACTATTTTTAGTGGTTGTTCAAGGGATTACAACATACACTCCATTCATTTTCATATTGCTATGAAGAAATACTCAAGACTGGGTAATTTATTTAGAAAAAAAGAGGTTTAGGCCTGCCACCTGTTCCACTCCATACTACCACAGCTGATGCTCTCTTGAAAGCACCACCTTCCAACAGGAAGCCAACCAGCACAAAAATAATGCATTAATCAACCAAAGCTAAGAACCCTCACAGAGTCCATTTCACCCCCCTGCCACCTCCACTGAAGCAGGTCCTGGTATCCATGACTAAGAGACCCACAGATTGTTCACATCACAGGACTCTGTGCAGACAACCCCAACTACCAGCCCAGAGCCTGGTGGACTTGCCGGGTGATTAGATCCAGAAGAGCGATAACAATCACTACAGCTTGACTCTCAGGAAGCCACTTCCCTAGGAAAAGAGGGAGAGTACTACCTCAAAGGAAACACCCCATGGGTCAAGAGAAACTGAACAACAGCCTTGAGTCCTAGACCTTCCCTCTGACAGAGCCTACCCAAATGTGAAGGAACCAGAAAACCAACCCTGGTAATACGACAAAACAACATTCTTTAATACCCCCCAAAAATCACACTAGCTCTCCAGCAATGGATCAAAACCAAGAAGAAATCCTGGATCTATCTGAAAAAGAATTCAGAAGGTTAGTTATTAAGCTAACCAGGGAGGCACCAGAGAAAGGCCAAGCCGAATGTAAGGAAATAAAAAAAAAATGATACAAGAAGTGAAGGGAGAAATATTTAATAAAATAGATAGCATACATAAAAAACAAAACTTCAGGAAAAATGGATGCACTTACAAAATTGCAAAATGCTCTGGAAAGTCTCAGAAATAGAATGGAACAAGCAGAAGAAAGAACTTCAGAGCTTGAAGACAAGATTTTTGAATTAACCCAATCCAACAAAAGACAAGGAAAAAACGAGTAAGAAAATATGAACAAAGCCTCCAAGAAGTCTGGGATCATTTTAAACAACCAAACCTAAGAATAATTGGTGTTCCTGAGGAAGAAGAAAAATCAAAAACTTTGGAAAATATATTTGGAAGAATAATCAAGGAAAACTTCCTCAGCCTTGCTACAGAACTAGACATCCAAATACGAGAAGCTCAAAGAACACCTGGGAAATTAATCACAAAAAGATCATCGCCTAGGTACACTGTCATTAGGTTATCTACAGTTAAGACAAAGGAAAGACTGTTAAGCACTGTGAGGCAAAAAACACCACGTAACCTATAAGGAAAAATCTTACAAATTAACATCCGATTTCTCAGCAGAAACCCTACAAGATAGAAGAGATTGGGGCTCTATCGTCAGCCCCCTCAGACAAAACAATTACCAGCAAAACTAAGCTTCATAAGTGAAGGAAAGATACAGTCTTTTTCAGACAAACAAACGCTGAGAGAATTCACCATTACCAAGCGAGCTCTAAAGAACTGCAAAAAGGAGCTCTAAATCTTGAAACAAATCCTGGAAACCCATCAAAACATAACCTCTTTAAAACATAAATCTCACAGAACCTAAGAAACAAAAATACAATAAAAAAGTATACGGGCAAAAAATAGCACAATAAATGGAATGGTACCTCCCATCTCAATACTAAAATCGGATGTAAATGGCCAAAATGCTCCACTAAAAAGATATAGAATGGCAGAATGGGTAAGAATTCACCAATGAACTATCTGCTGCCTTCAAGAGACACACCTAACACATAAGGACACAAATAAGGTAAATGGATGGAAAAAGACATTTCATGCAAATAAACCCCCAAAACGAGCAGAGGGAGCTATTCTTACATTAGACAAAAAAAACTTTAAAGCAACAGCAGTTAAAAAAGACAAAGAGGGTCATTATAAAATGATAAAAGGCCTTGTCCAACAGGAAAATATTACAATCCTAAATATATATGCACCTAACACTGGAGCTCCCAAATTTCTAAAACAATTACTAATAGACCTAAGAAATAAGATAGACAGCAACACAAAAATAATGGAGGACTTCAATACTCCACTGACAGCACTAGACAGGTCATCAAGACAGAAAGTCAACAAAGAAACAATGGATTAAACTATATCCTGGAACAAATGGACTTAACAGGTATTTACAGAACATTCTACCCAACAACCACAGAATATACATTCTATTCAGCAGTGCATGAAACTCTCTCCAAGACAGACCATATGATAGGCCACCCAATGAGCCTCAATACATTCAAGAAAATTGAAATTATATCAAGCACTCTCTCAGACCACAGTGGAATAAACTGGAAATCAACTCCGAAAGGAACCTTCAAAACCATGCAAATACATGGAAATTAAATAACCTGCTCCTGAATGATCATTGGGTCAAAAATGAAATCAAGATAGAAATTAAAAATCCTTTGAATTGAATGACAATAGTGACACAATATATCAAAACCTCTGGGATACAGCAAAGACAGTGCTAAGAGGAAATTTCATAGCCCTAAATGCCTACATCAAAAAGTCTGAAAAAGCACAGACAATCTAAGGTCACTAGCTCAAGGAACTAGAAAAACAAGAACAAACCAAACCTAAACCCAGAAGAAGAAGGGAAATAATCAAGATCAGAGCAGAACTAAATGAAATTGAAATGAAAAAAATACAAAAGATAAATGAAACGAAAAGCTGATTCTTTGAAAAGATAAATAAAATTGATGAACCATTAGTAAGATTAACCAAGAAAAGAAGAGAGAAAATCCAAACATTCTCAATTAGAAACAAAATGGGAGATACTACAACTGACACCACAGAAATACAAAAGATCATTCAAGACTACTATGAACACCTTTATGTGCATAAACTAGAAAACCTAGAGAAGACGGATAAATTCCTGGGAAGATACAGGCTTCCTAGCTTAAATGAGGAAGAATTAGATACTCTGAACAGACCAATAACAAGGAGTGAGATTGAAATAGTAATAAAAAAATTACCAACAAAAAAAAGTCCAAGACAAGATTGATTCACAGCAAAAATCTGCCAGACATTCAAAGAAGTGGCACCAATTCTATTGACACTATTCCACAAGACAGAGAAAGAGGGAACCCTCCCTACATCATTCTATGAAGCCAGTATCACCTTAATACCAAAACCAGGAAAGGACATAACCAAAAAAGAAAACTACATACCAATATCACTGATGAAGATAGATGCTAAGTTTCTTAACAAAATACTAGCTAACCAAATCCAACAACATATCAAAAAGATAATACACCATGATCAAGTGGGTTTTATCTAGGAATGCAGGGGTGCTTTAACATTTGCAAGACAATAAATGTGATACACCACATAAACAGAATCAAAAACAAAACTCATATGATCATCTCAATAGACGCAGTAAAAAGCGTTAGACAAAATCCAGCATCTCTTTATGATCAAAGATCTCAGCAAAATTGGCATACAAGGGACATACTTCAATGTATTAAAAGTCATCAATAACAAACCCACAGCCAACATAATACTGAATGGGGAAAAGTTGAAAGCATTCCCTCTGAGAACTGGAACAAAACAAAAATGCTCACTCTCACCACTCCTTTTCAACATAGTACTGGAAGTCCTAGACAGAGCAATCAGACAAGAGAAAGAAATAAAGAGCTTCCAAATTGGTAAAGACGAAGTCAAACTGTCTCTGTCTGGTGATGATATGATTGTTTACCTAGAAAACCCTAAAGACTTCTCCAGAAAGCTCCTAGAACTGATAAAAAATTTCAATAAAGTTTCTGGATAAAAAAATAAATGTACACATATCAGTAGCTCTTCTCTACACAAACAGCGACCAAGCTGAGGAGAAAATCAAGAACTCAACCACTTTTACAATAACTGCAAAAATATATATATAACTTAGGAATGTACCTAATCAAGGAGGTGAAAGACCTCTATAAACAAAACTACAAAACACAGCTGAAAGAAATCATAGACAACACAAACAAATGGAAACACATCCCATACTCATGGATAGGTAGAATCAGTGCTGTGAAAACGACCATACTACTAAAAGCAATCTATAAATTCAATACAATTCCCATCAGAATACCACCATCATTCTTCACAGAATTAGAAAAAACAATCCTAAAATTCATATGGAACCAAAAAAGAGCCTGCATAGCCAAAGCAAGACTAAGCAAAAAGAACAAATCTGGAGGCACCACATTACCTGATTTCAAACTATACTATAAGGCCATAGTCACAAAGACAGCATGATACTGGCATAAAAATAGGCACATAGACCAATAGAACAGAATAGAGAACCCAGAAATAAACCCTAATACTTAAAGCCAACTGATCTTTGATAGAAGATCAGACAGAGCAAACAAAAACATAAAGTGGGGAAAGGACACCCTATTAAACAAATGATGCTGGGATAACTGGCAAGCCACATGCAGGAGAACGAAACTGGATCCTCATCTCTCACCTTATACAAAAATCAACTCAAGATGGATCAAGAACTTAAATCTGCAACCTGAAACTATAAAAATTCTAGAAGACAACATTGGAAAAACCCTTCTAGACATTGGCTTAGACAAGGATTTCGTGACCAAGAACACAAAAGCAAATGCAATAAAAACAAAGATAAATAGCTGTGACTTAATAAAACTAAAGAGCTTTTACATGCCAAAAGAAACAGTCATCAGAGTAAACACACAACCCACAGAGTGGGAGAAAATCTTCACAATCTACACATCTGACAAAAAACTAATCCAGAATCCACAATGAACTCAAATTAGAAAGAAAAATCAAACAATCCCATCAGAAAGTGGACTAATGACATGAATAGATAATTCTCAAAAGAGGATCAACAAATGGCCATCAAACATATGAAAAAATGCTTAGCATCACTAATAATCAGGGAAATGCAAATCAAAACCGCATTGTGATATCACCTTACTTCTGCAAGAATGGCCATAATCAAAAAATCAAAAAAATAAAAGGTGCTGGCATGGATGCAGTCAACAGGGAACACTTCTACCTTGCTGGTGGGAATGTAAACTAGCACAACCACTATGCAAAACAGTGTGGAGATTCCTTAAAGAACTAAAAGTAGTACTGCCATTTGATC
This sequence comes from Homo sapiens, assembly GCF_000001405.40. Lineage (NCBI taxonomy): Eukaryota > Metazoa > Chordata > Mammalia > Primates > Hominidae > Homo > Homo sapiens. The sequence goes on from NC_000010.11 coordinate 90,234,461, forward strand.
CAGCAATCCCACTACTAGGTATCTGTCCAGAGGAAAAGAAGTCATTATATGGAAGAAGACACTTGCACATGCATGTTTACAGCAGCACAATTTGCAATTGCAAAAACATGGAACCAACCCAAATGCCCATCAATCAACGCGAGTGGATAAAGAAACTGTGAGATATGTGTGTGTGTGTGTGTGTGTGTGTGTGTGTGTATATATATATATATATATATATATATAATGGAATACTACCCATCCCTAAAAAGAAATGAATTAATGGCATTCACAGCAACCTGAATGAGATTGGAGACTATTATTCTAAGTGACATAACTCAGCAATGGAAAACCAAATATCATGTGTTCTCATTCAAATGTGGGAGCTAAGTTATGAGGATGCAAAGGCATAATAAAGCCATGGTGGACTTTGGGGGCTCAGGGGGAAAAGGGTGGGAAGGGGACGATGAATAAAAGACCACAAATTAGGTGCAGTGTATACTTCTCAGGTGATGGGTATGCCAAAATCTCACAAATCACCCCCAAAGAACTTACTCATGTAACCCAATACTACCTGTTTCCCAATAACCTACAGAAATAAAAAAAAATAATAATAAATAATAAATAAAGAGAGAAAGAAAAAGAGGTTTAATGGATTCACAGTTACACATGGCTGAGGAGGCCTCACAATCACGGTGGAAGGTAATGGAGGAGCAAAGGCACATCTTACATGGCAGCAGGCAAGAGAGCATGTGCAGGGGAACTGCCCTTTATAAAACCATCAGATCTCATGAGACATATTCACTATTATGAGAATAGCATGGGAAAAACCTGCCCCCATGATTCAATTACCTCCCACTGGGTCCCTCATACAACAGGTGAGGATTTTGGGAGCTACAATTCAAGATGAGATTTGGGTGGGGACACAGTCAAACCATATCATATACATATAAATTTTACAGCCAATCTGGAGTTTACATTGTACTATTTCAAAAACACACACACAGACACAGACACACACACACAAATGTAGACAACTCATAATTGGATAGGTCCATTTACCATCTACTCCTATTCTTTCATTCACTATTTATCACCATACATATTACATATACACATGATCGATCCCATGAGACAATGTTATAATTTTTTGCTTACAACAGTCATATGTATTTACAAATAATTAGAAAAATAGTCTTTTACATTTTATTATATATTTACCATTTTTAGCATTTAAGATCAAAGTTTTTGTCTGATGTCATTTCCCTTCAGCCTAAAGAACTTCATTTAGTATTCCCTATTGTGCAGATTTGGTGGTGACAAAGTGTGTTATTTTGTCTGAAAATGTCTTTCTTTTACCTTTAATTTTGAAGGATAGTTTTCATGGATATGAAATTCCATGTTTGCAGTATTTTCATTCTGCATTTCAAAGATGTTGTTTAATTAACTCTGGCCTTTGTAATTTATGATGAGAAGTCCATGCTAATTATAATAGTTGTTCCCTGATATGTAATATGTCTTTTTGATTCAATTGCTCTCAATGTTATCTCTTTATCTTTGCCTTTCAGCAGTGTGGCAATAATGAGCCAGGAGTGGTTTTCTTTTTATTTGTTCTGCTATGTTAGTAGTCACTTCATTGCTTCTCAGCTAAAAATTCTTCTTCGCCCTACCTTGTGATATTAAAGCTCTGGACATTTCTCCTTTGCTGGATGGCATGATATTCAGGTTTTGCTAATGGAGAATTCTGAAGGGTTGCTACAAGGCCAGAGAAGAAGGAAGAAGCTCTCCTTCAATCTTGGATTGTGCTATTTTCTATGCAACAGCAAGCAGATCGGCATGTAGGGTCTGGTAGAATTGAGAAAGGTAGCCTTTGCAGTCCAGCTTAACTCATCTCTTTCTGTACATTTCTCTGGCATCATAGCAGCAGCTTTCACTTATCTGTGGTTCTTTCTTGTGGAAAACTTCTCAACTTTCCAGCAGTAGTATTTTCCTGTATTTCAGCTATAAACTTTACCTTCTGGTAAGTTTCTCCATCATTATAATTGTGATTTTCATCATCGAACTCGAGCCCTGCACCCTCCACCAAGTTTCTTACTACTGCCATCTGATGCAGTACATGTTTTTTAGCAAGTTTCTTTGATACTGGTAAGCTGTCTGTATATTCTTATAGGAGCTGCATCATTTCCTTAGATGGCTGAATCTCAACCTTTGGTAGTAGGGAGTGGGAGTGGGGTGTCTCCTTTCAAGTTCCCTTCTAATTTACTTCCCCTTAGTCTTTAGTAGTTGCTCCTTCTTATCTCAAGTCTTTTTTTTTTTTTATTTTTACCCATTTTAGTAGCTAACCACCTTCTTAAAATGAATAGTTATTTATAGCAAGTTTTCCCATTTCAAATTACTGGTGTCATATCTGTCTCCTGCCTGGACCCTAACTGACAAACTGGAATTTTTTGAGCATCTTCTATCTGTAACTTTAGGACTTTCACCAAATTTAAGGAAATGTTTTTCATTATTTTTTCCAATATTTTTCTGCCCCATTCTTTTTTTTTCTCCTTCTGAAACTCCAGTTAAATGTCAGGTATAGCTTCTATATTGTCCCTTAGGTCACCTTCATTTTGTTTATTTTATTTTGATGCTTTCTCTCTGTTCTTTGTATTGGGTAACTTTTATGATCAATCTTCAAGTTCATGGACTTTTTCCCCCGTCATCTCCCTTTCACTGTTAAGCCCATCCAGTGAAATGTTTATTTTAGATGTTATTTTTTTAGATCTAAAATTCCCCTTTTGCTATGTTGTAAATAGTTTTTATATTTTTGATAATATTTCCTATTTTTTCATTCATTATAAGTATAGTTTTCTTTATGGCTGAGTTTAGTTATAATAGCTGCTTTAAAAATCTGTGACTGCTAATCCCATCATTTGTGTTATATCAGAAATGGTCTTGGTTGATTATCTTTTATTTTGAGATTGAGGATCATTTTCTGGTTGTGTTTTAGTTCAAATTTCAGTTCAAACCTTTGAAACTTAAATGTGCTTCTTAAAATTTGCCCATGCAGTGCAGTCAGAGATTAGACATAGATTTGGAGAGTTTATACAGAATTGGTGATCCCTATAGAAGACAAATGTTTGATGCTGCCCTATTGACAAACTACATTTCCTAAACTATATTATTCTGACTGTTACTGTGTGATCTATGAAAATCTTGTGAGTCTGAATGTCTAGTGAAATTTTAGAAGACCCTTTGGTAGGTTTTGTGTACTGTTACTCTCTCTATTCTCTCCTTAAAGGTTGGTCGTTACTAACTTAAGTGGCACTCAGTAAGTTTAACCTTTCTAAATTCAAAAATAATGAATTATCTCAGAAGCAAAGTGGTGTGAGCCTATACTGCAAATATATGGGATTTAACCATGCCTTTAGGAAAAATAGGCCCTCAGATTTGTTGAGTGTTGGTGAACCCTTTAATGTCCTATATGTGGCTGGTTTGTTTTGTACAAAAAAACAACAGCACAAAATTCAACATGTACAAACACTATATTTTAATGGTTCTCCTTTGTTGTTCAAATAATGCTATCAATTAGCTTTTTCTGGGTCAGTTTGTCTTTGCAGGAAGCGGAAGAGTGCTTGTTACAGATTCCTCACGCCATATATGGGGACTGGATGTGTAAAAAGATATTTTCTTGTGGGGTGGGGGGAGGGGGAAGGGATAGCATTAGAAGAGATACCTAATGTTAAATGACGAGTTAATGGGTGCAGCACACCAACATGGCACATGTATACATATGTAACTAACCTGCACGTTGTGCACATGTACCCTAAAACTTAAAGCATAATAAAAAAAAAAGAAGTGGTAGAAAGGAGTTTTCACACTACTATATGTATATGCATTTCAAAACTTGTTTTGAGCTACCTTCTTCCACAACTATACACTTTCTGATAAACTGCCCTAGTTCCTCCTGAGGCCCACCTCTCAGGGCATCTGTTGAGAGGTCTTCATTTCCCAGGGATAATTCACACTACTGCCTTGTGTTGTGATATAATAGATTCTTGTGGTCAGTCTTAAATATCCTATCAAATTGTAATCCCCTCAAAGGTAAAAATTTGTCTCTTTGCTACACTGAGTGAAAAAGGGAGTAACTTCCAATTACTGACCACTGCTTAACTGAATTATAGAGTTCAGTCAACAAATAAATGCCATTTGACTTTCTGAAAAATGTCATCAAGTACCTCCTGCTGTTTTCCAGCTCCCAAAGCTATGCTATATTACCTAAGGTGGCCCAAAGACCACTTGTAATGGGCCTCAGTTATTTTTTTTCTGCCAACAATTGTTTCCCATATTTTTCTGGATAATTTTCTTTCTTTCTTTTTGGGATAACTTTTCCCTTCTCAATACCCATTCCACTTGAATCTGGAGAAATTTCTAATCACATACTACCTTGACCCAGCAGTCACAAATTTGACCACACAAACTTAGTGTTAATAATCATTGGGATCTCTCCTTCTGGTCACAGGGTTTGGTTCATAGGTCAGCACATGTTTGAGCAAGATGAATATGAGCTCTTCACTGGTAAGAAGAGAGAGCTTTCCATTTTTTTTGGTGTTGTTAAACTTAAATGGTATAAATTTGGGTAGTCTGTAGTCATGTCCTAGCCACACCATGCAGACCTGAGTGAGAGTCATTTGAGACTATGATCCGATTGCAACTAACAGTCATAAGTGCTAGATGCCAGAAAATTTCATTGTCTTTCTCCCTCTTTGCTTTAGCAATTTAGGTAAATTACATAAAATTGCCAATATTTCCTAATTTGGACCCACAAAAACAGCAAATTCATTTGATTTAATCCAATGGTTTGAATTGGATTTCTGTAATTGCAATGAAAAATGTTACAACTATACTCAAAACAGTGTAGTATTGGAATGAGCATAGAAATATAGACCAATGAAATAGAATTGAGAGACCAGAAATAAATCTAAATATCTATGGCTAATTGATTTTCACAAGTGTCAAGTCCATTCAATGAGGGAAAGAACAGTCCCTTTAACAAATTGCTTTGATACCACTGGATTTTCACTTGCAAAAGAAAAAAGTTGGACCCCCTTCTTCTCACCATATACAAAAACTAACTAACTTAAAATTGATCTGTGACTAAATATAAGAGCTAAAATCATAAAAGTCTTAGAAGAAAACAGGGATAAATCTTCATCACCTTGGGTTTGACAATGGATTCTTAAATATAACACCAAAAGCACAGGTAACAAAAGAAAAAGTAAATAAAATGTACTTCAAAAACTTAAAAAGTTTTGTGCATCAATGGACATCATCAGGAAAGTGAAAAGATAATCTACAAAAGGGGAGAAAATATTTGCAAATCATTTACCTGATAGGAGTTTCGTATCCACAATATATTAAAAAAAAAACCCTGAAATCCAGCAACAAGTAGAAAAGTAACCCAATTTAAAAATGGACAAACAACCTTGTGTAGGCATTTCTCCAAAGAAGACATAATGGCCAATAAGCACATAAAAAGCATAAATGGCCAATAAACACATAAAATGATGTTCAACATCATTAGTGAATGGGGAAATACAAATCAAAACCTACTTTACACATGGTAGGATGGCTATAATTTTTTAAGAAATAAAATAACAAATATTGGTGAAGATGTGGAGGAAATTGGAATTCTGTATATCTCTTGTGGGAATGAAAAATGGTGCAGCCTCGGTGAAAAATGGTTTGATGATCCCTCAAAAAGCTAAACGTAAAATTACCATATGACTGAACAATTACACTCATAAGTATATACACAAAAGAATTTAAAATGGAGACTCAAACACACTTGTACACCAAGGTTAATTGAAGGTAGTCAGAATAGACAAAAGGTGGGAACAAAGTATCAATCAACAGATGAATGGATAAACAAAGTGTGGAATATATATACAATGGTATATTATTCAATCATGAAAATGAATGAAGTTCTGATACATGTCATAACATGTATAGACCTTGAAAACATTATGCTAAGTGAAATAAGCCATACACAAAAAGACTAATATTGTATGATTCCACTTACATTAGGTATCTTGAATAGGCAAATTTAGAGGCAGAAAGCAGATTAGAGATTACCAAAGGCTGGAGGGAGGGGAATGGGAGTTATTGCTTAATGATTAAAGAGTTTCTGTTTAAGATAATTGAGAAATTTTGAAAGTAGATAAACAGTGATAGTTGCACAGCATTGCAGACGCAATTAATGCCACTGAATTGTATACTTAAAATGGTTAAAATGGTAAATTTTGTTATATATCTGATCATAATTATAAAAATAACATTCCAACTATCTTTACTGTAATTATTAACCCAACTCTTTTTTCCTCAATGGTCCATCTAGTTTGGCATGGGCAAGATACTTCAGAAACATATTCAAAATTCCTTTAATTTACCAAACTGTATAATTGGAAACATTTGTGTTTTTCTGAAAACCTTTAGCCAAATCAAAGCTGCAAATCAATTTATGCATGAACAGTGACAGTCCTTTATATGTCATTGAAATAGCTGTGTTTTAAAACTGACAAATGCTTGGAAGTTAAAATTGCAACTACACACATTGCTTGCAATTTTATGTTCTTTGCAAATTGTCATTATGCATATTTCTGGAAATCTGAGAGATTCCAATTTAGAAGCTCATTTCTCTTTCTTTCATCCTCCTTTGTATTCCAACCTTGTTCCAAACCAGGCTATATCTTCTAAATAAAAGCTGCGAAGAGATCACTCAGATTCAATTTCTTTCCTTTAGCAAATACAGGGTGTCAGAACTGTTTATATCACATTGCATTTTAAGTAAGATACTGCTCTTTCTAGCTTCTCCAGAGTTTGTGGGAAAAAAAAAAAAAAAAACCCCTGGTCAAAGAATTTGAAAACTGGTCCTTTTCCACCTCAACAGCTTTGGATGAGTTATTTACCTCTTTGAACTTCAGTTCTTTTGACAAAATGTGAATAATAATTCTTGATCTACTAACATTACTGGATTGTTGAGATGATTAAATGAAGATATTGGATAGGAACAAAGCTCTGTGAAAAACAGTGCAACTCTGAGAACAAATAATACAGATAACACCAAAGGGTCCTGTAAGCTTAGTTATTTGATTAGCTGTTTTTTTAAACAAAAAGAAAGTTGGACTCCTTGTGGGCAGTATTTATCCTTAGTACTAATCCTCATACTGACTGAGAGGACATACTCTGAATATTAGGAGCTGAGATAGCAGCCTGAAAGAGCTCACAGTAACCCCTGATGTCTAAACAGACAGAGAGAGATTATATTTAAAAACTACAGCCTCATCCAAGGCAAAAGTACTCCAGAATTCTTTACAATAGAGAGCAAAGTCCTTCTTACTTAGAAAGTTGAAGGGATCCCAAACTTGACCTTGTGCTCAACGCTTGCTCTCCCTTGAATGGAGCCAGACTTTCTTCCACTTTATACAAAGCCCTTCCCATAGGCTACTATATAAGGGCAAGATAACTATGGGGAAAACAGTCCTACTCAAACACTGAGGAAATAAACACAGACTTCTTCTAACCAACTAGGTCCTAAATTAATTAATGCATATAGACTAGAAGAATCACCAGACAGTTGAAGAGGTAAAAACAGAATAAAAGGGAAGGATTTCATTCAATAAACAGAACTGATAAAAGAAGAAATAGAGATAATGTAACAAATAGCAAGGAAATTACAAATAATTCTATTTCCCAGAATGAAAAATATATTGTAGCCATAGTGTAATACTGCACTGCCATGAAAAGGAAACTATCAAAGACCAAGGTAGCATGCTTGCAAATTAGAAACATAATTTCCAAATATGTATATGGTCTGGAGTCATGGCTAAAAACAAAATTTTTCCTCTGGAAAATATGCAATGTTAGTGTTCTATAAGGGTATGCAAATAGATAGAATGGGAAAAGAATGTAGAGAAAACTGAGAGGTAGAAAATTATTTCAGAGATTCAATATCCATCTAAAAGGAGTTCCAATAGCATAGACATTAGAAAATGAAGGTAGGGGGAGTCACTTTTAATATATAGTTATTTTTTAAAGCTGAAAAAAGTCACAGATTGAAAAGTCTTACCAAGTACCAAAGTGGGATGAATGAGGTAAACACACACAAATTAGAGATAGGTAGATGATAGATAGATAGATGATAGACAGATAGACAGACAGACATCTTGGTCAACTTGCAGATATTGAAACAGAAAGAGATTAACCTCAAGAGGTAATACCTGCTGGGTATTCTAGTGTCTATTCCCGATAGACTGAGACACTAGGAGACAACAGAAGAATAGTTTCGGGGTACTGATAAAAAGAGAGTTTAAATTTAGGGTTCTATACCCAGCCACATGTGAGGGCAGAGTAAAGACATAGCTTGCAAAATTGACCATCCACAGAGTTTTGCTGAAGAATTGTTTAAAAATATACTGTAGCAAAATAGTAAAGGAATGCAACAGCAAGGGAAGCAAGAAATTGTAGTGAGCAATGAAACCAGTAAAATCACACATATTTCTAAATAAATTTTAATATATAATATAAAAACAAACACACAAACAAAATCTGGAAATAAAATACCAGCTGATCTTAACATAAGAAGTGAAGAGGGGAAAGATTGACCGAGTGGAAGGGTAGACATAGGATAAAATGAAGAAATGATATAAGAAGTGTGTGGAGAGAGATGACACTCACTAATTGTAGATATAGATAGAAAAATATGTTTACTTTTTTATGTTAAATGTAACCATTAAGAAAGAGGAAACTAATAGCAAACTTTCAAAGCAAGTAGGTACAAAAATTGAACAAAAAATCATCCAGCAAAGAAAAAGAAACAAAAATAAGAAAGCAAATCAAAATTATAATATAAAATGATGAGTGTAACTCTAATTGTTTTAATAATCACAGCAATATTCACAGATCAAAAAAACTTCAAGTTACATTAAACATTGTTATTTTATTCTTTTTATAAAAAGCATGCCTAAACATAACAGAAAAACTGGAGTGTGTGGGATGTGGAAAGATATAATAGGCACGTGCAAAACACAGAAACTAGGAGTAGCAAATTAATATCAAACACAAAGTTCAAGGCCAAATTAATTGAACTGGATAAAAGGTGTAATCTACATAGAAAATATAATATAAACTTCTTATTTTTCAGCATGGTTTCAAATTATATTAAGCATTAGAAAAAATGTTATGAAAACTGACAAAAGTCTACAACCATAATGGGAGATTTAACAGGCCTCTCTCAGAAATCAACAGATCACTTAGAAAACAAAATAAATAGAGAGCTATGTCGTCCATTATGGTACCAATATACACACTGGACACATGGCTATTGAATACTTAGTATGTGGTTAATTCACTAGACACTAGACACATGGCTATTGAGTGCTTAATATGTGGTTAATTGAAACTGAGATGTGCTATAAGTGTAGAACACACTGGATTTTTGAAGATAATACAAAAAAGAATGCAATATACCTAGTAATAATTTTTCTATTGATAAAATATTAAAAAAGAATATCTGGGTATTTGTCATTAAATAAAATACATTATTAAAAATAATTTTACTTTTTAATGTGGTTACTAGAAATTTTAAGGTTACATGTGTCATTTGCACTATATTTTTATTGGACAGTGGTGGTAAGAGGATTTGAGTAACACTAAATATAAACTTTATTTAGTGGACCAATCTAGTTATAGTTCAGCTTTGTAGTACACCCAAAATAGATAAATTATTTTATTCCAATATCCATGAGATGTTTACAAAAATATATGAAGTATTAAATCTCTTGGGAAAATATCGATGTATTCCTCCAAAGGACAAAAATCAAAGCAAAACCAAAGATAAAACAAACTAACTAAGAAAAAAATCAAATATTTTTCTACAAATGATATGATAATGGTTATTATCAATCTGAATGATCCTTGCGCTAATGTATTTTGAGACATATATGGACAAGTAATGACTATGAAATGCCCATTCATCTGCAGCCTAGCACTGATTCTTTACAAAGGACCTTGATACCTTCTAGTCTCAAGAAGCCTTGATGACAATGACAGCGGGGTGAAAGCTGCAGGGAGAGAATGTGTATAAGCCATTGCATAGAACTGAGTCCACCTCTTCTTTCCAACCAGGTCAATGAAATAGTGCACCTGCAGCTAGAAGTCATGAAAGAACCAGCAAAGCACTTACCTATCAGCACAAATGCTATATTCCATCCATCTGCTATTTAGAGCAAAGTTTATCAAGCCTGAGTTTTGAACAAGCTCCTAAACAGCACAGAAATGAACATAGTCTGCTTAGTGCAGGGCTTAACAACATGGACTTTAGCATCAGACAAACTTGTGTTTGAAACTCAGCTTTTCCACTTATAAAACTTGGACAATTTTCTTAACTTCTGTGAGGCTCAATGTTCTTATCTGTGAAATGAGCCTAATAATAGCAAATTAAATATAATCCCTGTAAAGAAGGCAGCACAGGGCCTGGCATAAAGCAGCAATTAAAAAGAAAAAGTTTGCAATGTTCATATCATTGTTATTTTGAGAGTTAGCTTCAGTAAAAAGTGAAAGAAATTCCAGTCAGAAGAAATAGAAGAGGAAAGACACGACACAAGAAACAAAATAGTGTCTTAGGGGAAGTGTAAGGAATTTGATTTATTACAAAACAAAGAGTGGCAGAGAAGAATCTCCTGAGATAGGTAATGGCTATGCCATGGGAAACCTTCAGATGTCATGCCAAGGAGATCAGCCTTTATTAGGTGATAAATAGCTTTTGCGAGATTGTCGTGACAAGGAAAACATTTGAAATCTGTAATGACAAGGACAGATTTGTATTCTAGATAGATGACTCTCTCTACACTGTGGTAAGTGGATTGGAGGATGTCAAAGCCTCTGCAAAGTGTAACAGTTAGAAGGCTGTGACAGTGACTCACAAGGCGGTGAGCCTTGATAAATCAGTGATGGTAGAAGTAAAGCACCAGAGATAGAGCTGATGTGTTTAAATACACACCTACACGTATATAATAAAATTAGTGAAAGTGTATGATTAATTCTAAGTGGGAAGGGAGAATAAAGTTGATCAAAGTGATCAAGATATCACCAGAGTGTCTGCCTTGGATAAAAAGAATGGTGGTACCTAGAATAGAGATAAAAAATACACGAGGAAAAGCAAACTTGGAAGCAAAGATGGAGAGCTCAAGTTTAGATTGTTGAGTGGCATGTGTCTATGGGACAGCCACCTATGTAAATCTAGAAGGAATTTGTTCAGTAAGACCTGAAACCAAGGGAGGGCTGGAAGTGGTGATTCGTGAGTCAGTGGCACAAATGGGAGTACAAACAGTAATGTTCCAGTCAGATGAAGGAACATCAATTAAGGAGACTGAGAAAGTATAATCAGAAGGATAAGATAAGAGAGAATGGAGAGTCTGATGTAACAGGAAGTACAGGAAAAGAGTTTCCAAAAAGCAAAGAGTTTTCCATAAAGTGAAAGAAAATTTTTAAAAATCCACTAAGATAATGACTGAAGAGTATCCTCTCATTTTTTTAAAAAAGGGAAACCAATAGATTGTAATAGTTTGAAGGAAGACTGGGAACACAAATGAAATCAAAATATGTAAGAAAAGGTAAGAAAAGTGGTGGCCACAGTGGAACTCAAAATGAAAAGATTTTTAAAAATTATTAAACTGCAGCCTGCTGCATATCTCAAGTTAAATGTTCTGCAGGCACAGCAAGATCAGCATCTTCAAACTTCATCTCATTTCCACTCAATATTTTTTATGAGACTTCAGTGTATTTATAGGAGGAGAGAAAGGAAGCAGTAGAGATGATAATGGTGAAAACATAGGAAAGATAAGGGATAACTAGTAGAGAACAATCCTAGAAGAGATGAGAGGGACTGGTATCATGATCACACTGAGGAGGCTTTGTTCAGCTATAAGTAGAGACAATTCCCGTCCTCTGAATCTGGAGGTAAGAAGGTGGTTTAGGCAATGGATGAAGTCTTGCTGTAGAGCAAGGTGAGTTTGAAATATATCAGTGAGGTCATACTGTCATCTTTCAAGAGTGAAAAGGGTTAGGTTGGATGAAGATTTTTGAGGACAGTGGTGAAAGTTTAAAATTATTTTTGAGGGGATCAGAGGTAGGAGAAGACTAAGAAAAAAATAAGGAAAATATTGAGTGGGCTCTGCCTGAGTGTGCAAATTCCCTCAGTAGCCTGAGTGGGATAGAGATGTACTGCAATGCTGATCTCAAAAAGCTGAGGGTTGTACTAAATGGGTGCAGTAGCACAAGGGTACTCTGTAGTTTAGGGTGTGGGTGAGAGAGTTGTTGGATGGAATATCCATGAGGCTCTGACAGAGTAGAGAAGTAAGTAAGACCAGATGAGACCTACAAAAATAAGTAAAAGAGAAAGGATAAAAAATAAATGTGGAGGTCTCTCTGATGTAAAACAACAGAGAATCATGGGATCAGGAGTAAAAAAGAAATGGATGGATGAAGGTTATGATTTAGAAAGTCAGTTACCACATGTGAATTGATTTAGAGATGTTTTTGGGGGTAATGACAAGGCCTGTGGTGTGAATAACAAGATGGCTGACTGAAGTGGAGACAAACATCCCTGGGTCTCTGCATGCTAATGAAAGGAGGGGCCGTAGTGTTGGATTTTTGAAGTGGCAATACAGTTACCCAGGATGGTGGCCCAACATAAGATAGAGCTAAAGTCTAAGCCAGATGCTGAGAATCAAAAGAAATGCAAGGAGGTAACTAGCAAAGCAGTAGATGAGAGAAACAAAGATCTAGTTTCACATAATCTTGGGATATTGATGCAGTAGGCTAAATGATGCCCACCCCACAAAGATATCCACACCAGTATCTGTGAATTTGTTATCTTAAATGGTAAAAGAAACCTGGCTGAGATGATTAAGGATCTTGGGATGGGAAGATTTTCCTGGACTATCCACATGGGCTTAGTGTTATCACATGGGTCCTTATAAGAGGGAGGGCAGAGGGTCAAAGTCAGGTGATGACAGAAGCAGAGGTCAAAGTGATGTGGGGCCATAAGCCAAGGAAAGTGGGTGGGTGGGCGGCCTCTGGAAGCTGGAAAAGGCAAGGAAACAGATAGTTCTCTAGTGCTTCCAGAGAGAATCCAGCCCTACCTTGATTTTAGGACTTCTGACCTCCAGGGCTGCAAGATACATTTGTGCAGTTTTAAGCCACTGAGTTTGTGGTAATCTGTTACAGAAGCCACAGAAAACTAATACAATTGTTTCGCACAAACTCTCATGGGGAGTGCTAAAAGCCTTGGTGGAGACTGTTGTCATCTCTACTGGGAAGATGCATGCTCAGGTGTTGGCATGAGGATGAGGAGGCCTACGGGAAGGATAATTAGCATCATGCCCCTGGCTGGGTGGAGTGGATGGAGCATACTTGAGTGAAGTGTGATCATCTGCTGCTCATGATTCAGCTCTGACTTCTATCTTGGTGTTCAAGCAATGCTTCTCGTGGTGGCTTCTTATAGTCAGCTCCTCATTCCAGTTGCCATGGCCCTTTCAGGTCTGGTTTTCTCTTGGAATCTCCCCTCCAACAATCTTGCTTTTTAAAAATCTCCAATGTGATGAAATAAAGAAAATATTTACTACTCTCTGATTAAAATGTTCTCTCAGAGTCACCTGGATGAGTTTGTATTTTTAGACACCAAAACCTGGAAGACACCTTTTTCTTTCTGCTTTCTGACTAGTTTTATCTAGGACTGGGTGTATTGATTACAAGCCTACTAACTTCTTTAATGGGAAGTAGGCACAGAAAGAAAGAGGTAATATCTTTATAAATACAGGAATCAGGAAATCAAGAAGTGATTCTGGGCAAAAAGATGTCAGAAACTCAGCAAAGGATATCTGGTTACCTACACAAAGGCTCAAGTAACAAATATAGGGTATCAGAGTTAGAAGGCAGCTTGCTTTTTACTTCATTCTGAGCCAGCTGTTCAGTCCATGGTCCCTGCCTAGCATAAGAACTGGACCTGGAGTATGAGTTCTGAGTTCAAAGATTGGGGCAAATCAGTAAATATTACTTTAATGCAAGAAAAAAAAACTATGGAACAAAATAGCCTTTGACAGGATATTTCTCTGTATTCCAGCTTGTTGAGTCTTAGAGTTATGCAATATTAAAAGTAAAGACATCCTTCAAAGCAAGAAATACGAGTGATGATTGAGTGTGGTGTATTAAGGGTTAAGGCTCTGTGCTAAGTGCTTTATTTCCATTCAATCCTAATGATCAATTTGTGAGGCTGACATTATTATGCCTATCTGACAGAGGAAAAACCTGAAACTCAGAGAATGTAAGTGACCTCCCCAAAGGCATTCAGCTCAAAGGTATTTAGTAAAAGTCTCAGATGAAAATCAAACCTATTTTTGAGTGATTCAAAAATCCAGAAGGTGTGCTCTCTTTATTTCCACCATATCGCTCCCCAGTAGTCTCAGTATCTAAGACCTACAAACTTCAGAAACATTCTTGAGCAGTCTTATTGTTATGCTGATGTGAGAAGTCAGGCAGCTTTAATTTAACATTCAATATATTTCTGGACGATATATGTCAATATTTCCTCTTAGAACTATGGGCAAATCTTTCAGTATCTAGCAAAATGTGTTTGTAATCTCCCTGGATTCTGCTTATTTCTGGCCAGCAAAGCACAGGCCAGATCACATTGCTTCAGTTTCTAATTTAATGGGACATTAAGCATCCATTTCTGGTACCTAAATTGTACCGACTCTGTTATTTATAGAGCTTACATGCAAAGTGTTTAACTGAAATATGGAAATAAAAATAGGAAATGGATGGGTGCCTGCTATTGAGTCTCATAAGTGATCCCTTAATATTATTAAGTCCAGTAGGTAATGAGTGTTAAACAAATTTAGAAATTTTAAAATAAAGACTTAATTTCCTTCAGCTAAGGAGCTTCCAATTTTTATTTTGTGCTCCAAACATGTGCTTCTGGAAACAGTCAGGTCATCCATGCTTTATACATCATTCAGACATCTCTTGTTAATGGTGGTGCAATAAGGCTTCTTCTTCTCTCTTCTTCTCTCTCCCTCCTTCCCTTTCCTATTTTTCCTCCCCTTCCTTCTTTCCTTCCTTCCTTCGTTCCCTCCCTCCTTCCCCCAAGCTGTCTTTCTCTTTTTTTCTTTTCCTTTAATGTGATGAATCAATGCTGTAATGCAAACACCAGACATGGATTCTCAACGTGCACATGCTCAGCAGGGCAGAACTTTGTGAGCCTGTTTCAAAATTCCAGGAATAAAAGGAAATATACATAATCTGAATGCTGCCTTTTGCTGAGGACATTCAAAATAGATGTTTGCTTATTTTTACAGGTTTATAAACACATGGAAAACAAAATTCCTTCTAAGAGATTCAGAAATGCAAACAGGTACATGGTAAGGGTTTGAAGTGCCTAAAATATAGATCTCCATGTAGGGGAGATGGTCTGATGTCTGATTTCACTATTTGTTTATTAAAAAGCAGTTGGGAGTTATAGACTCTATCTCTCTACCCCTTCACACCTTGTATTAGATCAGTCAATGTCCCATAAGGTTCCAATCCTCTCTTTCCATGCAACGGCAGCTCTGTATGTATCCCACCAGGCATGTTCTTTTCCAGATCAGACTATACCAGTGGATACCACCCAAATTCTTTCAATTTCCAAAGTATCACATGATATTTTCGTGAAGTTCTGGGCATCAGGCCATTTACATCACAGAACACAAATGATTGAAAGAAATATTAAACACTTGGAGTCCCTCCACTCTCCCTGTCCCTGAAGACTTCATCTGGGCTGCTACTCCAAGGAGAGCTGGGGCCCATTACCATGTTGTTTGGCTTCTTCTCCCTCTACCTGCTCTCTTCTCCCCATACTATCTTCTCATATACTCAGGCTTTCCAGGGAGGATTAAAATTCTTCATATTTCATTATGTACCACAATTTAATTCTCTCTTTCTTGCTGTTTGCCCATCCTGATTATGCCATGAAGGCACATTCTCACTTATAAATGGGAGCTAAAAAAGTGGATCTCATGGAGGTAGAGAGTAGAATGCTAGTTATTTCTGGTTGAGAAGAATGGGGGGAAGAGGAGATAAAGAAAAGTTGCTTGGGGGAGGAGCCAAGATGGCCGAATAGGAACAGCTCTGGTCTACAGCTCCCAGCGTGAGCAACGCAGAAGATGGGTGATTTCTGCATTTCCATCTGAGGTACCCGGTTCATCTCACTAGGGAGTGCCAGACAGTGGGCGCAGGTCAGTGGGTGCGCGCACCGTGCGCGAGCCGAAGCAGGGCGAGGCACTGCCTCACTCGGGAAGCGCAAGGGGTCAGGGAGTTCCCTTTCCTACTCAAAGAAAGTGGTGACAGACGGCACCTGGAAAATCGGGTCACTCCCACCCGAATACTGCGCTTTTCCGACGGGCTTAAAAAACGGCGCACCACGAGATTACATCCCACACCTGGCTCAGAGGGTCCTATGCCCACCGAGTCTTGCTGATTGCTAGCACAGCAGTCTGAGATCAAACTGCAGGCGGCAGCGAGCCTGGGGGAGGGGTGCCCACCATTGCCCAGGCTTGCTTAGGTAAACAAAGCAGCCAGGAAGCTCAAGCTGGGTGGAGCCCACCACAGCTCAAGGAGGCCTGCCTGCCTCTGTAGGCTCCACCTCTGGGGGCAGGGCACAGACAAACCAAAAGACAGCAGTAACCTCTGCAGACTTAAATGTCCCTGTCTGACAGCTTTGAAGAGAGCAGTGGTTCTCCCAGCATGCAGCTGGAGATCTGAGAACAGGCAGACTGCCTCCTCAAGTGGGTCCCTGACCCCTGACCTCCAAGCAGCCTAACTGGGAGGCACCCTCCAGCAGGGGCACACTGACACCTCACACTGCAGGGTACTCCAACAGACCTGCAGCTGAGGGTCCTGTCTATTAGAAGGAAAACTAACAAACAGAAAGGACATCCACACCAGAAAACCATCTGTACATCACCATCATCAAAGACCAAAAGTAGATAAAACCACAAAGGTGGGGAAAAAACAGAGCAGAAAAACTGGAAACTCTAAAAAGCAGAGCGCCTCTCCTCCTCCAAAGGAACGCAGTTCCTCACCAGCAACAGAACAAAGCTGGACGGAGAATGACTTTGACGAGCTGAGAGAAAAAGGCTTCAGAAGATCAAATTACACCGAGCTACGGGAGGACATTCAAACCAAAGGCAAAGAAGTTGAAAACTTTGAAAAAAATTTAGAAGAATGTATAACTAGAATAACCAATACAGAAAAGTGCTGAAAGGAGCTGATGGAGCTGAAAACCAAGGCTCGAGAACTACGTGAAGAATGCAGAAGCCTCAGGAGCCGATGCGATCAACTGGAAGAAACGGTATCAGCGATGGAAGATGAAATGAATGAAATGAAGCGAGAAGGGAAGTTTAGAGAAAAAAGAATAAAAAGAAATGAGCAAAGCCTCCAAGAAACATGGGACTATGTGAAAAGACCAAATCTATGTCTGATTGGTGTACCTGAAAGTGACGGGGAGAATGGAACCAAGTTGGAAAACACTCTGCAGGATATTATCCAGGAGAACTTCCCCAATCTAGCAAGGCAGCCCAACATTCACATTCAGGAAATACAGAGAATGCCACAAAGATACTCCTCGAGAAGAGCAACACCAAGACACATAATTGTCAGATTCACCAAACTTGAAATGAAGGAAAAAATGTTAAGGGCAGCCAGAGAGAAACGTCAGGTTACCCTCAAAGGGAAGCCCATCAGACTAACAGCAGATCTCTCGGCAGAAACTCTACAAGCCAGAAGAGAGTGGGGGCCAACATTCAACATTCTTAAAGAAAAGAATTTTCAACCCAAAATTTCATATCCAGCCAAACTAAGCTTCATAAGTGAAGGAGAAATAAAATACTTTACAGACAAGCAAATGCTGAGAGATTTTGTCAGCACCAGGCCTGCCCTAAAAGTGCTCCTGAAGGAAGCACTAAACATGGAAAGGAACAACCAGTACCAGCCGCTGCAAAATCATGCCAAAATGTAAAGACCATCGAGACTAGGAAGAAACTGCATCAACTAACGAGCAAAATAACCAGCTAACATCATAATGACAGGATCAAATTCACACATAATGATATTAACTTTAAATGTCAATGGACTAAATGCTCCAATTAAAAGACACAGACTGGCAAATTGGATAAAGAGTCAAGACCCATCAGTGTGCTGTATTCAGGAAACCCATCTCACATGCAGAGACACACATAGGCTCAAAATAAAAGGATGGAGGAAGATCTACCAAGCAAATGGAAAACAAAAAAAGGCAGGGGTTGCAATCCTAGTCTCTGATAAAACAGACTTTAAACCAACAAATATCAAAAGAGACAAAGAAGGCCATTACTTCATGGTAAAGGGATCAATTCAACAAGAAGAGCTAACTATCCTAAATATATATGCACCCAATACAGGAGCACCCAGATTCATAAAGCAAGTCCTGAGTGACCTACACAGAGACTTAGACTCCCACACATTAATAATGGGAGACTTTAACACCCCACTGTCAATATTAGACAGATCAATGAGACAGAAAGTTAACAAGGATACCCAGGAATTGAACTCAGCTCTGCAAGAAGCAGACCTAATAGACATCTACAGAACTCTCCACCCCAAATCAACAGAATATACATTTTTTACAGCACTACACCACACCTATTCCAAAATTGACCACATACTTGGAAGTAAAGCTCTCCTCAGCAAATGTAAAAGAACAGAAATTATAACTATCTCTTAGACCACAGTGCAATCAAACTAGAACTCAGGATTAAGAATCTCACTCAAAACCGCTCAACTGCATGGAAACTGAACAACCTGCTCCTGAATGACTACTGGGTACATAACAAAATGAAGGCAGAAATAAAGATGTTCTTTGAAACCAACGAGAACAAAGACACAACATACCAGAATCTCTGGGATGCATTCAAAGCAGTGTGTAGAGGGAAATTTATAGCACTAAATGCCCACAAGAGAAAGCAGGAAAGATCCAAAATTGACACCCTAACATCACAATTAAAAGAACTAGAGAATCAAGAGCAAACACATTCAAAAGCTAGCAGAAGGCAAGAAATAACTAAAATCAGAGCAGAACTGAAGGAAATAGAGACACAAAAAAACCCTTCAAAAAATTAACAAATCCAGGAGCTCATTTTTTGAAAGGATCAACAAAATTGATAGACCACTAGCAAGACTAATAAAGAAGAAAAGAGAGAAGAATCAAATAGACACAATAAAAAATGATAAAGGGGATATCACCACCGATCCCACAGAAATACAAACTACCGTCAGAGAATACTACAAACACCTCTATGCAAATAAACTAGAAAATCTAGAAGAAATGGATGAATTCCTCGACACTTACACTCTCCCAAGACTAAACCAGGAAGAAGTTGAATCTCTGAATAGACCAATAACAGGAGCTGAAATTGTGGCAATAATCAATAGCTTACCAATGAAAAAGAGTCCAGGACCAGATGGATTCACAGCCGAATTCTACCAGAGGTACAAGGAAGAACTGGTACCATTCCTTCTGAAACTATTCCAATCAATAGAAAAAGAGGGAATCCTCCCTAACTCATTTTATGAGGCCAGCATCATCCTGATACCAAAGCCGGGCAGAGACACAACCAAAAAAGAGAATTTTAGACCAATATCCTTGATGAACATTGATGCAAAAATCCTCAGTAAAATACTGGCAAACCGAATCCAGCAGCACATCAAAAAGCTTATCCACCATGATCAAGTGGGCTTCATCTCTGGGATGCAAGGCTGGTTCAATATATGCAAATCAATAAATGTAATCTGGCATATAAACAGAACCAAAGACAAACACCACATGATTATCTCAATAGACGCAGAAAAGGCGTTTGACAAAATTCAACAACCCTTCATGCTAGAAACTCTCAATAAATTAGGTATTGATGGGATGTATCTCAAAATAATAAGAGCTATTTATGACAAACCCACAGCCAATATCATACTGAATGGGCAAAAACTGGAAGCATTCCCTTTGAAAACTGGCACAAGACAGGGATGCCCTCTCTCACCACTCCTATTCAACATAGTGTTGGAAGTTCTGGCCAGGGCAATTAGGCAGGAGAAGGAAATCAAGGGTATTCAATTAGGAAAAGAGGAAGTCAAATTGTCCCTGTTTGCAGACGACATGATTGTATATCTAGAAAACCCCACTGTCTCAGCCCAAAATCTCCTTAAGCTGAAAAGCAACCTCAGCAAAGTCTCAGGATACAAAATCAATGTACAAAAATCACAAGCATTCTTATACACCAACCACAGACAGACAGCCAAATCATGAGAGAACTCCCATTCACAATTGCTTCAAAGAGAATAAAATGCCTAGGAATCCAACTTACAAGGGATGTGAAGGACCTCTTCAAGGAGAACTACAAACCACTGCACAAGGAAATAAAAGAGGATACAAACAAATGGAAGAACATTCCATGCTTATGGATAGGAAGAATCAATATCGTGAAAATGGCCATACTGCCCAAGGTAATTTATAGATTCAATGCCATCCCCATCAAGCTACCAATGACTTTCTTCACAGAATTGGAAAAAACTACTTTAAAGTTCATATGGAACCAAAAAAGAGCCCGCATCGCCAAGTCAATCCTGAGCCAAAAGAACAAAGCTGGAGGCATCACACTACCTGACTTCAAACTATACTACAAGGCTACAGTAACCAAAACAGCATGGTACTGGTATCAAAACAGAGATATAGATCAATGGAACAGAACAGAGCCCTCAGAAATAACGCCACATACCTACAACTATCTGATCTTTGACAAACCTGAGAAAAACAAGCAATGGGGAAAGGATTCCCTATTTAATAAATGGTGCTGGGAAAACTGCCTAGCCATACGTAGAAAGCTGAAACTGGATCCCTTCCTTACACCTTATACAAAAATCAATTCAAGATGGATTAAAGACTTAAACGTTAGACCTAAAACCATAAAAACCCTAGAAGAAAACCTAGGCATTACCATTCAGGACATAGGCATGGGCAAGGACTTCATGTCTAAAACACCAAAAGCAATGGCAACAAAAGCCAAAATTGACAAATGGGACCTAATTAAACTAAAGAGCTTCTGCACAGCAAAAGAAACTACCATCAGAGTGAACAGGCAGCCTACAAAATGGGAGAAAATTTTCGCAACCTACTCATCTGACAAAGGGCTAATATCCAGAATTTACAATGAACTCAAACAAATTTACAAGAAAAAAACAACCCCATCAAAAAGTGGGCAAAGGACATGAACAGACATTTCTCAAAAGAAGACATTTATGCAGTCAAAAAAACACATGAAAAAATGCTCATCATCACTGGCCATCAGAGAAATGCAAATCAAAACCACAATGAGATACCATTTCACACCAGTTAGAAAGGCAATCATTAAAAAGTCAGGAAACAACAGGTGCTGGAGAGGATGTGGAGAAATGGGAACACTTTTACACAGTTGGTGGGACTGTAAACTAGTTCAACCATTGTGGAAGTCAGTGTGGCGATTCCTCAGGGATCTAGAACTAGAAATACCATTTGACCCAACCATCCCATTACTGGGTATATACCCAAAGGACTATAAATAATGCTGCTATAAAGACACATGCACACGTATGTTTATTGCGGCATTATTCACAATAGTAAAGACTTGGAACCAACCCAAATGTCCAACAATGATAGACTGGATTAAGAAAATGTGGCACGTATACACCACGGAATACTATGCAGCCATAAAAAATGATGAGTTCATGTCCTTTGTAGGGACATGGATGAAGTTGGAAATCATCATTCTCAGTAAACTATCACAAGAACCAAAAACCAAACACTGCATATTCTCACTCATAGGTGGGAATTGAACAATGAGAACACATGGACACAGAAAGGGGAACATCACACTCTGGGGACTGTTGTCGGGTGGGGGGAGGGGGGAGGGATAGCATTGGGAGATATACCTAATGCTAGATGACGAGTTAGTGGGTGCAGCACACCAGCATGGCACATGTATACATATGTAACTAACCTGCACATTGTGCACATGTACCCTAAAACTTAAAGTATAATAATAATAAAAAAAAACAACAAAAAAAAGAAAAGTTGCTTAATGGGTACAAACATATTATTATATAGAAGAAATATGATTTATTATTTGACAGTATAGTATGGAGACTACAGTTAAAAATAATTCATTGCATATTTCAAAATGGTTAGAAGAAAAGAATTGGAATGTGCTCAACATAAAAAAATAATAAATTCTTGAGCTGATGGATATCCCAGTTACCCTCATTTGATTATTACACATTGTACACATGTATCAAAATATAACATGTATCCCATAAATATGTATATTATATACCAAATTTTTAAAAAGCTTTCATTCTAGAACCAAAGATTGCTTTGGTAAACAAAGAAAGTGGTCTGCACTCCGGAATTCTGCAGTCAGAATTGACTGTATACTTAGATCATTCATTGTTCCCTTTGAACCTCACATTTGTGACAGAAGTTTCAACTCATAATATTTCTATAAGTTAGGCAGGACGTATACACTGTTGGTGGGAATGTAAATTACTTCAGCTACTGTAGAAAGTGGTTTGGAGATTTCTCAAGGAACTTGAAACAGAACTACCATTTGACCCAACAATCCCATTACTAAGTATATACCCAAAGCAAAATAAATCATTCTACCAAAGAGACACATGCACCCATATGTTCATCTCAGCACTATTCACAATAACAAAGACATGGAATCAACCTAGGTGCCCATCAGCGATGGACTGGATAAAGTAAATGTGGCACATATATACCATGGAATACTAAAAGACCAAAAACATGTCCTTTGCAGCAACATGGATGAAGCTGGAGGCCATTATCCTAAGCAAATTAATGCAAGCACTGAAAACAAAATACTGCATGTTATCACTTATAAGTGGAAGCTAAACATTGAATACACACACACATAAAGATGGGAGCAATGAACAATAAGGACTGCTGAAGGAGGAAGGGAGAAAGGGAGGGAGGGCTTAAGGACTGGGGGACTGCCAATTGGGTGCTGTGCTCACTGCCTTGAGTGACAGGATCATCCATACCTCAAACCTCAGCATCATGCAGTGTTCCCATGTGACAGACCTGTGCATGTACCCTCTGAATCTAAAATAAAAGTTGAAATTATTTTTTAAAAAGTTAGGCAGGACTTAGCAAGATTATCCCCATTGTATGGATTCTGAGTCTCAGAGTCTCAGTGACTTACAGCTGGAAAATGATAGGTCTAGAACCAGAATGTGAGCCCTCAGAAGCCAAGTCTATTACTTGTGTCCTACACCATGCATGGCTCTACAGATGGTCAAAGTATTAGCAGACATATGGAAGGGGTGTGACTGTTTGGCTGCTATTGGAGCAACACATTGTGATGAGCATGACACAATCATTGCTGAGCTCCTGAGGTAGGCAATATACTAAGAAAGGGTAGCATTAAACTCTTTGCATAATGGCACAAAATGTGGTCACCCAGTAGAGAAAAAAAAGGAAAATGAAAAAAAAAGTTGTATCTTATGAATAAGCTCACAGGTTGGAATATCGGCCTAGCTCTGTCACTAACCACTTCCCATTGAGACCCTGGATTGGTCTACCAGTCATATCCTAACAGGAGACAGATGGCAAAGGGGAGTTTCGGGAAGAGATTATTTTTAAAATTATAGGAGGGTTAAGGAAAATCAACAAGGAATATAAAACTCCTGAGATTAGCAACCTAGGGAAACTGCTACTACCTTTAGTGCAATGGGAGAGAGAGAACAAGAACCCCTTTAGACCTGACAAGGATGAGTGAGAGGAAAAATTATCCAACTTCTCTTTCTTCCTACCCTCTGATCTCATTCCAATGACTCCTTTTGGCCAAACTTAACTGGAAGTCAGATGGTATGGAAGTTCATTAATGCAGTCTATAGACATCAGCTTCCCAAGATATGGAATGGGAAGGAGAAGGGTGGAATGTAGATCTGGAGAGAAAAACAGAAAAAAATGTACAATTATTAATAATAATTTTGTAAGATGGAGAGAATAAAAATGTCCATCTTTTTAAAAACTGTAATTGTATGGGAGATAATGACTGCAAAGGGCTTATGTAGCCTTTCAATACATATTATTTGCAAAGCAGTTCTCTGACAAAGGAGGACACGGGCATTAATATGAAAATTTTCTGTATCCACATGGCATCATTATTTTTGGGGTGTTTTAATACAATTTACCCATAATTGCACAACGTCTGTGGACTAGGGTTAGGGAGTAGTAGGCTCAGCTACCCAAAGACATTGAGGGTGGTAGAGGGCAGAAGCATTTCTTCATTACATTGGTAGTTCTTAGCTCTAGAGAATGAAGAAATGCTGTCTTAGTAGTGATAACTATGGCTTACAGAAACATGTGTGGGGCTTGATTTTCTTATCAGAGCTTCTAAAATAAATGAAACAGTTTTGTAATAACATTCAAGCAAAAATGAGGCACTCGAGTCATATAATAGTGTCTGGGAAGGAATATTCTTGTCCCCCACTTTACCAGGCTGTGAAGACCAATAGTAAAGGGACTATCTCTATTTTTACAGCTGGAGGCACTGATTGCTTTTCAGTTTCACACAGATGGGAACATATTTTTAGCTTAAAAGAAGGAATTCTCTGAAGTTTTGAATTTTATTTTTCTGGATTTGTAAAGATAAAGGATTTGTGACATAGAGTTTTAATTATAGGTCTAAGGAACATTTAAAATAGCTCTCATCTAACTCCACCAGCTGCCTATTAATGTCCCAAGCTCACTAGATTGATATGATCACTGTCTGTATTTAAGAATGATGGGAAAATTGAAGGGACAGAGGAGAGAAGAGAGAGTGCTAGAGAGTACAGAAATAATGAACAATTTTGATAAAAATTTAGAATTGATACTTTCAAATTTAAGGGTTTATATGGGAAGAAAGAGCAGAGTGATTGAGGCTAGTCAAAGGAAACAGCAAAATATTCACTTCTAGGAGACACTATTCCTTCACTAACACACTCAACAAATATTTACTGAGCAACTGCTACGTGTCAAGCACTGTTCTAGATGCTGGAAATACAGAAAACAACAGACAAGATAAGTGTGCTCATCATGGGCAAGTGACATTTGAAAGATAGGCAGGAGCCAGTTCATAGAAGGTATGTAGATATGAGTAAGAAGTTCGGATTTTATTCTATGGGTGTAGTAATGTAGCATAGAGAATCCATTCTTCTACAAATTACAGACTGCCCTATCTTACTGGTTTTTAAAAAAGAGAAGATTTATTACCTCACATAATCAATTCCAAAGTAGGGTAACTCTAGAAATAGTTAACTTAGTATCTCAATAATGTCCTCAAAGACCCAGGTATTTTATACCTGACTGTTTTGTAATCCTTAGTATGCTGCTTTTGTCTGCATGATTGCAAGATAGGTATTTAAGTTTTACCCTGCAACCTGTAGATATGAAATATTTTAGGTAGATAAGAATGTATTAATTAAGAGTAGATTTAATGGCAATAATTGAAATAAATACAAACAGCTTAAAGAGAGAAATGTATTTCTTTTTGTATAAAAAGAAGTATAGGTTAAGCAGTCCATGGTTATTACGGTGTTTCCTTGGTGTTATCAGGAAGGTTCCTTCCAGCTCACTGCCCCATCATCCCTATAGCAAGAAACCCATTTTTAGAGACAAATATGGCTGCCAATGTTCTAGGTATTTTCTTCACTCCTTAAAAATAAAAATGTAATGAGGAAGGAAGAAAAGAGTTGTATCCTCTATCTTTTAAGAGGACTTCCCAGAAGTAACTCATAACATCTATTTAAATCTTATTAGAGAGAACTTAATTGCAATGCCACATTTATCACCAATGAAATCTGTGAAATATGGTTTTATGGCAGGACATCAATATGTCCAGCTAAAAATTAGGAATTTATTAACAGAGAATAAGAGAAAAATGAATATTGGGGAGAAACAGGAAGTCTCTGGCACCAAGAAGTATCTTCTTTTCCTCATGTCTTAATTTGAATATAAAGAAACTTCCAGAAGCATTATAAAAGATAGCTTAGTTATGTAGACTGTGAAGTTAGGATAAAAAGTTTTGGAATAAGAAAGCATTGGTTTTAAATCCCAGCTCTGCTATGTAGAAGCTTTGTAAGCTTCTGTAAGATACTTTATCGCTCTGAGACTCAATTTGCTAATATATAAAATGGGCATTCTAAGTTCACAAAGTTTTTAGGCATATTAAATGAAATCATATATTGCAACAAATGAAGATAGTAATAATAATTAGGAATGATTTCAAAGGACAGCTGAATTTCACTATTAGGATCATCCTAGTGACTAATATAGTTCAGTAGTTGATTTGATCCTTTGTAATACAAAGTGTCAATGATTCTGGATGGACTCTGTTACCAGATAGTGCACGGGGGCCTTTGACTCATCAGACTCTCTATAGGCCATGTATATGAGTATCAGAACTTGGTCTTTGGTGTCATAGAAGATATGAATCCTTTCTTTGGTTTTATTATTTGCCATTTTCCATCAAGGAGGACTCTAGGAACTTTTAGAATTGTCTGAAGTTGGGAACTCAGCTGCAAAATATAAACTATCATAACATATGGTATGGAGTACAACTAATGCTAAAGCTCCAAAAGGAGATGAAAATCCAAAGGAACTAAAAATACTCTTTAAAAACCTTTTTTAGTGTAGCTGCTTCTTTGTTAAACCAGCTGTTACTAACTCCACAGGGCATTTCTCACATAGGACTATGTTTTTTTTCTTATGATTTAATTCTTGTACCTCAAACTGAATTGTGTTGCAATATTTTTATAATTCTACTACTGAAAGAGAGAGGGACAATGAAAGAGTTAAAAGGCCGAAGGAAGATTTATGAAGAGTTGTGAATACCCAAATCAAAGTATGGTAGTAAGGTAGGGAAAGCTAGAAAGATAGCCAAGAAAATCATGATATGAACAATAAGCATGCTCTTTATGGAGAACAGCTGCAGATCTAGCAAATTAAGATATGCGCAGCCTGAAAAATATTAAATAATCTCAGCTCCCCATCTCATTAGCTTGGGATCTTGGCCTCAGCAAAGTTACTTAATGTCTTTGAACAATACCCTCATTTCTAAAACAGAAATGATAATAGCAATGCCTACTGCATTGTACGATTGTGAGGGTTAAATGAGACAATGTGTTGCCTTGCACACATAGCCTACAATGTATTTAATGATTATTATGATAATTTACTTTTTAATAAAAAGTTCATATTTGTGAAAAATGCAATATAGAAAAAGATGAAATGGAGAAAAAAATTATCTTCAGCAGGTACTGTATAAGAAAGAAACCTTGTAGTCATATGCCCATCCTCAAATGAGTTAACCTTCTTTTGATTCCCCAAACTGCCTAATATTATTCAATTTCAAGAAAGAAGAAAATCCTGTCATATGTTGCTACCTGAATGAAACTTGAGAACATTATGCAAAGTGAAACAAGCCAATCACACAAAACAAATAGTGCATTATTCCGCTTATATGAAATATCTAAAGTAATTAAACTCATAGAGGCAGAAAGCAGAATGGTGGTTGCCAGGGGTTGACGGAATAATAGGAAGTTGTTCAATGGATACAGAGTTTCAGCCATGCAAGTTATAAAAGTTCTAAAAATCTATTGTATAATAAACAGTATACATAAAGTTAACAATACTGTAATGTACACTTAAAAATTATTAAGAGGATAAATTTTTGTATGTGCCTTTTTCCACAATAAAAAACAAGACAATTCTGACACACAGTATAACATAAATGAACCTTGAAGACATAAGCTAAGTGAAATAAGTTAGTCACAAAAAGGCACATATTGTGTCATTCCGCTTATATGATGTACCTAGTAGTCAAATTCATAGAGATAGGAAGTAGAATGGTGGCTGCCAGGGGCTGAGGGAGGAATGTGGAGTTATTGTTTAATGGGTATAGAGTTTCAGTTTGGGAAGATGAAAGTTGTGGAGATAGATGGTCGTGATGGTTGCACAACAATGTGATTGTACTTAATATCATTGAATTCCACACTTAAAAATGGTTAAAATGGTATATTTTATGTTACACATAGTTTACCACAGTAACAAAAAACACTGCCTTTCCTGTGTTGTAATTGACTAGTGTGTCTTCACAATTGAGCTGAACTCTTGCTAGCATGGCCAACTAAGTGCTTAAACAGCTACTGTATTCAAGGGTCCTTGGAAGAACGGACCCCATTTGCCTGTGCAATGTGTGATACTTTGTGCACCATGAAAGAAATAAGCTTTGCTTAGATAACATTTTCTAAAAAGGACTCTGTCTGATTTGACCTCTATAAGCACGAGAACCAAGGATGTTTTTCCTTCTAGAAAAATAACTAATGAGAATTCTTAAACTCAGAACTTTAAGAAAGTGGCAAAAAGATTTGTTGAGTATGTGGTATAGTTAGGGTATGTTTTGAATGTCTCCACCAAAACTTATGTTGACCTTAGATCCCCAATGTGGCAGTGTTGGGAGGTAGAGCCTAGTGGGAGGTGTTTGGGTCATGGGGGAGGATCCCTCATGAATGGCTTGGTGCTGTTCTCTAGGTAGTGAGTTGGTTCTTGCTCTCACAAGACTGGATTAGTTCTTGCAGGAATGCATTAGTTCCTGCAAGAGTGGGTTGTTATAAAGCCAGGATGCCCCTCAGGTTTTCCTCTCTTCACATATATCTGCTTCCTTTTTGATCTTCTTCACCATGTTGTGACAAAGCACAAAAGCCCTTGCCAGAAGCCAGGGTCACACCTTGAGTTTTTCTCAGCCTGGAGAACTGTGAGCTAAATAAACCTCTTTTCTTTATAAACTACGCAGTTTCAGATATTCTTTTATAGCAACATAAAGCAGACTAAGACAGCATGTTTCAAAATATTCTTTTAGACCATAACAAGTTTGTAATATACATTTAGAGATGGCATATTTTAAAGATTATTTTGGGAGTCCTTAGACTAACTTACAATTCTTCCCCAGTAAAGAATTATTGTCAGTTTTTCAATAGAGGGGCAAAGTAGATTGTTCTTATTCGATTTTATTCTTTTCCAGACTCTGTACCACATTGTTATATCCCATGAAATTTGCATAGTGTGTCACTTATTGCTTCCAGGCCCTTATTTATGAGTTCTTAAACTTAGGTATCTTGAACTTAGGTACACAGCTGATTAAAGTAGAGTCATTTTGCTCTGAGTCTTTATGAACTAATTTCTATGGAAGCCTTTACTTCTTCCAAAATAATAAATACCATGCTAGCTGTCCAAATTATTTGCCCCTCTACTTTCTTTTCTGTGATCATCAATTTTTTTTTTTTTATTTTATGGAAGGTATAGTTGGCAAAAAGAGTCACTTTCTGCTCATATCAAAAGCTGGAAACAAGTACACAGCACTGTAGACACTTCCTATGCTAAACCTTCACGCATACTGCTCACCCTCTTAAAACGGTACAGTATTAAAACTTCAGAGCAACATAGTTGTACTCCTTATGTACAATATCATTTAGATTTCATAAGGTGAACATCTTTTTAAATGGAAGTTCATGTTGAGGTAAAGAGGCATTTTCCTTAAGTGTTTGTTTATAAGCAAATTTAAAATAGTTTGTAAAATCTGCAAAGCACCGAGAAATAAGGATAATGAATATCTTTTAAGTTTATAAGTGAGCTTCCAAGAAAGCAAGGGAGTCTCCAAGAGCCACAAAGAGAAAGAAAGTTGAATAACAGACTGTTAAACAAATACTGAAGCTATGGCTGCCTTGCAAATAGTTGGTATTTCCAACCTCCATAACAAAAGTATTGGATTTCAGCAGCTACACAATGACATAGACAAGATGTTGGGCCTACGTAAAGTAGTTAGATTGTTACTGAGACTCCTGAATAAAGTTGCAAAGGACCAAATTATTAGTGAAAATTAGAATTTAAAAACAGCTATGTGTTGTAAAGGCAGATGACATAAAACTCTTCTATTTCAGCAAAGGCTTTAGTAGAAAATTTTTCTTGCAATTATACACCTGTCCTCAATGGATCTATGGTTCAAATTGACCCTTTCTCTGGTGTCAGGAAACTAAGAAATTAAAGTGTTCAAGGATAATAGCAAGCCAAGGAACTTGGAATAATGAAATGCAAACATGTTTGGGGATCAAACCCTCAACACAGGCCACCCACAATTTTATACAAAAATTCTGATTGAAGAAGCATTCCCCTTGAAAACCAGCATGAGATGAGGATGCCTTCTGTCACTATTCCTATATAACACAGTATTGGAAGTTCTGACCAGGGCAATGAGGCAAGAGAAAGAAATAAAGGGTATTCAAATAGGAAGGGAGGAAGACAAAATGTCTTCCTTTGTAGATGATGTATGCTATATCTAGAAAACCCCATTGTCTCAGCTCAAAAGCTTCTTAAGCTGATAAACAACTTCAGCATAGTCTCAGGATACAAAATCAATGTGCAGAAGTCACAGGCATTCTTATACAACAACAGGCAAGCAGAGAGCCAAATTACAAATGAACGCCCATTCACAATTCCTACGAAGAGAATAAAATGTCTAGGAATACAGTTAACAAGGGAAGTGAAGGATCTCTTCAAGGAGAACTACAAAACTTTGTTCAAGGAAACCAGAGAGGACACAAACAAATAGAAAAGTATTGCATGCTCAAGGACAGGAAAAATCACTATCACAAAAATGGCCATACTGACCAAAGCAATTTATAGATTCAATGCTATTCCCATTAGACTACCATTGACATTCTTCATAGAATTTTAAAAAATCATTTTAAAATTTATATGGGACCAAAAAAGAGCCTGTCTAGCCAAGACAATTCTAAGCAGAAAGAACAAAGCTGGAGGCATCACCTAACGGACTTCAAACTATTCTATAAGTCTACAGTAACCAAAACAGCATGATGCTGGTACAAAAACAGACACATAGACCACTGAAACAGAATAGAGAACTCAGAAATAAGATTGCACATCTGCAACCATCTGATCTTTGACAAACCTGACAAAAACAAGCAATGAGGAAAGGATTCCCTATTTAATAGATGATGCTGAGAGAACTGGCTATCCATTTGCAGGAAATTGAAACTGGACCCCTTCCTCACACCTTATACAAAAATTAACTCAAGATAAATTAAAGATTTAAATGTAAAACCCAAAACTATAAAAACCTTAGAAGAAAATCTAGGCAATACAATTCAGGACGTAGGCTTGGGCAAAGATTTCATGATGAAATCACCAAAATGATTGCAACAGAAGCAAAAATTAACAAATGAGATCTAACTAAATTAAAGAGTTTCTGCACAGCAAAAACAAACAAACAAACAAACAAAAACTATCATCAGAGTGAACAGGCAACCAACAGAGTGGGAGAAAATCTTTGCAATCTATCCATCCGACAAAGGTCTAATACCCAGGATCTACAAGGAACTCAAACAAATTTACAAGAAACAAAATAAACAACCCCATTAAAAAGTGGGCAAAGGACATGAACAGATACCTCTCAAAAGAAGGCATTCATGCAGCCAACAAAGATGAAAAAATCTCAACATCATTGATCGTTAGAGAAACGCAAATCAAAACCACAATGAGATACCATCTCGTGCCATCAGAACGACCATTATTAAAAGTCAAGAAACAACAGATGCTGGTGAGATTGGGGAGAAATAGGAACGCTTTTATACTGTTGGTGTGAATGTAAATTAGTTCAGCCATTGTGGAAGATGAAGTGGAAATTCCTCAAAGATCTACAACCAAAAATACTATTTGACCCAACAATCCAATTACTGGGTATATACCCAAAGGAATATAAATCATTCTAGTACAAAGATACATGTATGCATATATTCATTGCAGCACTATTCACAATAGCAAAGACATGGAATCAACTCAAATGCCCATCAATGATAGACTGGATAAAGAAAATGTGGTACATATACACCATGAAATACTATTTAGCCATAGAAAGGAATGAGATCATGTCATTTGCAGGGACATGAATGAAGCTGGAAACCATCATCATCAACAAACTAACGCAAGAACAGAAAACCAAACACTTATAAGTGGGAGCTGAACAATGAGATCACTTGGACACAGGGAGGGGAACAACACACACTGGGGCCTGCTGGGGGTGGTCTGGGGGGAGGGAGAGTATTAGGAAAAATAGTCAATGCATGCTGGGCTTAATACCTAGGTGATGTGTTGGTAAGTGCAGCAAACCACTATGGCACACGTCTACCTATGTAACAAACCAACACATCCTGCAAATGTACCGCAGAACTAAAAATAAACATTAAAATGAACAAACAACAAAAAAATTCTGAGTATAAGGATATAATTGAAAATTATAAAATAAGTGGTGCAGTATAAAACAAGCCATCATGAGTGAGTGACAATAAAAACAACAAAGAGCACAATTCAACCTGGAAATATTCCAAATAAACTTAAGTTCTGCTTAAAAACATAAAAGTAAGATAAAAATAAAAGATGGGGGTTTTATGCTCAATAGTGGTACAGTAGTTATGATCAGATAAATTCTCCCCCATATAATAACTGTAAACTGGAGATATGTCTTAAATATAAAGACACAGAAAGTTGAGAATAAAAGGATGAAAAAAGACATATCATGCAAATAATAAGCATGAGAAGGCTAAGGAATCAAAATAATGTAGACACTACAGAGTTTACCAGAGACAAAGAGTGATATTTGGATATTTCATAGGTAAAATGTTGAATTAATAAGAAAGACATAACAATCATAAATCTTCATGCATCTAAAAAGTTTCAAAACATATGAAGCAAAAATTGATGGAATAAAAGGGAGAAATATATAAATTCATTATCATAGTTGGAGATTTTAAAAATTCTCTCAGAAATGGATAAAACAACTAGGCAGAAATAAGTAAAGACATAATATCTGAAAAATAATATTGAATATTGACCAGAATGATCTAATTGACATTTACAGTATATTACACACAATAAATGCAAACTAGACATTCTTTTCCAGTGAACATTGTAATTTCAACCATATAGACCATTTGCTGGGCTAGTACAGTCTGCAGTATATTCTCTTATCATAATGGAATTAAATTAGTACCAATAAGAACAAGTTATCTAGAAACCTCAATAGTTTTTCTGGCTTAAACCTGTCTACTAATTAGGATCACATGAGTCTATTAGTTATCTATGGCTGTATAAAAAAATTACTCTAGGCCGGGTGTGGTAGCTCACGCCTGTAATCCCAGCACTTTGGGAGGCCAAGGCAGGTGGATCACTTGAGGTCAGGAGTTCAAGACCAGCCTGGCCAACATGGTGAAACCCTTCCTCTACTAAAAATACAAAAAACTAGGTGGGCGTGGTGGCACACACCTGTAATCCCAGCTACTCGGGAGGCTGAGAAAGGAGAATCGTTTGAACCCAGAAGGCAGAGGTTGCAGTGAACCAAGATTGTGCCATTGTCATTGTACTCCAGCCTGGGCGACAAAGTAAGACTCCATTTCAAAAAAAAAAAAAAAAAAAAAAAAAAAAAAGAACTCTAAAATTTAGCACCTCAAAACAACAGGCATTTGTTTTGCCACAGAATTTCTGAGGGCCAGGAAACTGGGAGAAGCTTAGCTGGATGATTCTGGCTCAGGTCTTTCATGAAGTTGCAACCAAGATGTAGAACAGGGCTGCAATCATCCAGAATCTGCTTGCAAGCTCACTCACAAGGCTGGTGACAAGAGGCCTTAGTTCCTTACCACATGGACCTCTCCATAGAGCTGCTCATGGCATGGCAATTGGCTTCCTCAAAGCAAATTATCTGAGAAAGAGAGAGTACAATTAAAATGAACACTGAAGTATCTTTTACAAGTTAATCATATTATCACTTCTGTACTACTTTATTGATTGCATGGAGAGCCCTGGTACAACGTGGAAGTGGGGGAGCCAAAAACGGTGCAGTATCAATAGCTGGGGCTCATTTGGGTATCAGCTTGGAGGCCAGCCACTACAAAGAACTTTAAAAACATACTGAGACCCTGGTTCAATCCCAGATCAATTAGCTCAGAATTTTTGTGAATTGGGGACCAGGTATATTTTTTTCCTCCTAAACTCCCAAAATAATTCTCATTTGCAGGGTTGAGAAATATTACAGCAGAGGAAATCCATGCTAAATAATCAAGGACTATCTATGCATCAAGATCTAGGTAAACTAAATAAAATGCTATTCCACAAGATCAGAAAGGAGTCATACGAGGAACATAGGTTAACAAATTAATTAATCAAATAGAATTTAATAAACAGATAGGGATTTTGAAAACATATTCATAAAAATGTCCATAACATTACTGAATATTTGCAAACTTTGTGAGCAGCTAGTACTTTTAAAGCTCCCTAAGTTATTACAATGAACAGCCAAGTTTGAGAACCAGTTCTTTACGTGATGCTTGTTACCAGGCCCACTTTCTTTCTATCCAATTTGTTAGTAGGGTACCTCTCAGGCCCATTCAATCTTTCTGAAAAGATGGTGTTACTTAACTGGCCGTCTTGAGAAATAATAAAGCTGAGGTTAGAAGCCTCCTTTCAACCCTGGTGAGAAGAGGTTGTACAGCGCATGTTCCAGGGAAGCTTTTCAAATGTTTGTGACACTAAAACTCAAGGTAGATAATAGGAGACTGTATTTCCTTTCAGTCTCATGCTTATCTTTGAAAAATTTCCCTTAGATCCAGATCTCAGAAGCACAAAGCAGATTGAAGTCATTTGGTTGGAGAATATTTTCAACTGCAAGACCTTCATTATATTTAAAAGTTCAGCCAATCCTCATTTTAGGCATCTCTATGTTTAGAACGTACATAGAATGTGAACATCCTTTGCAAGAATGAATTCTCAATTTTATGAACAGGAACAAAAAGTTTTTAAAGATGTTTTTAAAAATTTTATTTCCAATGAGCCTAGAAAACACACTCAAACAAAAGAAATGAATTGGCGTTTGACTCCAACACTTTCTTTAAAATTGTATTTGTGATCTACAGATGTAGACATGGTTATGGATATAGATTACAGAGATTTAAGTGCTGCAGAGGAGACAGCATTTTATATTAGAAATATAATACTTTTTAGTATCAAAAAATGTGGATTTGATTGGGGCTCTTCTAATAATTTTTTTGTGCAAATATGAACACTTTATTTTAACCACCCTGGAACTCAGTTTCCAATTTCATACAACCATGAGTGAAACTTCCTCATTTCTAAGCTCTCTTTCAGGTTCTCCTATTTACAGATGGTTAGTTAAACTTCATTTCTAAGGCCTCTTTCAGGTTCTGCTATTTATGGATGGTGATTTAAAGGTGCTGCTCCTTGAAGGCTACGGGTATTTTCATAGTGTCAGGTTCAGCTTAAGGAGAGAAATCTTCACTAATGAAAATGAAAACTTACGGAGCAGTAGGAAGGGGATAAACCTCTTGACCCAGATGCTCCTATCACTAGCCTTTCTGCCTGTATTTTCAAAAGCAGAATTTTTAGTAAAATTTATTGAAATACCATTTCCTCTAGAAGCTAGCTCAAATGTGACTGATAATAAAAGTCCAGTGTCCTCTAAACAAAACCAGCATATACAAATTTGAATTTATTTTTAAAAAATAAATTAAAAGAACAGAAGTGATTATTTACATCACAGAAGAATTAATTGTTCTTACAAAGTGATTCTTTTGGGAATGTTAATGACAACTGATAAGTGATTTGCCTTTTGCTAATTTTATATAGAATTTTGCATAATTTTCAAATTATGACTAAATTTTAAGACCATATCTGTTGTAAGAAGTAAGATGTAGTTCTATATTTGAGACACTTATGAGCCCCACTGTGGATCTGTACGTTTCCTTAGGGCATTGGAGCTTCAGGGAAGCCAATATATAATACTTGCATAAGGGTCTGCAAGGTCAAAGGACTTGATTTGTTATGGAGGATTTGCTAACTGTTCAAAGCAAAGAAATTTGTTTCAATGCTGCAGTTCAGATTCATCAATTGACGTTAATAAGTTAGTATTTACAAAAGATTAATAGCTTGATTCTTCAAACTCAAATGCCAGAGACTGGCTGTTTAAAAAAAGTATTTTGGGGCCCAGGCCATTGGATGTAAATTTCTATCAGTTTCCAGGTGGCATTTCACAGTAGAAAATTATATTTTCTCTGGAGCATGAATTAGAAAGAAATGGTCTAGCTGTCTGTTTAAATCAATTAAAAATGTCTAGAAATGAGTTGAATCATAAGTTTCCACCATCACTACTTCCTTCAAGAATGGTTGCTGTTTTTCCAAGCTGCTTTTGTGTTTACTTTCAAAGGCCTGTCCCAGTGTGGACTATAGATAGGTGATGTGGCAAGAGATAAAAGATATCTTCTCCAAAATAAGGACCCTGTTCAAGGCCATTGGAAAAATTGTCACTTTTGTTAGATGATAAGGAGGACAATGAAGAAGAATGCTCCAGATTACCTAAAGCTGATACCTTTAAGTAATCATTTTCCCCCTAAATCTCAGCTGTTCTATAAAGTCCTTGAAATTTTTCTTTTTTCAAAAAGAATACCTTTTTTTTGCATCCTCTGCTTGATGACTCTGGAACATCAATACATATGAGAATGACATTTCCATGCAATGATAAAATTGTAAATTGTTTCTGCCTTTTATCCTTTCTTTTTATCCTTCTTTGATTTCATGATGATAGATGTCATTTATTCTGCTATCAATGTGTCCATCATTAATTATTTTCTTTGTTGTTTTCCTGCCAGATTATTCTTTCTACTTTGATACTGAAAAATTAACCAACTCAAGGAACTACTCTTATGTAGAGGAAAGATTAGAAGCAGCATTTTTATTAAAACATGCAATAGATATAAACATGTTTATATCTAGAAGGAAACACATCTAAATCTAAATGTTAGTAGTAATTATCTATAAATTGTGAGAGAAATTTAAATTCTATTTTTTCTTAGTATTTCCCCAAATTTCTATATTGACGCTGTGTTTATAATAAAAAACAGATATTTTGATTTAATATCACATTCTACTGGTTTTGAATCTAAGCTTGCCTGTACAAGGTAGATGTCATCTTGCTTACATTACCTATAAATGATCTTGATTAAAACACCTCTCTGAGTATCAGTTTCTTCACTTGTAAAATACCTCCTTCATAGAACTGGGAGAATTAAATAAAATAAGTTGAGTGCCTGGAACATAGTGATTTAAAAAATCAGTCTCCTTTTCAGAAATTTAATGTTAGTTGAGAAAAAGAGTTAAAATACTACAATGCCCAGATTTAAAATAGCGACTTCGGAAAAATTACGTTATTTGTTTGTTTCTTAGAGTTGATTTCTCCCAACGTTTATGTTTTGTACTGTGTTCCAGAAAGCTTGGCTTATGAATAAGTGGGATATACTGTACCCCACTGAGCTGTAATCTTTTAGAGCTAGGAGGGAACTTCAGAAATCTTTAAGCCTAAAACATTTATCTCATAGTTGAAATGCTGAGAGGACAATTTAGATCTAATAGCAACTTTGTTTCCAGTATGCTTTCCAAGAGTAGATCATCTCTTAGCTTTTAGCAGTCAATTTGGGATTATTTGCTATCATCTTAATAGGATTCCTGGACCCCTAGGCTTTAGGCTAGTGGCTAAAATGGAGAAGAAAAAGCTGGGGAGAGAAAAGTCAGAAGAGATGAAAGACGTGCTAGAGAAAGGCAATGTTAAGGCAGCAACCCAACAGCAAGTCCACGGTGACATCATTTATCTTCAACCATGGTTAAAAATGAGTTTTAACCATGGTTGAAGAAAATATTTACCCTTGCAGACAGAAAAGCTCTTCCATGCAATTTTATAAACTGTGGGACTATGCAAAACAGTTATTTCCTCAGTGATATATTGGAGGGTCCTTATTTCAGGAGAATTTGCATGCTTTGTGTCTGGTCAGTGCTGAATTCAACCCTGCAGAACTCCCTGGGTTACATTTTGGGAGGAGGCAGTGCTGTAAGGAAAGCAACTGTTTAGCAGGAGCCTTGGTTGGGATTGTGTCTCTTAAGTTATTAGTGCTAAAGGCAGAAGGAAGTGTGATAGTTAGAAGAATAAGGCATTTCTACGCAGTCTTTCGTTTTTCAATACAACCCCCGCCCCTTGCTCTCAGTTTAAGTAATAAAGCCCATAGAAATATTTGTATTTCTTAGACAAACATAAGATTTTTTTCCCCTTTGGCCAACCTTTCCTACAAATACACTAATATGGGGGAAAGGGGAGTGAGAGAGTTCCTTTCAGCTTATGAAGAAGTGTTAATTATTCCTTTCACAAGACTTCTAACTCTTGGGAAACAGCTCTCCTTTTATAAAACTGTTTCTGTCTGTTGCTGTTATCTAGAAGCAGCCACCTGGTTGGAGGGGAGAGTTTAATTGTTTCCTTAATACTGATTTAATTTTGAAAGATCTAAAATATGCAAACACAATAGTTGAGCCTATGATCTACCTGTCTCACCTTGTATATCCCATTTCGCCCTTCCTTTTAGAATTTTTTGTTCAGTTTCCATGTTCTGGATTTCAGATTGACATTTTTCTCCACCTAAAATTGTCTTATAACAGGTGTGTAAAAATTATAAAGGGAGACACTGTTAGAAAGGCCAGGGCATAAGGGTGTCAATGTGCACAGATAAACCAGTTGAAGAAAATTACACATTCAAGTAATCAATCAATATGAAGACAAGCAGTTCAGTTCTGTTCATGACAAGTTTAATGCAGAACTTAAGAGTGGGCATTGGGAAATGTTCAACTCAATTTTACAAGGTGATTCTCCGTCTCTAGAATCTCATAAACATTGTGAGTTTGAGCTTTGGAGTATTTGTTTTATTATTTCATTTTTCTACTAATTAATTTTTATTGTACTTTACAAAAGTGCCTGTTCACAATGAATTTAAAGATAAAAACTGGGCTTTTATCACAGATAAATGGTCTAAGGATAATATTTATAAAGAAAGGGTGTTATGGCCAAGACTGTTCTTACTGGAGAGTCAAAATATAAGTTAGTATATTAAAGACGCTGAACAGCTGCATAGCAAACAAACCTGTAGAATCTAGCATTTCCCAGCCACAGTGTACTATCCATAGTCTACCACATTATTTTCACCATGCCATGACATATCTAAACTTCAAACCATTGAAACATTGAAGTCTACATGATTTCATGATCAAGAATCTCTTTAAGAATTGGTAGAACTCTTTAGACACACGCTATAATACCTGTACCTCAGGAAACATAGTTATCTAAACTTTGGGGTTTATCTGTGAAAATTAGATTGATCATTATTATGTCTTGGAGTTATATAGTTTTTATTGCTATAACCTAAGAGACTTTCTATAACCATGCCTTAAAAAATACTAGCAGAGCATTCATAAGTCCAGGCAGAAATGTATAAATATAGCCTACTCCTAAGATCAGGAGAATATTTTCCTTGATGTTTACTTGAAGCCATTTCTTCTCACAGTTTTTTCTCAAATATTATTTAAAATCCACTCACATCTTGTCATGCTGATGTATTTTTTGAGGGGAGGCAGTGAGGCACATTTCTTTATTTCAGTTGGTACAGCTACAATGACTAGATATTAAAGGATGCCCTTTTAGAGAAGAAAGGTCATTTTTGACACAGGAAAGAAATGAGTGTCTACAGATTGGATAATGGCCTGATTCTACGCCTGTCCGGTCAATGCTACCAATTAGCAGAAAGCATTTTGGCCTTCTAGTGGAGAAAAAAAATAGAAGGAAAATATAAATTAAAATGTTTAATGTATTTCTTGAGACTTGATTATTTTTAACCTTTTACTCCTTCAAAGTGTTAGTCCCCTCCTCCTCCAAAATGTTATAAACTTTTGGCAATTCTTATTTGATTGTTATTCCAGTGGAAGTGAAGAAGAAAGTCAAGCTATCACATGGTTTCTTTATATAAATTGACTTTTGTTTGTTTGTTTTTAAAAATTATCTAAGGCTGCAACTCCAAAATGTGATTCTCTCTGTGGAGTAGAATTATGGATAACTTTAGTTTTCTTCTTTATACTTTTTCTGTATTTTTATTTTGCATAAGTGTCATAAAATATATGTAAAAAGAATCTCAGATTCTATAGATTTTTAAAAGTGAAGGAAAATGTCTTCCTAAAGGCTCAGGTGGACAGGTTTTGGATATAGAAAATTTTTATTAAATTGGACCTGAAGTTTGGATTCCTTCTTAAAATTCCTCCTTCAAAGTGTGAGTCATGGTAGCCTTTGTAGTAACATGACCTTGCTGACATACCACATTCAATTAGCTTCAAATTATGATGTTTTATTTAAGGCTAACTATGGAGACATTTCCACAGCTGAGGAAGGTGCCACTTCCTTCTGGCTCCTGATCCCAGTATATTGTGGGCAGTTCCTCTTCCTTGGTTTGAGATTTGTCTCAAACAGCAACTTCGCTCAAAAGGAAATACAGATGGGCCAACAGTTAGTGACTTTGATCAATGTGAAAAGCCAGAACAGATGATTCAGTGCAAACGATCCACTCAAGGGCCAGGATTGGCTTATTTATCAGGCCCCTCCAACTAGAGTCTAGATCAGGGCTGCCCGGAGTGATAAAGCGCATCTGTGAAGCACTACTGCAACTTGCCACTCAGCGTCTTTCAGTACAACCCTGGAGGACAGACACTCCATAACTGCCAGTAGCCACATGCCCTCCAGGTTGAAGTGGGTGGCTTCTCTTCTCTAAGCCTGGATTTTACCACTGTAGAGTGGCCATGTACTATTCTATCAAAGTCAGGCCTTAGCTGTGTGGAGTCATATCCCATCCTTGTCCCTGCCTCTGTATGACACTGAATTGGGGAATAAAACTATCCTGCTTTTGCTACTATATTCTCAAGAACTGTGTCTGGGAAATACAGGATTTGCAACTAATAATACCCTGACATTCTGCTCTCTACAAATAAGTAGTAAAATAAATAGCAAAAATGTGTTTAAATGCTACCTGATAATAGGGAAAGGACTTTGAGGGATTTTAATAGAAGCAGTGACTTCATCTATATGTGAACCATTCCGAGAAAATGCATTTGAAGTAGGCAACAGCACATATGCCCTGAAAGGGCTGCTTTATTTAGATACCACATGTCACTTTTCAGGATGGAAAGGCACTCATCTCTGGAAAGCCTTTTTGGATAAATATGAAAACTAATACAACTAATTATGTTTTGAGTCTTTTTCTCTTTCACATATATACACACTTTTTATTATACTCCTTCTAATAATTTATTATATTTATTTGTATTTCTTCTCCACTAGATAATCAACTCCTTGGGAACTGGAAGCCTTTGTCATCTTTGGTTAAGAACATTGTCCTGAAGAAAGTAGGTGCTCAAATACGTGACATAATAGCCAATGTTTTTTGTTATGTCAATAGTGACATAACAGCCAACACTTTTTGTG
The DNA here is from genome assembly GCF_000001405.40 of Homo sapiens. Taxonomy (NCBI): domain Eukaryota; kingdom Metazoa; phylum Chordata; class Mammalia; order Primates; family Hominidae; genus Homo; species Homo sapiens. The sequence goes on from NC_000010.11 coordinate 90,276,067, forward strand.
ATTTTATGGTGCCATTTAGTATGTCACATGGAGAATTTCTTCTAATCTATTTAAGTTAGGTGATACTGCTACACAAATTATACTGATAGAGATACTGAGGTGTGAAATGGTTACGTGTGCTAAGTCACATGCTGACATATAACAGGACAGCTAGCCCAGACACAAGTGGGCTCATTCTTATCACTAGCCTACAATTTTTTTGTACTTATTCAAAAGAAAAAGAAAGCTTCTCTACAAACTTTTTTTTTGGTAGGGGAGGAGGGTCACTTGCAATAGTAAGATTTCAGAGGTCACATGAGCAGACTAGGGAATCAAACAATCCTGAGGTTGAACTCTAGCTTGTTGATTTGCAAACTGTAAAACTCAGCTTCTCTGAGCATCAGCTTGTTGAGCTTTCAAGGGATAATGAATTCTATATGCTTTTGTCTTTCTATATAGATTCTGGTATAAATAATATGTATATTTTGGATAGAATAGACATGGAATCAATATTTCTGAAAACTTTAGTTTTATCTATTAATAACTTATTTATGTACTGATAATAAATACATAATTAGTAATCAAAATTAATGTTTTATTAACACTGATTATAGTTATTAATAAATAAAATACCTTTTATTTATCAATAAAATAACTCATTTTTAGTGGGTCAACTCATTCTTTTTTCAGGACACTTGCTGAAGGAAGGCTGATCTACTGTATTCAAATTTTTAATGATTTTACACAGGGTAACAATGAGTTTTAGATTTGTATATCAAACATGAGATTATATCCCTAACGCTCTCCTATAAGCAGAATAAATGTTTAAATAAGTGAAATTTTTAAGTGTGCATTTGGACTTCTAAAAGAGGCTTCCTTCCCCCTCTGCATCTTTCCTAAGATCTGGCTGTATTCTCAACCCTTGCCTTTGTCGGGTGTGTGGCAGGTGACCTCCTTCCTCTCGAAGTCCATGCACAGTCCATCAGTCATTTGGACTTCCACTGTCCATGCAGTCCTTCCACTGACCACATTCCCCATTTCGGACTGTTGCCTCCCCTATTTCTGTATTTCAAAATCTAAATCTGGTAGCCCAAGTTATCATCACTCAACCATTTTTTATTGCTTTTTTTTTTTTATCTGCTGTTGAAATAGCTGAATGCTAAAAAAATTGGTCAGTTGCCAAAAACAGCATTAGGAATGGGATTTGGAGAGGTCATTAGACCAGCTGTTAGTTATTCACTCAGACATCGTCTTGGAACCAGAAAACCATTGCATTCAGAACAGCACTTATAAAAGCAATCCATTGATCTCAGTTTCTATTTTTCTCCCCTATTAATGTTGAAGCTTTTTCTGTGTGATTATATGAAGAAACTTGGTTCTTATCTCCCTGATAAATGCAATGGCATGTTAACAGGGAAAGCTTCAACAGTCCATTTAAGAAATAGGACAGAATTTAATGTCATCTAAAGCTCAGATTTGTGCTTTTAGAAGCTTTTTCATAGAAGCAGGCACCGAGCAGTATCACAGAATCAACATTTGTACACAGTTATGTCTCAGGTATGCAGTCTAGCCTTGAAATTGGTGAATAAGTTATGCTCCATTGGCCTTTTCCAGCTTTAAGATGTTACTGAGGCCACTAACCGATTACCCAGACTTGCTCTTTTTTTCTGTGTCCGTGAGATTCTAGTATGGTAAATAGGCTTAAATCAAGCTCTCAATATTTTGTATCCATGAAGTCTGGTAAAATTTTATTCATTCTTTTACCTTTTTGTTTTAAAAATTAAATATTTCCATTATAAACAGAATCCATGCATCTATGTATTTGTATTCAAATAGCACAAAAAAGTATATCGTCTTTCCCTCCCATGGCAGTGTGCCCCGTTCTCCTCTTTGAAGGCAATTTCTGTTAGCAGTTTCTTGTGTCTCCTTCCAGAAATATTCTCTACCCACACAAGTATACATATTTTAAATAATTGTAATTACTCAAATAATGTACCAGTTCTCTCATGGTACATTATCATAAGATGATGTGGTGAGACGTAATATCTATTTTTCTATTTTCTGAAATAGTTCAGGCAAGATTGTGCTTGTTTTGTATATATTTAGTAGAACCCATCCACAAAGTCATCTGGGCTATTTGTTTTCACAAAGAAAGATTTTCTTTCATAAGAGACTCAGTTCTTTTAATGGATATATGACTACTTACATATTCTGTTTCCTCCTGTCTCTATTTTATCTACAGTTTCAAATTCAAGTTTTCTACAGCTGCCTAAGTGTTCCTCTTAGTAAATTTGCAATGTTTTTATAAACTATTGTGCTGTTTTTTTAAATTGGCTCTTTATGTCTTATCTTTTTTGTTCTTGGTCAGGCTTGCCAGGAGTTTGTCAATTTTTTTAGTCTAAGTTTCAAAGATACAACTTTCAGCTTTGTTTTTCCTATTGTATCTGTTTTGTATTTCTTTAAACAGGATTTGCAACTATTCCTACACTTAATAAATTTCTATTATTATTATTATTTACTTAGTCTCTCTGGGTTTAATTTACTACTTTTTCTAAATTCTTGAGATGGATGCATAGATAGCTGGTTTTCAGTGTTTCTTAGTTTTGAATATATACATCTAAGGATAAAACTGTTCCTCTGTACATGGCCTCAGTCGCATTCCACACATTTTCATACTTGGTATTTTCATTACTATCAGTTCAAAAATTTTTGACCATCAGTTTTCTTCTTTGAACAAAGGGTTATTTAAATGTGTGTTCAATAATTTTCCAACATTTTGAGGTTCTTCAAATATCCTTTGTTATCTATTTTTAGCTGAATTTTACTGTGGTCATGGAATATCTGATCAAAATCTGTGTAATTTCAATCTGTGTGGATCTACATCATTTGAATTCTTTGAAATTTATTGAGACTTACTTTATGGCCCAACATATGGTCAACCTTGGTAATACTCTATAAACTTGAAAAGTATGAACATTCTTTGTGTGGTATAAAGTTTACATGTTAATTTGATAAATTTGTTAATAAGTTGGTAAATTTCTATCTTTACTGTTTTTTTTTCCATTTGTGCTACCAGTTACTGAGAACAATTTTTCAAAATTACATAGTGATTGTTCATTTGTCTATTTTTTTCTATCAATTTTTGTTTCATAGATATTGAGCCCAAATTGTTAGGTGCAAAAAATTTTTAATTGTTATACTTTCCTAGTATTTGACCTTTCATTATCAAATATCATTGTTATTTCTAATACTAGTTTATGCTTTAAAGTAAATTTGTCATATCAAAAGAGCAATTGACAGTCATTATTTTTTAAGTGGAGTCTTTATTCTTCATTTATTGTGTTTGGGCTTAGTAATCCTATTATCTTAATATTCACTTTTTATTTATCTCTTGTGCTTTAAATTTTCTTTTCCCTATTGCTTTATTTTTGATAATTTTTTTGTTTCTATTATGCTCACTTTCTTAGCTTATATTTTTTTACTATTTTTTAGGTGGTTACTATGGAGATTTTGATGTATGTTCTTGATTTATTAAGGTTTCATAAAATTAGTAATTTTATTATCATCCAGAAAATACAAGGATCATAGAACTATTTAATTCCTTTCACTCAGCTACTTACCAGCTTGTATACTATTATTGCACGTAATCTAATTCTAAATATTAAACCCCACAAGATATTTTATTACTATATTTATAGTCAATATTCTTTTTGTCTTCACTACATATTTACCCATTTCTTTGGTCTTTATTTCTTCTTGCATAACTTTGCTCAAATTGGGGATAATTAGTGTTATGCTTGAATAATATGCTTAATGTTTTTAGTATGGTATTGATTATAAAAACTCCATGATCCTGCTTGTCTAAAAATTTCTTCAAATATCTTGTATTTTAAAAGATATGCTTGCTGATATAGAATTCTAGAGTGGCAGATATTATTGTTCTCTATTTTGAAGGTATTCCACTATCTTTTGGCTTTCATTGTTTCTGTTCACATCACTCTTCTTCTTATTGTTGCTTCTTTGCAGGCAATATATTCTGTTGTTTTCCTGGCTGCTTTAAAGAGAATTTGTATGTCTTTAATTTTCTGCACTTTTCCTATATTGCAACTGGGTAAGCATCTTTTGGTTATTTCGCTATTTGAAAACCTATTGAGGTTCATAGCACCTATTGAACCTGTTAACTGATAGCTTTTGTGAGTTTTGAAGTTATTGGTCAATATCTCTTTAAATATTTATTCTGCCTTTCTCTATCTCATTATCTTTCTGAAGCCCCAACTGACTCGTTGCGACAACTTTTCTCTGTGCATCATATGCCCTTTAAACTCACTTCTATATTTCCTAAACTTTTGTCTCGTACTTCAGGCTAGGTAATTTTTCAGTCATATCTTCCAATTTACTAACTCTTTTTTCTGAGCCCAATATACTATTAAACACATCCCATGAGCCCTAAATTTGATTAAACACATCCTATTAGCTCTAAATTTGTTGCTGTATTTTTTTTAGCTATATGCTATTTATTATTATTATACTTTAAGTTTTAGGGTACATGTGTACAACGTGCAGGTTTGTTACATATGTATACATGTGCCATGTTGGTGTGCTGCACCCATTAACTCATCATTTAGCATTAGGTATATCACCTAATTCTATCCCTCCCCCCTCCCCCCACCCCACAACAGTCCCCAGTGTGTGATGTTCCCCTTCCTGTGTCCATGTGTTCTCATTGTTCAATTCCCACCTAAGAGTGAAAACATGCAGTGTTTGGTTTTTTGTCCTTGCAATAGTTTGCTGAGAATGATGGTTTCTAGCTTCATCCATGTCCCTACAAATGACATGAACTCATCATTTTTTATGGAGGCATAGTATTCCATGGTGTATATGTGCCACATTTTCTTAATCCAGTCTATCGTTGTTGGACATTTGGGTTGGTTCCAAGTCTTTGCTATTGTGAATAGTGCCACAATAAACATATGTGTGCATGTGTCTTTATAGCAGCATGATTTATAGTCCTTTGGGTATATACTCAGTAATGGGATGGCTGGGTCAAATGGTATTTCTAGTTCTAGATCCCTGAGGAACAGCCACACCAACTTCCACAATGGTTGAACTAGTTTACAGTCCCATCAACAGTGTAAAAGTGTTCGTATTTCTCCACATCCTCTCCAGCACCTGTTGTTTCCTGACTTTTTAATGATGGCCATTCTAACTGGTGTGAGATGGTATCTCATTGTGGTTTTGATTTGCATTTTTCTGATGGCCAGTGATGATGAGCATTTTTTCATGTGTCTGTTGGCTGCATAAATGTCTTCTTTTGAGAAGTGTCTGTTCATATCCTTCGCCCACTTTTTGACAGGGTTGTTTGTTTTTTTCTTGTAAATTTGTTGGAGTTCATTGTAGATTCTGGATATTAGCCCTTTGTCAGATGAGTACATTGCGAAAATTTTCTCCCATTCTGTAGGTTGCCTGTTCACTCTGATGGTGGTTTCTTTTGCTGTGCAGAAGCTCTTTAGTTTAATTAGATCCCATTTGTCAATTTTGGCTTTTGTTGCCATTGCTTTTGGTGTTTTAGACCTGAAGTCCTTGTCCATGCCTATGTCTTGAATGGTATTGCCTAGGTTTTCTTCTAGGGTTTTTATGATTTTAGGTCTAACATATAAGTCTTTAATCCATCTTGAATTAATTTTTGTATAGGGTGTAAGGAAGTTAATGTTCAGTTTTCTTTTGAAATTCTCCACTTACTATTTAATTCCTTGAACATATTAAATATAGTTGTGTGTTTTTATGAAGTATATTCTTTATAATTTTAATATGTGTATTTTGGGGGGTTCTAGTTCTAATATTTATTGTCCTTTGGTTTCTCGTCGATTTTGGGTACATGTAAAATTCACTATTTTTGACTAGGTGCTGAACATTGCATGTCAAAAATTGTAGCAATAATTTGAAGTTACATATGATATTATTTTCCTTAAGAAATGATTTATTTTTTTTCTTGTAGACAGCTAAGCTGGAGAAAAATTGGAACCAAATCTGGGATTTAAATCATTTAAAAAGGGCTTTTACTCCTCGTGAGAGTTTCTCTATCTGCTGTTCATTATAAATTACAGTGGATCCTCCTTACCCACAGAGGATATGTCTCAGGACCCCCAGTGAATGCCTGAAACCACGGATAGTACTGAGCCCTATATATACTTGAACATTTTCCCATATATACATTCCTATGATAACATTTAATTTATAAATTAGGTGCAGTAATATTTTATCAATAACTAATAATAAAATGGAGCAATTATAACAATACTCAGAATGGTGCACAATTTGAAGGTTATAAATGTTTATTTGTTTATGAATGTCTATTTCTGGAATTTTCCATTTAATATTTTCAGACCATGGTTAACTGTGGGTAACTAAAACTGTAGAAAGTGAAAACACAGATAAAGGGAATGTAGCCCATCAGAATTTCATTTTAAAATATGCAATATTAGCCAGGGATATTTTTCCTTCATGATTCCTGAACTTTTCTTTTCTCCTCTAGCTTCGTAAGACTAATGAAAACTGCTCATATTTTCAGGTTTTTTATTCACTACTTTTGCTTTCAGAATCAGTAATTACCCAGCAGGTAAGTGATATTCTAAGTGCCTAAATACTTCTCTTGGTTTCCCTATTTTTACAGTTCATGGCCTGAAAATTCTTACTTCCTTGATAATTCTCCAAGAACTTAAATCAGATGTTTTGTACATTTTGGACAGAGTCTGTAGTCCTAATCATCCCATTCATCCACTGCTGGCAACAGAAATGAACAAATATACATTTTGAAGTAAAATAACAAAATGAAAACCTACAAATTCACCACCTTGCTTAAATTTTTACCAGTGTAATTGAGTCTACCTGTGTCCTCCCTACCTCTTCTAATCATCCAGAATTAACAGCAGTCCTGAATTCCTTTGCTTAAAAATTATCTTACTATTTATATTTATATCCCTAAGCAATATATTGTTTGGTTTGCTTGTCTTGAACTTTATAAAAATACATACTTTTTCTAGTCTTCTGAGACTTGCCTTTTTCCCTCAATATTGTGGTTCTGAGATTTATCCATGTTATTGTGAATAGCTCTAATTCATTTATTCTTCTATACATATATTCTATTATCTATTTTGTTTTCAATGGGCATTTGTTTGAGTTTTATCTTTTTTTGAATTACAAACAAGTTGCTGTGGATATTCTTGTGCGTGTCTCATATTGGCAATAGTCAACAGATTCTCTAAGGTATACAAATAGGAATGAGATGTTTGTGTAAGAGAATGTGTACATTTTCTACTTTTCTAGATAATGCCTGGTTGTTTTATATAGTTGGTATATCAATGTGCACACTCACAAACAATTGCTTATGGGTTCCCTTTGATTCGTGTATTCACTAATATTGATACTGCCAAACTACTAAATATTTGCCAATATATTGCAAAATTGTAGTCATTGTGGTCTTAATTTACATTTCTTAATTACTAATGAGGTTCAACAACTATTTATATATTGGTTCATCATTCATGTTTATTTCTCTGTGAAATGCCTGTTCTTAATTTACCTTTTTGCCTGTTTTACTTTAAATAATTGATTTCCAGGAATTACTTATATATTTGGAACGCTACTGCTTTATCAGGTATATGTATTGTAAATATCTTCCAGTTTGTTACTTCTTTTTACGTTGTTTCTGATGTATTTTAATAAAAGGAAATTGTTAAGATTTGGAATCAATTACCCACCAAAAATTAAAAGTCAGGCAAATTGTAACTTGAATAGTTGTTGCAGCTGGAAACAAATATTTTCTTTGCAAAAATGTATTTAAAATAACATTTATAATGATAATTAATTTTTAAATTTATATTGTTATCAAAACAATAAAAGTAGGGGTTGGGTATGGTGGCTCACATCTGCAATCCCAGCACTTTGGGAGGCCAAGGTGGGAGGATTGGTTAAGGTCAGGAGTTCAAGACCAGCCTAGGCAGCATAACGAGAATCCATCTCTTCAAAAAATAAAATAATTAGCCATGTGTGGTGGCATACACCTGTAGTCCTAGTTACTAGGGAGGCTGAGGTGAGAGGATTACTTGAGCCCAGAAGTTCAAGGTTGAAGTGAGCTATGATTATGCTTCTGCACTCCAGCCTGGGCTGCAGACTGAGACTCTATCTCAAAAACAAACAAACAAAAAAACAAAACAAAACAAAAACAGCCAAACAAAGAAAAATGTTATATGTTTTTCATTTTAAAATGTTGTAGATTACTCCAATCTTACTTCCAGATTTTCAAATCATCAATAAGATATGTGTACAATTTTTAAAATATTTACTGACTAGAAATAGTTACATCCAGAATTTTTATATTAAATGATGATGTAATACAGGTAGAATAGAATTAATATATGGAATGAGTTTTATAGTTAGTTATCTAACAACATGAACATTGTATTGTTTGAAACTATTAGACTCTTAGCCATCAGAGCCTAATACTTCATGTGGCTTAAAAACTCTGTACTTCATGACATATTTTTTCTATTGAACCTACTAATATAAGAGTCTTTTGGAAATTTCTTTGCTCCACTAAATTTTATCTAGTCACAAATAGGAAAGAAATATCAAAAGAAGATATACGTGTGTTACTTTTTAATATAAAGTAATTTTAATAATTTGGCACTGCTAACAATTTGAATAAGAAAATTTCAAACTGTAACATTTAAAACAAATCTCTTAATATTAATTAAGATGTATAGTTTTGTTATAAAAGATTTTAAAATATATTGTGTTGATTTTTAATTTTTCTGTTCATGTGAATACTTTTTAAAAATTCATTTTTAAGTTAAAACTTACTTGCTATTCCTGTGGGTCAGAACACCTTCAGCCTTCCTGACAGAAAGCAAGAGCTTTCTCTTACACCAAGAAGTCACTGGTAATGTATGTGTACATCTCAGGGGCCCTTTTTTCTGAGGAGATTCAGCCTTAAATTCAGTGGGCCTTCATGAATTCAAGCAGCCATTTACTCAGTAAATGTGTAGTGAATGCCTACTGTGTGCTAGGCTCCAGAGATTCAGCGGTGGACAAGACAGACAAGATCCTTGCTTTCAATAAGACTTAAAGTATAGAGGAGGGAGAAAGATAAAACCAAGAAGTAATAAATTAGTGAGAAAATATCAACTAGTCTACACCAAGAATAAAACAGATGGGTGATCCGATGGAAAATAACTCAGTGTCATAGGATTGAGACCAAATAACAAGAAGTACAGATGCAAAAATCAAGAATAATAGCATAGCTGATAGAGAGAAAGTCCCTAGATGACAGGTATCTAAGAAACAAAAAGGCATCTGTGTTAAGGGGAATAATTGTACAAAGTATAGTCAGAGAGATAGGCAGGGCAATGATACATACCCCTTTTTAGAATGAGGAATTTGAGTGTTGTTGTAATTGTAATGGGGAACCACTGGAGAGTGTTCAATGGCATATAGACAAGATGGGATTGGAGTTTTTCAAAGATCACACTGACTGCAGTGTAATGAAGATATTTATAAGGATAAAATTTGTAACAGGGAGGACAGTTTAAAGAAGATTTTATGGGCTGACACATATCAAATATACACAAATTAATAATAATAATGAAATTAAACAACAATTAAAACATTTTGTTATTGTTGGAATTTTCCAATACACTGGCTCATTATTCTAAAAATTGGTGAATGGCAAAGATTAAATGTTCATCATTATTTTTCTGTATAAAGTGGCTTTTAAGATAACAAAATAGTTTTTTTACAGAGGAATTTCAGCCAATACATGCAAGCAGAATGGCAGAATTTTTTTAAATAATTTTTTTAAATTTTATACTGAAATAACAGATATAGATAGTGGTTATCAATGGCTCCTAGGACATTTAAGCAAAAAGTTGTTTGGGAATTGTATAATGAATGAAGCAATTGACATCACTGGAACCCACAAATTATTCTCACTATCCCTTAAAAGTGGGACAACCAGACACTAGATATGCCTGATATGACACAATAGGAAGTACACAGCACATCACCTATAAAGTGAAGCTATTTTTGTCAAAATAAAATTGGACATGAATAAAACCAAGCTTCTAGATCTAACTAACAATCTAAAGAGAAACTGTGGAGACAGAAATATATTCAAAGAACTATAAAAATGCAACCAACCAATTGAGAATGTGGGTCACACTACAGAACAAATAAACTGGGTTCTTTAACAAATGAACAGCATGAAATAAAGGAGAATATTGTAGATTAAAAGTGACCCAAGAGGCATATACAAGCTCTGGACCTTGTTTGGATTCTTATTCAAACAAAATAACTATAAAAAGACATTTTTGACACAATCTGGGAAATTTGAAAGTGGTTTGAATATTAAATGCTGTAAGAGAATTGTTATTTTTGTTAGGTGTATAGTGGTACTATAGTTATATTAAAAACATGAGTCACTATCCACTACTGATATATACTGAATATTTACAGTGAAATTAGATGATGTGTGTGATTTCTTTTTAAAATACGTCATTGATTGGGGGAGAGAAAAGAGGGAGGTATGATGAAACAAGATTGGAAAAATGTTACGAATTATTGAAACTAGATGAGGTTTTCATGGGGGCTCATTATAATATTGTCATTAGTTTTGTGTATGTTTAAAAATTTCTCTTGTAATGAATTAAAACACAAATAAAAATTACACTCATGGAGTAAGGTGAGAAGGTTAATGTAGTAGTTCAGGCAAGGGATGAGAATTGATTGCACTAAGGGAGAAATAGTTGAGATAGAAGGCATGGATGGATTCTGAATATATGTTGGAGATAAAGTAAGGAGGGTTTGCTATTGGCTTAACTTAACTTTTAAATTTTTTAAAAAAAGGAACCTGTATTTTTGGTTTGAGTAAACTGGGAGGGTGGTGATACTGTCCTGAATCGGAAAAAGTAGAGAGAGGTGTAGGTTGGAGTCAAAGTTCATAGTTCTGCTTTTATCATGGTAACTTTGAGATGCCTATTAGACTTTAAGTGAAAATTGCAAGTAGAGAGTTGGCTGTTCCAATATAATTGTGGCATCATGCCAAGGCCAAAGGTAAACATTGAAAAGTAAAGCCATATATGATGTTTAACATCATGGGAATGAATAAGACTGAGAAACAAAACAGTGTAGATAGACAAGACAGAAATTCCAGGAGTCAGCTTAGAGAATATCAGCATTGAGAGTCCAAGCAGGTGTACTGAATTAGCAAAGGAGTCTGAGAAGAAAAGAATGCATCACAGAAACCAAGAGAAGAAATTCCAGAAACGAGAGAGTGACAGGTGATATAAACTGCTCCTTCTATAGGGTAATATAGAGGTCTTTATTGCAACTGAGAAACAGGATAGGCACTGGAGATTCCAGGGAAAATCAAGCATATTTGGGATAGAAGCAGCAGGAGATGAAGAGTGAAAGATTCTTGAAGACTAGATGATAGTCATAAATTTTGCTTTATGGGAATAAGAGCTGCCAAATCTCTAATCAGAGCTTTTATCTCAGAGACTGAATTTTAGAAAGCACAAAAGTGGATGGAAATGAAAATGAGGTCAAGACCAAGGTGTAAGGTTCCACTTTTGTGTCCAAGGGCTTCTTCCTTCTATTTTCATAGCACATTCACTATACCCCAGATATCTACCACTTCCGTTGTCTGCAAGGTGAGATTTGGAATAGCTATTTGTCGTGTTGCAAAATTGTTGGTTTGGCTAGAGTGCCACAGTGGTTTAGACCCAGTTTCTGATCATCTGATTTTACAGACACAGCAAGTCTTTGTGACTTGCAGAGATTCATCTCAGGACACCCAGATTAACTTTCCAGCACATAATTCTATTATATTTCTTCATGAATCAGAAACAAGCTTTCCGCAAGAAATCAATGCCTCTCATAAATGTTCTCATTACAAACACTAATAAAACGGTCCCCTAAATACTTTTCTTTTTAGCCTAAGAAATTGAAATAAATATTCCCCAAGAAAAAATTGCCTTCAAGGCTTTATAGGAGATTTATGTAAGAAACATAAACCTATATCCCAAGGGACAAACTAAACACATCACTTAAAGAAGCCAATATTTGGGAAATGTGTGAAGCAAACATCTTAGCACATCTGCTTAAACAATTTAAAATAAAAATTTCAGGAGACAATGAATGTTCTAATGATTATAGTTCTTCCAAAGAGTGCCACTAGAGACCATTTCTTGGAAAAAAACAGATGACATGTCATTCTTGAAATGTTCTAAAAACTATAAAGTCTAGCTATGTTCATTTTACCTCAAATAGAATAATGAACAACCTAACATCTCAGTTCTCCTAAGCCTCAATTATAATTGGAACATGAGCTCTCCCCATGTGACTTCTCTACAGATAAAAGAGGATCTCACTGCACTAAGGAAGTGGGGAAGCAAAAAAGAACACTCCAAATAGAAAATTATTGAAAACCTTTTGAGCTACTCCTGTCTTCAGTGGCTTTTTGCAGCAGTTCCCATCAAGAGGTGGAGCTATATCCCCATCACTTGATTCTGGCTTTTGCTTTGTTGCTTGTTTTAACCAATGGAATGTAATAAAGTTGTAAGTTCTTTTAATTTGGTCTCGAGGTCTCTCTTTTGAGAGTAGCCATAAGGCACACTCCAGGAAAACTCTGACCAGGGGGAAGTTAGGTTTGGATATGTGTGTCAAGTGAGACACAATGAGGAAGTAAAACCAAAATGCAGGAAGCAGAAGAAATTTGTTACTTACATACAGGTCCCAGAGAGGTTTGGAGGGCCAACAGGAGGCTGACAGGACATCTGGAGGCAGCAGGGATCTCAACCAGTGGGTAGTGGAGAAGAGAGAGAGAGGTGAAAGAAAGAGAGGACCTGTGGGACTATGCCTTTATTAGGACCCATTGGCATTATCCCTTAAGCTTTCCCAAGGGGGGATTGTGGATTGGCTAGTTAAAGAAAACACATGCAAATGGCAGGAACTTATTAATATGACAAGTGTTGACCATTAGGTTTTATTGTGGTTAGCAGCTGTGGACTGTGTTGGGTTTTAGGTTAGTGGGATGAGGAACAAGCAGGCCATACCACAAATAATCACACAGAAAGGAAAAGTTCTAACTAGGCCAAAAGTGACAGGATATGACCAGGTTTCAAAGAACTTACATCAGGCTAAAAATGGATGTTGAGACAGCAACGCTATTAAACAAACTTATGAAGAAGTGAGAAGGTGACACTGTGTGCATTCTGAGCCTTGGCCACACAGGAAGCCTTGCAGCTTCCATTTTTGCCCTCTTGGGATACTGCTGTCATGTGAACAAGTCCAAGCTAGCCTGATGGAGCAGTGCAGTAGAGGAAAATTGAAGTGTTCAGCTCAAAGCCCATATACTGCAAAATATGTTGACTAAGGCCATCTTAAACCACCCAGCCATCATTCAATTGCTGCCCTATGGGTTAAGTCCAGGTAAAATTAGTGTAAGAACCTTGCAGCTGAGCCCATCCCAAATTATTGATCTACAGAATCATGAAAGTATACTAGATTATTGCTTTAAGTAATAATGTTTTGAGATAGTTTGTTGCTCAGCAAAGATTAACAAATACAATTGTCTAAGTGTTGCCTTGTGCCATGAATCACTTACTGACTGATGCCATAGTTAGCCAATCAGAAGAAAATGTTTATTTTACACTTAAGACTTTTCATATAAATGCTAGAATTATTTTTATTTTTAACCACAAGGCATCAATGATGGGCAAACCTCAATCTAAAAGTAACCCATTTCTGTTGTTCATACCACCAAACCTGCTTCCCTGACTTATACACACACACACACACACACACACACACACACACACACACACACAAACTGTTCACTCCTGTTTGGATTGCTACATGACAGCCATTGTTATCAACCTTTGTATGCTGAGGAATATTGTGAGACCAGAGTAATACCACATTTGGGAATCTGGTGGCCAGACAAAATTGAGTTTGGTTTCTCAGCCCTTCTCTAAATCTCTTTTCCTGTCAAAGCCTAATTTTTTTTCTTTTCTCTTTGATAAGTTGCCTAAAAATTTCACTGATGATAGATTTATTTAACAAGCTTCCTCTTCCAAAAATGCAAATATATGGGGGTGTGTAAAAGATCAGTCATTCAAATCATTCTGTGAATTGATTTAATCAGCTACTTTTCTTGATACCCCTGGCTGAGTCCAACTCTAAAGAAAACCTTGGGATTTGGTGCGGAGGTGGGAGGTAGGAAGTTAGGAATTTGTGCACCTTTGGAAAGTAGTGGAGGCTGGAATGGGATATCATACTGTCACAGTGTTTTAGGACATCATGATGGTGCAGGCTGCCTGAGGACCTCAGGTGAAAGGCTATGTGAGCTGGAAAAAACATGAGAGAAAGGCAGGAGGGTATATAAAGCAGATTCTTTATTAAAATGCTTCCTAGTGCCAGCCCTTGCTCTGGGACTGAGAAAAGATTCATCGTTTAATTATTTCTCTTTTTATCTTATGACACTATGATTCCAGGGTCCTGGATTTGAATTAATACCACATGTGTCATTCTTTTCACCCATGTGAAGGGAAAATAGGCTTTTGAGGGAAGAAAAAAAAGAAAAGAAAAAAAAAACAGTGGATATGAGTGTTTTCCCTGAAACTCTCACTGCTGTAAGCTCACGAGAAAGATATGCAGGAGGGCCTCCTGGTGAGGGCACACCTGTCATTAATGCAGGGCCCCATCCTCAGACTCTTATTTGGAACCCCTAAATCTGGGGAGCTTTGGCTGCAAACTCTCAAATAGAAGCCCTTGACCTGGTAACTTCCTTTCTCCTTTCTATCGAAGTCTATGTCCACAAGCAGGTCTAGAGCCTTTTCCTTCTCTACCCTTGGTCCTTACCCTAATCTTGCTTCCCAACATCTAACCATGATTCTCTAAGAAGGAACGGTCTATTTCTCCCTAAATACTAGAGCAGAGCTCGCCCAGACCTACCACCCTTTTGAGTTGTCCAGTGGGACACTTCCCTGATGTGTCAACTCAGTGGAGGCATAAGAGGAAATTATCAAGTAAAAAAGACCAAAAATAAAAGGCCATCGATCATAGAGAAGAAGAAAAATGAAGAAAAACAAACAAACAATAATCCAAAATCCAAATCAAAAACAAAAACAAAACTCCCCCAAACAGGATGCTTTGGAAAAGCAGGCACATTTAGCGACTCATAGCAGACCCAATCTTGTTTGCCTACAGCAGTCCTTGTTTATGCCTGATGTTTTGGCATCTCACCCAAGATAGCACTCACCTGAGGTTTTTCTTCTTTTTTCTTTCCTTTGCCACTGCTTAAACATTTTAATGACTTTTGTGCACTACATAAATCATAATTCCTAACAGTGACACTGACACTATGATCATTATTATCATCTTACTGATGTGGGAAACAAGACTCAGAGAGGTGCGGCAAGTTGCCTACATGGCATCTGCCACATAGCCCTGCTGCCCTGTTGCCCTTCGGCACTATAACATGCAGGATGTTGCTGGTTCATCATCACCATTGCTTCTCATTTTAGGGTATTGACCAGACCATTTTCAAGTTTTGTACCACCATTCCCAAATATATTATTCAAAACAAAACAGAAAGAAACAAAAACTTCAGAAAACAAACAGATCTCTTTTCTGTGACGTGGTTTTCCTTGGTATGGTACTATTCATCTCAGACTTACCAAACACACGTGTTAAGATATAAATCACTTGTGTTTTAAGTTTTGAGGGTCTTTGGAAAGATTCAAATTGTGAATTAACTAGATTATTCTGTCCATTTGTCCCATAAAAATTCTACAAAAATCCTGATTTAAATGTACTTACTTAAAAATATTGATCTGTTTATACTTTCAAAAGCTTGACAATCTTTCTTAATAAGATATTTAAATGTGCTTAACCGAAAAGGAGTAAAATGTGTTTGTTAATAGCCATGTGTCTTGGGAAACCTGTGCACAGAGCATCTAAATGTAAGTCACATTGCAACAGTTTAATTTTCTTTTTGTTCTTGTCAAAGAATAAGAAGCAAGAGAATCTTCATTTTGAGACTTTGATTACATCCTCTATGTTTAATGGTCTGAGGGCTTAAGCAATAGTGATCAAAGTTTATGCATATACTTTAGAAATAAAATGCATGTCTCACAGCGGTTTTGACTAGGATTGGAGAAATATATTATTTAAGGTTTTATGTCATCTTATGTATTAAATTTTAAAATACAAAATTGGGTAGGATTATCAATTTGGACTAATACCACAGGTGAACATATCTGATCCCAAATTATCCATCAAATATAGAATCAAGTTCCATGAAAACATTAAATCAAATTTAGTTGGCACTGGAAGAAAAAGCTAAGAATAAATAAAATCCTCTACATTTAATTAAACCAAAAAAAGAGAATTAGGCATAGAGCATGTTTTAAAACTAGTAAGAGATCACTGGGATGTATTCTCAAGAATGATTTGGTTTTCAATTTCTGGTTTTACCTTTTACATTTAAGAGAAATAAGAAGAAATTTGAGCATATTTGGAGAGGTGAAAATGAAACAACTGAAAAGGTGGACTGAGGAAGG
Organism: Homo sapiens; assembly: GCF_000001405.40. Classification (NCBI taxonomy): domain Eukaryota; kingdom Metazoa; phylum Chordata; class Mammalia; order Primates; family Hominidae; genus Homo; species Homo sapiens. Next base: position 90,292,665 of record NC_000010.11, read on the forward strand.
ACGTAAAAATGGTGAGAGCTTAGGGGAGACTAATAAGCAATGGTAATTTATTCAAAATAGATGTAGAGTCACTATGAGTAAGACAGCCTGTTAGCAAAATGTTCCTAAACTGAGAGATTAGGTCCAAAAATTTAGTGGTTACAAAGAGGCTAATTACTTGGCAAAAGTAAGGAGAATTTAAATAATGCTAGAAATTATAATGTTAGAGATTAGTCAATGACCAGAGTTCAGAAATTTTATTGAACTACTACTATTAGTTATATAGGGCAGAAAAGTGCTTCTAACAATAGATTGACAAGGTAGGAGTCAGCATCTTAATGCATATTTAAGAAATCATTAATTTTTTAAATTTTGTATTTGAATCCTAATGTAAAAGTTATTTTTACTTTTACTAAATATATTAAACAGTTTAAACTGAAGGGAGAGTATTATAGCTACACTTACATTTTTAAAGATATACCTTGTGAGTATCCAGAGGTTACCACTCTGTATGCTGGACTCAGTACCAGCTATTTTCTCTCACCTTTCCAGATTTAATGTGTGTAGGCCCTTCATCAATAACAGAAAGTACTCTCAGATACTTACTAGCAGCTGGGGTAGCTAACTCCTAGTTGTGGTGACAGAAATAAGGGATGCAGATGCCCCTGTCAGGCAGTTGTGGTCATATCATGTGTCAAGATCAAGAAGTGCAAAGAGGCTGGGCGCGGTGGCTCACGCCCGTAAGGCCAAGGCGGGCGGATCACGAGGTCAGGAGTCTGAGACCAGCCTGGCTAATATGATGAAACCCCGTTTCTACTAAAAATACAAAAAAGTTAGCCGGGCATGGTGGCAGGCACCTGTAATCCCAGCTACTGGGGAGGCTGAGGCAGGAGAATCGCTTGAACCTGGGAGGCGGAGGTTGCAGTGAGCCGAGATCACACCATTGCACTCCAGCCCGGGCGACAGTGCAAGACTCTGTCTCAAAAAAAAAAAACAAAAAACAAAACGTGTGACGATACCAGGCCACCAGTTGTCAAGGTTAACAGAAAACAAAAGGAGCTGTAAGTTAGAACCACAGTCATGCCTTGCTTAATGACAGAGCTAAGTTCTGAGATATGTGTTGTTAGGTGATTTTATCATTGTGCAAACATGGTAAAGCATACTTACACAAACCTAGACGATATAGCCTTCTACACACCTAGGCTAGATGGTATAGGCTATATATCCTGGGCTACAAACCTGTACAACATGTTACTGTACTGATTACGGTAGGCAATTGTAACACAGTGCAAGTATTTGTGTATATAAACATAGAAAACCTACAGTAAAAATATGGTATTAAAATCTTATGGGAATGCCATCATATACAAGGCTCATCATTGACAGAAATGTCATCATTCAGTGCATGACTGTACATGAAACTTCAGTGAATAGAAGCTGAGCAGCTCTGCCATAGAGTGTATAGAGAGTAGCCTGGTATTGTTATAGCATTTTGTCACTTAGTATACGGTATAAAATCTACACTTAGTTATTTTTTGTCTCTTCCTATTTATTTTACAATAAACTCTTCTGGCAACATGAGCCAAATAAAAAAGAAAGTATGTGTTTCATAAAAAATTAAGAACTGAGTGTTGTTTTTGTCTCTCAAGAGAGGTGATAATTATCATGTGTAAAATGCTTGTTGACATTTATTCAATACCACAGTGCCATAGCAAAATCACCAAGCGAATGATAATCAGAAGCAATATATCTGCTGAAGGAGCACTAGCATCAACCTTAACTGTTGGGAGGAATGTTGAGGAGGCTATCCCTAAACATGGTGATTTATCACGAGCGGCTGTCCACTGTGAAACAGGACTGTTCAGTTAGATCAAATAACTGTTCCTCTAACTTAATTTTGCTCATTTTCAAATCCAAGTCTTCTTAAACATTTAAGAAAATCAAAGTAATGTTTTTTACTATATTGG